>NC_000003.12:47585757-47888787 GCF_000001405.40 Homo sapiens
GGGCAGTCGGGAAGGAAGCCCGAGTCACAGAATTTTAACTGCTGATCAAACCAAGACCAGGTGGGGCCAAATGTTTAGGTTCTTCATAGGATATATGAAGAAACTGGTGTATGAATGCAGAGAATGGGACTAGAATCCAGAAATGGTGTTCCATTTATTCACTGAAAAAGAGAGAGATTAGGCCTTCTTCATTCATTTTCTCCATTCTTGCCAAACTCCCTCCCCTCATTTTTTCCAAAATAACAACACACTGAGAAACATGTTTGTACAAAAACCACATATTATTCCCCCCCCTCACAAAATCAGGTGGCTGAATTACAGGAATAAAACCAGATCAAAGACATGAAAAGAAAAAGCCACCACTTATACTGAAATATAACAGTGTTAAGAATTCAGGTATTTTGTAGAATTATTACTATAGTAAAAATATTTCCACCTGGATCTTTTAAATTTGAAAGTGATCACATTAAAGACCTGAGGTTACAAGGGACCACAGTATGAACCAGAATTCCATTTTCCTTCTCGGACTCCAGGGGAAAAAAGAAGTATTTGGAATGAGTTTCCTTTGGGAAAGACTGGCAGGAAGTAGGTAAAACCCTGGCCATTGTCAAAAGGCACTGGGGTCTTTCTGGAGCCAAATGCATTGGAACTAAGCTCCAGTAGGAATAAACTCATTCTCATTTCCACTCCCAAGAGTCCAGAACAAAAACAAAAGGACCAAGGTCTCCTCGGTTCCCGTATTCCAGTACTCTGATGGTGACCAGGGACACCTGGTTAGAGGCAAACCTGAGGGTTTGAAAGGCAAATCTCAATTGTGGTTTTATTTTTTTGCTTTCTGATATTAAGGAAAAAAGTTCTCAAGTGTTTTATAAACACCTCCCTATACCCTCTCATATGTAAAGCTTTAGAAAATATATAGAAAAAGATATCCAAAAGATGTCCACCTTGCATTCTAAATAATGAAACTGCCACTTGAGAATGTGAAGTGAGAAAGCCAGGCGCTTTGGAAACCAAGCTCTACCAAAAACACCCTTTCCCCACACATGGAAGGACAGAAGGGAGGGAAGGACAAGAGGAAAAAACCGGGAACTCTCAAGTCACTTATCAGCAGGGGTAAATACGAGCTCAAATTAAGGCATTTTTGTGGCTTGTCCTCTGGAATGGCATTCTACCCTCCCAGCCTGAGCACCCCAAACCTCAAAGCATGATGCTCTGACTGCCAAGTGAGTTCCTTGTTACCCTCAGCATCTCTTTGAAAACCCTGTGATAGATGGAATGTGAGATCTCAGAAATGGAAGGGAGAAGGTATAAGGAGCTAATATCCTGCTTCACTTTTCCCGTCCCATCCTAACCTTAAAAGTACCGGTTGACGAAATTCCACTCCCTGGCTACTGTAACAAGAGGTAGTTTGGGGACTTGTACCCCCAGCCATCCTAACCAAGTTTCATGAGCTAAAATATTTAGCACTATCTACTTTTTTTTTTCTTTTAAAGGGTTTTTTAAAGAGGGAGAAAAAAATGCACACAAAGCAGTGAATAGTAGGCTAGACTCATTGGGGGTAATTACCCTAGACTCCTAACTTTCCAGGCTAGTTGAGGAAACTAAGGAATGCCTCCCAATATTCCAACCCTCAAAGCTCACACTGCCCCCAGAAAAACAAAACACTCACCCCCAATCCAATGAATCATCTGCATAGAAAACCAGAGCCAGCAGGCCTAGGGAAGGAGCGGATGTTTGTGCCCTCCTCTAGCACATACTAGTTCAGTGGTATGTTCTGCCAGGCAGTGTGGAGGCCCTCAGAGGCCTCACTAGGGAATAAAATCACTGAGGTTCTCCTTCCACATCTCGTTTAATTTTCACAAATTTGTGTGTGGCAAAAGTCTCAAACTTTACCATCAGCACCATTCTTAGCTCAGAAAAGCAGAAATAAGGTCACTTATAATGCCTTAAGGTTTGTCCCCTGTGGCTATTCCCCCCCTTCTGCCCATCATTATTTTTTGGTTCCTATTAACTTAGGATGCTCTCCTTTAAAACAATAATAACAGAAAGATAAAAAGATAATGATTATATAGCATTATCCATAGAAGCATAAGACAAAGCAAAAAACTGCAAGAGAGCAAAAATGGTAAAGACATAGCATGCTAAAGTTGACAGGACCTGCAGAGAAACTGTCAGCTTACTCCCACACCAGGACAGGGGAGATGCAGGTTATTTTAAGGATGACCAGGGCACACTGTCACTACAGGTTTCCCCTTGAGTGTTGGCTGAGGACCCAACACAAAAAGTGTCAGAGAGAGGGGTGGTAAGAGGAGTGGGGAGGCACGGGACACGTGCTTGGAGCTGTGAGAAGAAAAATCCTGAAAGAAACCCAAGAAAGTTGAGGAACACAAGTCTTGTCATCCCCACTCCAGCTCATGGTGGTGGGCGTGGAGGTTCCCTGCATCTTCCAGGCTAAGGAGCAGCTGAGGCTGGCGGGCCAGGAGCAGGAGGCGGAGGGACCCCATCTGCAGGTGGTGGTGGCGGTGGCTGCTGCTGTGGTGGAGGGGGATCTGCAAACATATCCAAGAGTAACTCGTTATTGCTGGAAATACAAGAGACTCAGGAAAGAGCCTATTCAGTGAAAAAAAGACACAGAAGTCCTTTCCTTAGTGGCAGGCAACCAATGCACCCTGTGAGGCATTGATTCCACTGTGGTCTATGCAAGTCAATTCCTTCTGAACCTCTAGGGCACTGCTCAAGTTGCTTAGCCTAACCCTAGTGGCTGGGGAGTGGGAGGTGTCTGAATTTCCCCCACCCTCCTTCCAGGCCAACTCCTTCCAAGAATCGCTCCAGGCCCTTTCAGAAGTTAATTTTGATTGCATTGTATTTCAAGGGTTCTAATTTTATTTCTTCAGTTAAAAAATAAGCTCCTTCCTGGGACAGTTCTATGTCTTGTTTTTCTTCCCGCCCCCCCCCCGCCCCCACAGTCCCTAGCCTAGCTGGGCACAAAATAGATTATCAATAAATTCTTGCTATATAAATGTCTCCACCAGGGCCAGAGAGCTTCACTTGAGGCAGTTGCTGACAAACTGGATAGTCCAGGGAGGCCTCCACAGCTCCTGAACTGCAGTCCTTCGATTTTTGGCCCAAACTAGGTCATGTCCTGAAGGGAACAATTAGTATGAGTGTCTGGGACTCTTTCCTATTTCAACTTTACCTGCTTTAGTGTACAAAAGAACCCGAGAGATCATTTAATCCGGGTTTTAAAAACCCCTAGATCTTGTCAGAATTGAAAACATATGAAATAAAGTGCAGCATTGCTCACCAATCAATTCACCCAACTCTATGCCCAAGAGGTTTCTACCAAACCCTTAAGACTCTTGAAAGCATTCTGAAGCTCACTGATCTAATCCCTTGTGTCATCTTTCAGTGGAGGAAATGAAGGGCTGAAGTGGAGAAGCAACTCATCCAGTGTGGCCTACCTAGTATCCTAGAACCAATTCACATGGTTCAGAATTCCAGAGCACTGACTTATGGCAGGAACCAGGCAGCAGGTGGGAAGGTTCCACCTGAAACCCTCCACATTCTCAAGGAGCTCTACTGAGGTCCCTTTGGGAAGGAATCCTGAAGTACAAAACATGGGTGACCAGCAGGACATGACAGTGGTAAATTGGTAAAGACCAGTGATACTACCTCTGCAATAGGGATGGAAAACTGGTCAACTCTCTTGATAGGCGAGCTCATTTATGTATGGTCCACAGGGTGGCTTGGCAAACATTTTCTTGCCAAGAAAAAGAGGTACCTACTGTACTACACAACCACTGACCACTAGCTTAAGGGAGATAATTTTAAAAAGTTGTTGTGATCTTATATACCTAGATAAATTAGTGTCTTTCTTCTGTGCACCTACTTTGTCCCAGACTCTGGGGGCCAGAGAAGAGTCAGACATGTCTCTGTCCATGAAGCCTCCCAGAGTATTAGAGTGTACTTAAGGCACATCACAGTCTCATGTAACCTTTGGTAAGTTCTATATGCCTTCATTTGCTAAGTTCTATCCAAGTTTTCATTTCTTGTTTTCTCAACTAAAGCTCCTACAGAGCAAGAATTCTTATGCTTCCTATCTCTCTGAACTATAAATAGTAGCTAAACTTTTGGCCACACGTGAACTTCTACATGAACCTAAGATTACAGATGTGGCTGGGGTACCTGACCTACTACTGGCTGCATTTCAGCATCATCCTCACTGGGAAGGCCTTCTGGAGTAAAAGGCAGGCCAGGGTCTCAGAAACAACCCTCAGGCCAAGGCTGAAGCCGAGCAAGAGCCTATGGGAGAAATGACCTGGTCTCTAAACACAGCCTCAGACAAGTATCACTTAGCAGCACTAGTGTTGTCCTCATTGAGCTTGCTGGAACTTCGTATTTCCTCTCAACACAGCCCCTGAATACTACTTTCTTAGCCTACACAGCCACTACTAATATAACAAAAATGGCTATAAGAAACATATTTGTAATTCCAGCTCTAAACTCACTTCTATTCTTTTCTTTACACGCATCACTTTTGAACCCTGTATCCACAAAAGGCTGCTGTAGGGAAAACCACCACCAGTAGCTCTACATGTCTGTTGAGAGTCATAACAAGACAGGCTTAAACAGGTGTGGGAGAGGAATATCTTTATGGCCCCAATGCTGACAGTGCATGCCATAAAGGCACAACCCTGATTAGAAGCATTTTGTCACCTGTGCACCTGTCCATCAGGGGTGCTGAAGAACACAGACTGAAAACTGGTCTTTGAGAAGCCACTGTCACAGACTGCATCATCCATGGACCTGCCAAATCTCGGGGAGAGAACAAAGCCTCCTTCCCTTATCTACAGCCCTCCAGAACGGACCCTGAGATAATGCATCCCCCCTCCATGTTACTTACACATGCCGTTAGGTGCTGTCAGGGGTACCCGGGGTCCTAAGATGTTTCCTGGCATTGGTGGCATGCCAGGAGGGGTAGGGCCACTCCCAGAGGGGTGGATGTTGGCTGCAACAGTGGGAATCATGCGGCCTGGCATGTGCTGCCCGGGCATCATGGAACCTGGGCCTGGTATCTGACCTGTGGAGGGAGATTTAAAGTACTGTAAGTATACTAGAAAGGGGTGTAAGAAAGGGATCAACTTAAATCCAACTCCTAAATACAAATATCCAACCTTCCAAAGGATCTGAAATATCAACAGAGCAATAATCTGTAATAATCTCTATGTTTAGCTTTTTGTATTCTGGGTTTTTTGGAAGAAGGGTGTTAATGGGGGTAGGTCTGTGGAATGACTGATTATTCTAAACACTGGCAAGAAGGTGGCTGTAAAAAGAAATGGCAAAGGTCCCCTAAAATAAAGCACTCACTCTGGTTAGTTTGGGTGAGCAGTAGATTGTCAAATGTCTTCCTGAGGATATACAATGCCAAGCACAGCCCACAGGGAATGAAGTGGACTTTAAAAGGAAGTCAGTAAGTAAAAGTCAGTAAAAGGACCACAATTCAGTCCAGATTGTGCTCCATGGCTTACAGGGAAGGTTTGCCTGAAAGGGTATTATTACTGTGAAATCACCATTAAAAGGGGATTCTGATTTGAATCCCCAATTCCTGTCCACAAATATTTCTCCCATTAAAAGCCTCATGTATGGTTCATTTAAAAAAAAAAAAAAAATCATTCCTAAGAGCCCACTATGAAGCACTGGCCTGATAGACTCATAAGGGAAAACAAAGACAGCTCCATCTCTTCCTACTGTTTTCTCCCTTTCCTTTTCCCTTCCTTTCCTTTTGTTTGTTTCTTTCTTTTTTTTTTGACAGTCTCACTGTGTTGCCTAGGCTGGAGTGCAGTGGCATGACCTTAGCTCATTGCAACCTCTGCCTCCTGGGTTCAAGCAATTTTCGTGCCTCAGCCTCCCAAGTAGCTGGGATTACAGGTGCCCACCACCACGCCCAGCTATTTTTTTTGTATTTTTAGTAGAGATGGGGTTTTGCCATGTTGCCCAGGCTGGTCTTGAACTCCTGAGCTCAGGCAGTAAGACTGCCTCAGCCTCCCAAAGTGCTGGGATTACAGGCGTGAGCCACTCTTCCTATTGTTTTCTAATTAGTGACAGAAAACCCTACAGTATTCAATACTGTTGTTCAATACTGAGGGACATGAACACTAACAGAATCATTTGAGAGATGAGAATCATATGAGAATCAATGTAGTTTTTTTCTTTAAATCCAGGGGCTTTACTATCTATGTAAGGACAACTGTATGAAACTGAATATAGGTTAGAACACAGTACCAAGACAGCTAGAAATAAGAAAGCTTGATCTTGAAAAATGTGGAGATGGGACCATTTGATAGCTAACTGGCAATTAAAATACAGAAAGCAGTATTGAACACTGAAGAACACTAAAATACCTCCTGTATTCAGTTTCACAATGAGCCTTCTGACCCTTTAGAATGTTTAGCCAACTTTTTCTATAAAGAGCCAGATAGTAAATATTTTAGTCTTTGCCAGCCATATGGTCTGTGTCACAACTATTCAACTCTGCAAAGTAAGCATGAAGGCAGTCACAGATGATACACAACAAATGGACGTGGCTGTGTTCTAATAAATACATCTTTATTTATGAACCCTAAAAGGTTAATTTCACAAATTTTTCATGAGACATAAAACATTATTCTTCTTTTGATATCCTCCTCCAACCATTTAAACTATAAAAACCACTCTTAGCTTACAACCTGTATGAAAAACAATTGATGAGCCAGATTTCAACCTAGGCTGTAGGCGATCCCTGCTTTGGATATGATGGTAAACATTCACTAGTTCTTAAACCAAGCGATTTGGCTGCTGGGCTTGTTTTGTTTTGTTGAGACAGAGTCTCATTTTCTACTCAGTTTGGAGTGCAGTGGTGCAATCACAGCTCAGTTCACTGCAACCTCAACCACATAAACTCAAGCGATCCCCCTGCCTCAGCCTCTCAAGTAGCTGGAACTACAGGTGAGCACCACCATGCCTGGCTAATTTTTAAATTTTTTGTAGAGATGGGGTCTCACTACGTTTCCCAGGCTGGTAGTCTTGTTTTTTTTTTTTTTTGAGACAGAGTCTAGCTCTGTCACCCAAGCTAGAGTGCAGTAACACGATTTCAGCTCACTGGAACCTCTGCTTCTTGGGTTCAAAGGATTCTCCTGACTCAGCCTCCTAAGTAGTTGGGACTACAGGTGTGCACCACCATGCCTGGCTCTTTTTTTTATTTTTTATTTTTAGTAGAGACGGGGTTTCACTATGTTGGCCAAGCTGATCTTGAACTCCTGACCTCAAGTGATCCACCCACCTCAGGCTCCCAAAGTGCTGGGTTTGCAGGTGTGAGCCACCGCACCTGGCCGTAGTCTTGGTTTTAAAGAGTAATAAATTAAGAAGAATAGTTTAATGGAAACAATCAAGGCTTTAATTTTTTTTTTTTCTTTTTTGAGACAGAATCTCGCTGTGTCGCGATCCTGGCTCACTGCAACCTCCGCCTCCTGGGTTCAAGCAATTCTTCTGCCTCAGCCGCCCGAGTACCCGGGATTACAGGTGTGCGCCACCATACCCGGATAATTTTTGCATTTTCTGTAGAGACAGCGTTGCACCATGTTGCCCAGGCTGGTATTGAACTCCTGACCTCAAGTGATCTGCCCGCCTCGGCCGCCCAAAGTGCTGGGATTACAGGCGTGAGCCACCGCGCCTGGCCTGAAATTTTTTTATGTAGGACAAATTATATTCTCTACAGAATAAGAAAAAGAGAATCAATGTAGTTTTTCTTTAAATCTAGGGACTTTACTATCTATGTAAGGACAACTATGAAACTGAATATAGGTTAGAAGACAGTACTGAGACAGCTAGAAATAAGAATGCTTAATCTTGAAAAATTTGGAGATTGGACCAAATTACAATACACAAAGCAGTACTGAAGATAATTCAAATACAGACTCTCTGTCACTATAGAAAGAGGTCTATCTAAACAAAGACATACAAAGCTTCAAACCACACCCTGCCTATCTCCAGTGGCTGTTCCTTGATCTAAGAACCTGAGAGAGGAGCCCCTTACTTCAGGGGTGTCAATGAAGAGAACTACAATGAGGTATGAGAATTAGGAATAAGGGGCTGGGCACAGTGGCTCACACCTGTATTCCCAGCACTTTGCGAGGCCAAGGTGGGTGGATCACCTGAGGTCAGGAGTTCGTGACCAGCCTGACCAACATGGTGAAACCCCATTTCTACTAAAAATACAAAAATTAGCTGGGCTTAGTGGCATGCACCTGTAATCTCAGCTACTTGAGAGGCTGAGGCAGGAGAACTGCTTGAACCCGGGAGGTGGAGGTTGCAGTGAGCCAAGATTGCACCATTACACCCTAGCCTGGGCAACAAGAATGAAACTCCAAAAAAAAAAAAAAATAGGAATTAGGGTAGTCCAGTCTTCTAGGGACTACTTTTTAAAGCAAAGTACATCAACATTATGACCCAGAATGTACATAATAGAGAATTTTGGGCCCTGTGGCCCATCTTTCTGCACTCTATAATGTAACGCAAAGCCTAGCAGAGGAGTCTCAGAGATCCGCTTGCTGGAAAATAACTTGGTCAAATCACTTTGGCAAAATCAAGAGCAGCTGCTGGATCTACTCCTATGTGAACACTGCGACTAGGACCAACTGACCATCATTAATTTTTGTCTTTTTGTGCTTGTGCCGTGTATCTAGGACAGAAATAGGCAGTGTTGAAGAGTCTGCCAATCTAGGGACTGATTCAGGATAAAAGGGACAAATGGCAAGAACACTAAAGGCATACGAGGGATGAGTGCACATAAAGGAGTGAAAGGCAAACCAAGGAAAAACTATGGAAGGAGCAAGCCAAAAAAAATGAAGACTTTCCAGCTGATCAATAAAAATTTGTGAGTAACTTGGAATTGTGGATGAGATGTAAGTAAAGTGAAGGAAAGGGATTAGGGATAGGACTAATCCTAAAAACACCTGGGACAGCAGGGACCCAAGGACTCAGGCATCCTTGTGGCGGGACTGTGAGGCCACATGCTTGTAGATCCACAAACCAGTAAGAAATAATAGAAATCCTGGGTGCCTTGGCCCACCCCCAGGGGATATGCTGCAGCACAGCAGGTAGACCTTGATAAGATCTGCATACCTACATCCCTACAACCCATCCTGACTCCTGCTGCCACTCCTCTATTCTCCATCTCTGACCTGTTGTTGCAGGAATGTTACATAAGTGGAAGCACCGTTTGCAACATTTTGGGATTGGTTTTTTTTCACTCCAGGTAATTTCCTGGAGAGTCACCGGTTCTGTATGCAGCCACAGGCTGTTCCTCTCAGTGCTGGGTGGTGCTCCCTGCTGTGGATGGACCACACAGCCTGAAGAGGACATCTGGCGGTTCTCACTTTTTGGCTACTATGAATAATCTGCTAGGAAAGTTTGTGTACGGGTTAAAAAAAATTTTTTTTAAACACATGGCCAAGCGGGCGCGATGGCTCACGCCTGTAATCCCAGTACTTTGGGAGGCCGAGGCGAGATCACCTGAGGTCAGGAGTTCGAGACCAGCCTGGCTAACATGTTGAAACCCCATCTCTACTAAAAATACAAAAAAATTAGCGAGATGCGGTGGTGGGCACCTGTAATCCCAGCTACTCGGGAGGCTGAGGCAGGAGAATCGCTTGAACCGGAGAGGTGGAGGTTGCAGTGAGCCGAGAATGAGCCATTGCACTCCAGCCTGGGCAACAAGAGTGAAATTCCGTCTCAAAATAAATAAATAAATAAAATAAAATAAAATAAAATAAACACACAGCCAAGCCTAAGTTAAAACAATCAGAAAATAATGTTAATGTCACTCCCATTATTACTGAGAGGTACCATTTATATGCAGCATCTATATAAATACCATACCCTTTTGTGGTACCTTACTATCTTTCATCTGTATTACACCGAGGCTTATAAAGGTTTCTTTTTCTTTTTCTTTTTTTTTGAGACGGGAGTCTCACTCTGTTGCCCAGGCTGGAGTGCAGTGGGGCGATCTCGACTCACTGCAACCTCTGCCTCCCTGGTTCAGGTGAGTCTCCTGCCTCAGCCTCCCGAATAGCTGAAACTACAGGCACGTGCCACCACGCCCAGCTAATTTTTTTATTTTTAGTAGAGACCGAGTTTCACAATGTTGGCTAGGAAGGTCTCAATCTCTTGACCTCGTGATCTGCCTGCTTTGGCCTCCCAAAGTGCTGGGATTACAGGTGTGAGCTACCAAACCCGGCCAGGTTTTTTTTTTTTCTTTCCCAAAAACAAAAACAAAAACAAAACAAAACAAAACTGCTGGGTCTGTCATGATTCAAAGGAAAAAGGGCTATATTAATTCAAAAAGGAGTCATGCATGTAGAACAAGGGGTGAGGACTTCAAAAGTAAGGCTACAGAGGACTTAGTGAAAGGTTCTGAAAAGAAGAGAAGCTTGAACCTAATTTTCTGTGGGATGGAAAGCAATTTTTTAGAAAATGTTTAAGAGATGGAGTCTTGGCTGGGCGTGGTGGCTCACGCCTATAATCCCAGCACTTTGGGAGGGCAAGGCAGGTGGATCAAGAGGTCAGGAGTTCAAGACCAGCCCGGCCAAGATGGTGAAACCCCATCTCTACTAAAAATACAAAAATCAGCTGGGTGTGATGGTGGGCACCTGTAATCCTAGCTACTCGGGAGGCTGAGGCAGGGAATTGCTTGAACGTGGGAGGCGGAGGTTGCAGTGAGCCGAGATCATGCCACTGCACTCCAGCCTGGGTGACAGAGTCAGACTCCGTCTCAAAAAAAAAAAAATAAATAAATAAATAAGAAGAAGAAGAAGAAAAAAGATGGGGTCTTGCTACGTTGCCCAGGCTGGACTAGACCTCCTGGGCTCACGTGATTCTCCTGCCTCAGCCTCCTGTGTAGCTGGGGTTACAGGTGCATGCCACCATGCCCAGCTAGGATAGAAAGCTTTAAGAAGGGATGCAGAGGAGTTAGTGCCTAGAGCAGAGAAAAAGTGCCTTTGCAGAGAAGTATGGGCTGAATGTCAGGCTGATGAGACAGAAAGGAATAGGAGATGGAGATGGCACTCTGCAAGTTCCTTCTTTTTTTTTTTATTTTATTTTTTTAAAAGAGATGAGGTCTTGGCTAGGGGCGGTGGCTCCTGCCTGTAATCCCGGCACTTTGGGAGGCCGAGGCAGGCAGATGACGAGGTCAGGCATTTGAGACCAGCCTGACCAACATGATGAAAATAAAAAAATTAGCCAGGCGTGGTGGCACGCACCTGTAATCCCAGCTACTAAGGAGGCTGAGGCAGGAGTTGCAGTGAGCTGAGACTGCGTCACTGCACTCTAGCCTGGGCGACAGGGCGAGACTCAGTCTCAAAAAAAAAAAAAAAAAAGAGAGAGAGATGAGGTCTTGCTCTGTCACCCAGGCTGGAGTACAGTGGTATGGTCATAGCTCACTAAAGCAGTGAACTCCTGGGTTGAAGTGATGCCCCCGCCTCAACTTCCTGAGTAGCTAGGATTACAGGTGTGCACCACCACGTCAGCTAATTTATTTATTTATTTTATTTTTTATTTTTTAATTTTTTGAGACGGAGTCTCACTCTGTTGCCCAGGCTGGAGTGCAGTGGTGCAATCTCCGCCTCCCGGGTTCATGCCATTCTCCTGCCGCAGCCTCCCGAGTAGCTAGGACTACAGGCACCCGCCACCACGCCCGGCTAATTTTTTGTATTTTTAGTAGAGATGGGGTTTCACCATGTTAGCCAGGATGGTCTCGATTTCCTGACCTCATGATCCGCCTGCCTCGGCCTCCCAAAGTGCTGGGATTACAGGCGTGAGCCACCATGCCCGGCCCACGCCAGCTAATTTTTTATAGAGATGGGGCCTTGCTATGTTGCCCAGGCTGGTTTCAAACTCCTAGGCTCAATGATCCTCCTAACTCAGTCTCCTGAGTTGCTGGGACTATGGGTGTGAGCTATTGTGCCCAGCCACAGGTTCTGTAAAAAGAGGCATCCTCGGGATTGGAGACAGAGCAAGAAGGAAGGGCGAGCATGGAGCTGAGATGGAAAATGAATTTGGGTTTGGTATCTGACTGCTGGGAGTGTGAAGATGGGATGACGTGAAGAGGACACAGAACTTTTTGCTTTGGGAACAGATGTAGGCTGGGCAGCCATATAGTGAAATACAGAGGTATCGGTGAAGGGAAGGTATAGAACTCCCAGAGTTTCAAATAGAGCAGTGGCAAACAGAGACTTACTATTCTAAGATTCTCCACAAACTGCCAAAGAGGCACCTTTGTTTTTAAGGTGGTACTGTCCCAGCTCCCTTTTGGAAGCCCTTTTTTTGTTCTCTTCCTACCCCACATCACCTGCTAGGCCATTAATAAAAGCAATGCTTTGTTTTCCACACTCTAAATCACTACTAATGATTCTCTAATGGTATTCTAGGTGGCGTGAAGGACAACAGGAGATGATTTTGTTGCTGCTGGAAACAGGAGGCCTACTTTTAAAACTAAAAAGTACAATATTCTAGCCTGCAGACGAAAGAACACTCCTAATGGACTTGTTGTGACAAAGGGAAGCCATATACTAGGAGAAATAATGCTGCCCATGTTTATCAACAGGTACAGGTTGCTCGCTTCCACCAAGTCCGACCTGGACAGAGGCCTTAAACAAGTTAGGAAGAACATATTGCCGCCCTTCACAGGTCTCCTCCTCTCTCTCTCAATCCCTGAGCTTTGGTTTCCTGAGATTTTATTGATTAAAGCTATGTATGTGGCCCAGTGCAGTGGCTCATGCCTGTAATCCCAGTACTTTGGGAGGCTGAGGTGGGTGGATTACTTGAGGTCAGCAGATCAAGACCAGCCTGGCCAACATAGTGAAACCTCGTCTCTACTAAAAATATAAAAATCAGCTGTGTGTGGTGGTATATGCCTGTGGTCACAGCTACTTGGGAGGCTGAGGAGAAGATAGTTTGAACCTGGAAGGTGGAGGATGCAGTGAGCTGAGATCACGCCACTGCACTCCAGCCTGGGCTACAGAGGGACTCTGTCTCAAAAAAAAAAAAAAAAAAAAAAAAAAGAGAGAGAGAGACACACACACACACACACACACACACAGAGACAAAGACAGAGAGAGAAGAAGGTGATGTAAAGATGGAGCAAAGAGAGACGTGGCCGTAAGACAAGGAATGCTGCAAGCCACCGGAAGTTGGAAGAGACAAGGAACAGGATTCTTCCCTATATACCTTGGAAGGAGCATGGCTTTGCTGGATATTGGACCTGATTTCCCAGAGAGTAAGAATACATTTCTCTTGTTTTAAGTTATTCTGACAGGCTGTGCGCAGTGGCTCACACCTATAATCCCAGCACTTTGGGGGGCTGAGGAGGGCGGATCACCTGAGGTCAGGAGTTTGAGACCAGCCTAGCCAACATGGTGAAACCCTGTCTCTACTAATAATACAACAATTAGCCAGGAGTGCACATGCCTGTAATACCAGCTACTTGGGAAGCTGAGGCAAGAGAATCACTTGAACCCGGGAGGTAGAGGTTAGAGTGAGCAGAGATCACACCACTGCACTCCAGCCTGAGCGACAAAAGCAAACTCTGCCTCAAAAAAGTTATTATAGCAGCCTCAGGAAACTACGTAGGAAACATGTGCTATGCCTTAGGCACTATATTTAAGAGTTTTATAAATGTTAACTCATTCAATCCCCATAACAACACTATAAACCAGGCACTATTATCCCTGTGGAAGAAAGGGAAGGACACAAAGATTAAGTAGCTTGCCCAATGTCATAAAGCATGTAAATGAGGGAGCTCAGATCTGATACAGGTACTCTGATTCTAGAGATGGTGCTTGCAGCCAGTGTGCACCCCTGACAATCAAGGTCTGGGGGAGAGGGGTCCAACAGGTGCTCAGAGACGACGTGATGCAAACCCTGGTGTCACCAAACTGATTGATCCATTATTTGCCCCATGCTCAGCTCCAGACAGAAATTACTTTCTGAACCCGCAATTCAGAATATATGTTCCAGCAGAGAAATCAACTATTCAAGAAATAATCTGGCAAAGAGGAGCATCACTGGCTGATTGACAAACACCCACAAAGTGATGTCTACCTATCATGCACTGGGAAATGCCTGCAGGCTCTTGCTCTTAGGCCCAGTAGTACTATTTCCAAAGCTATCTGCTCAGTGGCAGTGGCCCATTTACCTATTACCCTACATCTTTATGAATACAAGCTGGAATAGGGCAGCTTTAGGGTTTTCCAAGGCTGTTAGCCCAACAGCTAAAAAAACCTTTCTTTTCATTTATTATAAATTCTAAAGCCTTGTGAAAAAGATTCTTTATCCTATTGTCACAAACAAGGTCATAAAGCCACTGGGATACAGGTGTTCTGAGTATGAGAGGACAACGGCTCCTTGGCAGCAAAAATGAAGGTCTAGAGGAAAAGCAATTTACTTCTGCTTATGGCACCCTGCAAAAACAAACATCTCTCAGGAAAGCAAGAGGTACCTAAGAGTGAATGATGTCCCTTTGCCATTCAGAGGTTCCTTCTGTCAGATGCTAAGCAACTCAGCACTGGTGTACCTGGGGCAGTGGGTTTAGAGAAAAGACAGGAAAGGAGGTAAGAATAAGGTTGAGTAAGGGTTGACCGTGCCAGGTGATTTGACAGTTATCTCTCTGAAGTCTCCAGGTTGTTAGTAAGATGATGGTAAGGGCCTAGTTTTGAGATAAGGAAACTAAGCCTCAGAGAAGCTATGTAATTTGGCGCAAAGTCACAATGAACAAGAGACTGAGCTGAGATTCAAATCCAGGTCTCTCTGACCCTGAGGTCCATTCTCTTTTCCTTTACCCCACCTTCCTTTCTAAGGAGTAACTTTCCCCTTAGAAAAGGTAACTTCCAAGGATGAAATCTGAAATGGGGTAGAATTTAAGAAGACTCAGGAGAAGACAAAATCAATTTCGCACAAAGCAACCCTTGTCCTTAAGAAGTCTAAACATCTTTATGGGTTTTTGTGGTGTCTGATATAGGTCTCACCACTTTTAAATGAACAACAGTGTCTGCATTTCCATTAATTCTTACTAACATTAAGAGATCTGGCCCACACAAATCTGAAATGCATAGGAACAGGCCTTAGCAAACAAAGTAAAGGATGTATGTCTTTTCCATTAAAAAAAAAAAATCAGGTATTTTTTCCCAGCAGACAGGGAGAGGAAGAAAATGAGAGAGAGAGAGAGAGAGAGAGAGAGAGAGAGAGAGAGAGAGAGAGAGACATGGCATCAAAACAGCAGTATCAAAAGCTTAGAATGGTGGGAGTCTGACCTACATACAAGCTTTTTTTCTTTTCTTTTTTCTTTTTTTTTTTTAAACAGCAGGCATCTGAAGCCTGAAAAATTAAAAGCTTTGCTAAAATTAGGTTTAACTAGTAGAAAAATCCCTCATTCTCTCTCAGGTTTATTGTATCTTTTACTAAAGCATTACACTCATGACACTTAATGGAATATTAGTAAAGGACCTTAATTTTATACTTTGGGTTGGGAAAGGAGGGTAGGAAAAGAAAGTGAATCTAGGAAAGGGAACCTGTGAATTTCCAGTCTTGAGCACATTTCATCAATCCATTTCTAACTGTCTATAGCACATCCTCTGGCTGAGTCTCCTGGAGAATGGAAATAACAAAATCAGGGCCAAGTGAGGGGAAGCCCAGGCTCCTCAGAGACTGTGCCTTCCCCACAGCAGCTTCCTGGGGATGCCTGTGACAGACTCTCTTTGTTGAAGACTGGGCCCTCACTGTTCTCTTTGTGAGGGTAACCTGCTACTCCGGAAAGTAGCATGGCTACTCCGGAAAGTAGCATGTAAGTAGGACCAAAGGCACCGCAGATAATAAAATCTTGGCTGATGTGATGGGCTACGGCTTTTTTTTTCTTTTTTTTTTTTTTTGAGATGGAGTCTCACTCTTGTCGCCCAGGCTGGAGTGGTGCAGTGGTGTGAACTCGGCTCACTGCAACCTCTGCCTCCTGGGTTCAAGCGATTCTCCTGCCTCAGCCTCCTGAGTAGCTAGGATTACAGTTGCCTGCCACCACACCCGGCTAATTTTTGTACTTTTAGTAGAGGTGGGGTTTTGCCATGTTGCCCAGGCTGGTCTTGAATTCCTGACCTCAGGTGATCCACCCACCTCGGCTTCCCAAAGTGCTAGGATTACAGGCATGAGCCACCATGCCCGGCCAGGCTATTGCTTTTCTTTTTCGGTGTGGGGTTGAGTCCAGGGGTGGGTTAGAAAGTGGTGATTGGTTGTAATCCTTTCCTGAGCTTTATTTCTCATGAGGTAGGGTTGTGTAAGTAGGTGTGAGGGGCTTAAAAAGCCAACTGTAGCTGGGTGTGGTAGCACATGCCTGTAAGTCCCAGCTACTCAGGTGGCTGAGGTGAGAGGATTGCTTGAGCCCAGGAATTCGAGGCTGCAGTGGGCCATGACTGCACCACTGTACTCCAGGCTGGGCGACACAGCAAAACCCTGTCTCAAAAAAAAGTTCCAGTTTTTTTAAAAGACAGGGTCTTGCTCTATCGCCCAGGCTGGAGTGCGGTGGCACAATCTTGGCTAAATGCAGCCTTGACCTCCTGGGATCAAGTGATCCTTCTGCCTCAGCCTCCCAAGTAGTTGGGACCACAGGCACACGCCACCACACCAAGCAAATTTTTTTTATTTTTGTAGAGAGAGGGTTTCACCATGTTGCCCAGGTTGGTCTCGAACTCCTGAGCTCAAGCAATCTGCCTGCCTTGGCCTCCCAAAGTGCTGGGATTACAGGCGTAAGCCATCATTTCCAGCCCATTCTAGTTTTAACATTAGAATACCATTGTATTATGTCTGAGTTCTCATCAAATCAGACCAATTCTATTCTGATTTTCAAGGCACTTCCAAAAATTCTTCCACTATTAATAATGAGGAAACAATGAAAATATTTAAATCAAACATGTTCTTTCCTTCTGCTTTCACACATAGAGTACACACGAAGGCTTCCCCAGTGCAGGCAGCTGACTTAAGATCCATGAGGCAGGAATGTTCAAGAGTGCCTCATTTATTACAAATGCCTAGGACGGGCTGGGCCTAGTGGCTCAATCCTATAGTCCCAGCACTTTGGGAGGCCAAGGCGAGAGGATCGCGTGAGCTCAAGAGTTTGAGACCAACCTGGGCAACATAGTGAGACCTTGTCTCTACTAAAATACATCCATGCCTATGGAGAGCAGAGCTTACCACTGTAATTATACACTAGATTTCTGTCATTTCCTTCTAACTTAATGATAGGTAATCTTCCTTTAAACATGTGCTGAAGTTCCTACAGTCCTGACCATCTCAACTTAAAGGAGATCCCGCCGGGTGCAGTGGCTCACACCTGTAATCCCAGCACTTTGGGAGGCTGAGGCGGGTGGATCACCTGAGGTCAGGAGCTCAAGACCAGCCTGGCCAACATGGTGAAACCCTGTCTCTACCAAAAATAAAAAAATTAGCTAGGCATGGTGGCAGGTGCCTGTAATCCCAGCTACTCGGGAGACTGAGGCAGGAGAATTGCTTTAACCTGGGAGGTAGAGGTTGAGGTGAGCCAAGACTACAAAATTGCACTCCAGCCTGAGTGACAAGAGCAAAACTCTGTCTAAAAAAAGAAAAAAAAAAAAGGAGATCCCAAGCAGTCAGAGGTGCCCTCCTGCTTGAGTAAGCAGCACACCTCAGCAAACAGCAGCCACCACCTAGGCCATTCTCCTCTGTGGTTCCCCATGTGCTTTCATATTAACAGATACCATGGCCCAGGGTGTGGTCAAGGGAATACCACACATGTGCTTAAGAATTGGTTTCTATTATGACTATTCACCTTTTGCCATCTGGAATGGCAGTCTTATAGGGAGAATCTTAATGTAGGCATCATTTGATATAATTTTATAGTTTAAATGAAAAGGAATGAAATGCAATGCTGTGTATTTCATTAAGATCAACAAAACCTAAAGGTGGTCTAAGAACAGTTGGGGCCAACCTCAGTTTCCATTTGCCAACTGGATACCAGAAACATTCTACTACAGATACTTCCCGTGTCTTTTTGTTTGGTAGGAAGAAACCAAGTTGGGACACTATAAGAGACAGGAACAAAATCTACCAAAAGTTGGAGTTATCAGGTGAGTTAGGAGTAGGACCAAATAATAAGAGCCAAGGAAGAGCAATAGAGGCATGCACGCAGTAGTCTCCAAACAAAAATTATAAGCATTTGATGAATCAAAGGTAGGGGACAGGGCAGAGGGGCTGAAGAACTTACAGAGGTATCGGTACAAACTAAATGGAATATGTACAGGTGCCAGCTTATACCAGCTACATTCATACCTAGAAGTCCGTAAGTGTTTAAGAGCCTAGCAGATTCATAATACCAAGCTGCTACTTTAACAGGCTCTACCACTAACTGATGGAGAGTTTTGTAGAGAAGAATTACATGTAACTTATCTGCATACTTATACAGAGGCCAGAGAGATGAAAAATTAACCACTTGGTAATAAATCTGCCTAGTCCCTCCTCTCAGCACTTCCCCAACCTTACTGGCATTCAGAAGCTGATTATTCCCATCATATATCATAAAGTCGAGCCAAATACCAAAGACAGCCAACTGACCCAGATAATCTTCAGCTCCCAATGTAAGCTGTGGCCTGTTAACTTTTCTGGAACTTAGGAATCATGAGTTGGAAGGACCTGCTCATAGTTCTTACCTTACCCTGTGGCAACTCAGAGACTAAAGCCATTCTGGCCCCAAAATGCTACGGACAATCTTACTTGCCCTGGTTTGAAAGTCCTTTTTAGCTGACCTTTAGAATATGGTCTATCAGACCTACGTGCTAGAACCAGCTTTTTCTGAACTGGTAACTTTAAAATAGTGGGTTTAATTTACTGTTGTTCTTTTTTTTTTTTTTTGAGATAGGGTCTCTCACTCTGTTGCCCAGGCTGGAGTGCAGTGGCATGACCTCGGCTCACTGCAACTTCTGCCTCCTGGGTTCAAGCGATTCCCGTGCCTCGGCCTCCTGAGTAGCTGGAATTACAGGTGTGTGCCACCATACCCGGCTAATTTTCCTATTTTTAGTAGAGATGGGCTTTTGCCATGTTGGCCAGGCACTGGTCTTGAATTCCTGGCCTCAAGTGGTCCACCTGCCTTGGCTTCCCAAAGTGTTGGGATTACAGGCGTAAGCCACCGCGCCCAGCCTAATGTGCTGTTGCTTTTAATTTTACTCTTTAACAGACTTGATTTTATATTCAAACTCCAAAGCAACCCAACAAAAGGGGTAATTTGGAAAAATTATTATCTTGAATTGCTGGAACTCTCACATACTGCTAGAGTGTAAACAGGCACCACCACTTTGCAAAAAGTTTGGCAGCATCTATTAATCTGAACATATGCATATCCTATGATCCACTCTTAGGTTCATAAATACTCAATTCTACACCTTAGGGATATATACAACAGAAATGTACATATATGTCTTATCAAAAGACGTGCTCATGTATTTCACAACAGCACAAACTATTCATAATAACTAAAATCCAGAAATCAGTCAAATGTCCAACAGAACAGACTAATAAATAGTACAGCCACAGAACACTGTATAGCAAACAGAAGGAACAAATGTACAACCACAAACAATAATGTGGACACATCTCAGATATACAGTGTTGAGTGGAAGAAGCCAGATGTGGCCGGGCATGGTGGCTCATGCTTGTAATCCTAACACTTTGGGAGGCGGAGGCGGGAGGACTACTTAAGCCCAGGAGTTCAAGACCAGCCTGGGCAATATAGTGAGCCCATGTCTCTACAAAAAAATTTAAAAGGCAGTGGGGTGTCGTGGTGTGCACTTGTGGTCCCAGCTACTCAAGAGGCTGAGGTGGGAGGATGGCTTGAGCCTGGCAGGTTGAGGCTGCAGTGAGCCCTGATAATGTCACTGCACTCTAGCCTGGGTGACAGAGTAAGGCCCTGTCTGTCTCAAACAAAACAAAACAAGGAAAGCAGCCAGACATAATAAATGTAATTGTGGTTACATTTAGATAACATTCAACCAGCCCAACTAGTCTACGGCGCTAGAAGTCAGGACAGTTGTTATCCTTGGAAGGGAAGGTGACTCAGTATGATGAGGGCCTCTGTGTGTTGGTTACACATGAATATTCTCTGTTAAAACTCATCAATTCTGCAAGTATAAAGGAAGTAAAAAAAAAAAAAACTCAGCTGAATATTTATGATTGTGCATTATCCAAAATGTACATTTTATTTCAATAAAAAATCATGAGACTATCTTGTCATAGACTAAAAATAAAAAAAAAACCTCTCATCATGCACTGCACTCAATAATTCTTTCCTTTACAAATTCACTTTAGAAAAGCCTATTTTTGTGAGAAAGTAAAAAGATTAAAATGACCTATTTCTCTTCCAAAGACTATTTTTATGAACTCTAGTTTGCGGAACTGCTTCACTAGAATAGCTGTATCTGAATCTGCTATAAATCCCCTTAGTCTTCCGTCACGGGAGGCAGCACTGTGGCACTGGCCTCACTTTGGAATCAGATGGAGCTCAGTGTGAATCCTGGCTCTACCATGCAGCAAAGCTATGCGGCCTTGCCATGCATCAGTTCTTCAACTGTAAGGTGAGAATGAGAAATAAGTGAAACAATGTGGGTGAGGGGCATGGCATACAAACACCCATTATCATCAAAATCTCATTTAGGGAAGAAAGTAGACGCACCTCTCTGCCCATCTTTTACAAAGTAAATGCAGATGCTAGCACTCCTTAGATGTTCTGTGAGCAGTTAATGTGAATATGATGCTTTAGCACCATCAAGAGCCAAATACCAAGTAGCTACAGTAAACTTCCTCTTAAAAGTTTATCCCAGTATTTCAGAAACTGAATTTTTATTTATTTATTTATTTTTCAGAGACAGGGTCTCACTCTGTTGCCCAGGCTGGAGTGTAACGGTGCAGTGTCACAATCACAGCTCACTTGCAATCTCAAACTCCTGGGCTCAAGTGATCCTCCAGCCTCAGCCTCCTGAGTAGCTAGGACTACAGGTATGCAGTACCACCACACCTGGCTACTTTTTTTTTTTTTTTTTGGTAGAGACAGCTTCTCTCTATATTGCCCAGGCTGGTCTCAAACTCCTGGGTTCAAGCGATCCTCAAGTCTTGGCCTCGCAAAGTGCTGGGATTAATGGTGTGAGCCACCAAGCCTGGCCTAGGAATTTAATTTTTAAATAACTATTGTTCTTGAAAAATTACTTTGAGATGTGAACTCTTAAGCATTTGTATCTTTTGAAAGCTTAACTCTGGAGAAAATCTGATTCCATACAAAGAATTTAAGATCCACTCAAGTAGACAGAAATAAGACTGAGAAAGAATGCACCTTGTTGTGAGCAGGGTAAACTTCTAAGGCTATCTCCACAAATGTCATTTAGAGTGGCAAGTCTGACGATGGTAGTAATTCTTATGATTGCAAATTAATCCTGTGAGTGTGTGTAAACGAAAGCTTCCCAAAGTAAACTTAGCCCTGTTTTTCGGTAAAGTCAATAAAAACTACTAAAACTACAGCCTAAAATATATTTTGGGTTGTGAATAAGTGTGTTGATAATACCGTGACTTGGACAGAGAATTTGCATCCCATCCCCAAAAGCACAAACTTTGGCTCTAAGCACTTGGTATATTACTGTGGATAAGCAAACTATAAAAATCTTACAAGATGACTTTCACTAGACTAACATAAAACACAGCACACACCCATATATATTGCCCTCTAAGAAGAGAAGGAATGTGGGGTTTGGGGGGTGAACTGGAATTAAAAGTACATCTTAGGTTTTAATGATGCTGGCAGTTAAGCTTGAAGGAACTATGAGTTCAACTTCCAAAGTAGTTAAAATTTAGTAAACAATAGCCAACTCGAAACAGTTCTCACAAGCTACAAATGGGACAATTTTAGCATCAAAAAAAGCCAGGCACAGTGGAACGTGCCTATAATCCAGCTACTTCAGAAGCTGAGGCAGGGGGATTGCTTGAGCCCAGGAATTTGGGTCCAGTCTGGGCAACTCAGTGAGACCCAACCTCTTTTAAGAAGCAACAAGAAACACAAATAGTATCTATGATAGACTGAAACACACAAAATATTAAAAAATTTATAATTTTACAATATTAAAAATATACACAAAAAAACCCTTTGCTGGTCACCTTTGGTTACTGAGGGGCAGCAACTCATTATACAGATAACCAATAGAGGGAAAATATGAAGCATTTATCCAGGCTTTCCTATAAGAACTGATTTTCAGGGTAACTAACTGAGACACAGTCTCGCTCTGTCACCCAGGCTGGAGTGCAATGGCACAATCTTGGCTCACTGCAACCTCCGCCTCCTAGGTTCAAGCAATACCCATGCCTCAGCCTCCTGAGTAGATGGGACTGCAGATGTGCACCATTACACCTGGCTAATTTTTGTATTTTCAGTAGACACAGGGTTTTGCCATTTTGGCCAAGCTGGTCTCGAACTCCTGACTCAGGTGATCCGCCCGCCTCGGCCTCCCAAAGTGCTGGAATTACAGGCATGAACCATTGCGCCCGGCCTAAAATAGCTAATTTAAGAAGCAATTCTGAACGCTCAATTCTAAAACAATTTAGTCGAATGGGGATTTTTATAATGGATGATCCGACTGACAACACCAGAACTACTGATCAATCTTAATTACCACAAAAAGAAAAACTGACACTACAAGAATGCCTGACCTCATAAGTGAATCTTGTCTGGGTGTGGTAGAGCTCATGCCTGTAATCCCAGCACTTTGGAAGGTCGAGGCGGAAGGATTGCTTGAGCCCAGAAGTTCAAGATCAGCCTGGGCTACAAGGCGAAACCCTATCTTTATAAAAACAAAACCAAAAATTAGCCAGGTGTGGTGGCATGCACCTGTAGTCACAGCTACACAGGAGGCTGAGATGGGAGGATTGATTGAGCCTGGGAGGTTGAGGCTGCAGTGAGCCATGATCATGTCACTGCACTCCAGCCTAGACAACAGAGCGAGACAGTGTCTTTAAAAAAAAAAAAAAAAAAAAAAAAAGTGTGAATTTGAACCTGAGCAATCCTCTGGTTTATAGGAAATGTGTGTTTGTGTGGGGGGGTTAGAAGGACATATGACATGACACTATGCACCTCTGGTGTACAATCAGGCACAGCCACATTGTGGAAAAACCCTGGTTTCTTCAACACATAAATGGCACAAAAAAGGGAAGGTGAATTATTACATAGATTTTTAAGAGACATGTCAACAAATGTGTGAATCTTAACTGAATACTGATTCAAACAAACTAAGCACTCAAAAGATATTTAACAAATGATATTAGGAATTATGATTACTTTTGTTTGATGGTGATGATAGTTATGTAAAGAATAAGACTCCCGGCCAGGCGCAGTGGCTCACGCCTATAATCCCAGCACTTTGGGAGGCTGAGGTGGGCGGATCACGAGGTCAGGAGATCGAGACCATCCTGGCGAACACGGTGAAACCCCGTCTCTACTAAAAATACAAAAAAATTAGCCAGGCATGGTGGTGGGCGCCTGTAGTCCCAGCTACTCGGGAGGCTGAGGCAGGAGAATGGCATGAACCCAGGAGGCGGAGCTTGCAGTGAGCCAAGATCGCGCCACTGCACTCCAGCCTGGGCGACAGAGCGAGACTCCGTCTCAAAAAAAAAAAAAAGACTCCCACTGGTTAGAGATACATTTGAAGTCTATCTCATTTCCCAAAGTGAGGAGGAAAAGATAAAAACAGACTCTAAAATGTTGATAATTTTGAAGCTGTCCAATAGGTACATGGGGGATTATCATACTATTCTCTCTACTTTATCTGTGTTTGAAGATTTCCGTAACAAAAAGTAAAAGTGGCAGAAAGATGATGGTTGTTGAAACCAGGTCATGGGAGTTTGCTGTGTTGTGTGTATTTATCTTTGAAAATGTCTATAATTTTTTTTACGGTATCAATAATCCAAGATAAATTCTGAATGAACTCTGAGATATTACTGTCCAATCAGAGGCTGACCTACTCAACAAAAAGGCATCATACCAAGAGAAAAAGAACATGGAAGGCTTCATGTGGCGATAACCCTAAATCTCACATGCCTACAATTTTCTAGATGACAATGAAAATTTTGAGCAGTCTTCATCAGAAAACACCAACTGTGTGGTTGGCCCCAATGATGCTCTGTGCCTCTGTAGTGACCATAAGCTTTTTCCAAGAGCAGGGCCTTCCTCTTACCTGGCTGGGGTGGATGAGGTGGTGGCATCTGGTGGTGCATCAGAGGGTAGGGAGGGGGCTGTTGATGAGGCATCATGCCAGGGTGCCCTGCTGCTCCAAGTGGGGCCAGGCCAGGTCCTCCTGAGTGCTGGTGTGCCTGTTGAGGGTTCTGGCCATGCTGCTGCTGTTCCATTTGCTGTCGTGCTCGTAATTCAGCATACTTCAGCTGTTCCATGTGGAAGTTTTGGCGTTCAGTAAGCAACTGCTGCCTCTGTTGTTCTAGCTGTAAGCAAAGGAAGTGGAAGAGAAATGACACCAGAAGAGGCTTTCAGGATTGGATAACACAAAGGACAACTACATAATGCCTGAATTACCTCTATCCCATCACACTGACATCACCACCTCACTTCCTGCACCTTCTACAGTGAGAACAAAGGCATTATTTCTTGAGTAGCATATTTCCATTTGGACATCTGTTACCATGGTCAAAGTCTTCTCCATGTTGAGTCTAAGTCTTTCCTTGCAATCTTCCCGCAGTAGGGCTACTGCTCTTTGGGCTCACTTGGACACATGTAATCCCCTCTATGTTTGGCAGGCCTTTAGATATCTAAAAATACTTTCTATGGCTGTCTGAGTCTTCCCCAGGTAAAACGAGCCTCTCTTGTCCTTGTAATAGTTCCTCAGATGTTAACATTTCAAGTTCACCCAACCTTCCTATGTGCTCTCTTTTGGATGTGATACTCTCATGGTTACTGTCTATTTTAGAACATAACACCAGAGTTAAATTACTCTGCATGAGTTGACGTGGCCTTAGCTGCAAAGATATGCATTTCTCTATGTGGAACTTTGGCAGTGCCACTGCAAATCTTAGCTTTCAAGTACCCAAAATTATACTTGGTGACACATTCACGGAATATTTTAGTTGCCTATAAAAAAATTTGCATGAATCTTAGTTTAACGACTACAAGCATTTCAATATTCAAGATAATCTTTCTGGCACCCAAATGAGAATAAAGAGAAATACAGTATTATATGTTTAGTTCAGAGAATGAAGCCTATCCTAAATTAATTTAATTCAGGGATGATAAAGAAAATCAACCTGAACATGCAGGAAAATGAAAATCCAGATCTCTGAAAGTAGTATAAAAATCATAAGCATAAGGAGGGTTAATAAACCCACTTCTTTTCAATAACATCTCCATCCCATCATTTTGATAGAAAAATCTAAGTCACTGGGAATCATTTTCTAGTGCTGTGTTGTCCAATACAGCAGTTAGAAGCCACACACAGCTACTGAGCACTTGAAGTGTGGCTAACATGAAATGAGATGTGCTGTTGGTGATGCACAGTAAAATTTGAAGACTTAATATGAAAAATTGTTCATATAAATTACATATAGAAACAATGTATATATGTAGGTTTTACATATACTGGATTATGTAAAACATCATTTCACCTGTTTTTAATTTGGCTACTAGAAAATTTTAGTTATATATATGGCTCACATATTTCTGTCCAATAGCACTATTCTGAGGCATTTAATAGGTTAGGGAAGTATAACATTTTTGCTTTTGGGGGCAGCAAGTTCTGTGGATAAACACTACACACTATTATTTGCAAAAACTAGATGGAATAAGCATGAGAATTAGCCTAAAAATCTGGGCCTTTGGCAGAGGGCCGACTGGGGAAAATCCCTGTGAAATTGAGTGAGAAGCATCACTGGTTATAGGAGTAGCAACTGGGGTATTTCCATGGACAGATGGGGTGTGGGAAGACAGGCCATGAACACAGTATGAAGAAAAGATGCATGAGCAGGCTAAGAGGAGAACAAATAAAGAGAGTAAACGGTATAGCTTATGTCCTGGATTTTGGTAACTGGCTTGTAGACTTTCCTTAGGGAGAGGGAGATTTTCTGAAACAAAACATTTTGAGAGAGGTTGAGGGTTACCAGGAACAAGCAAGACAGGGTTCTACCATGGTCCTAATAGTCTAGTGTGGGCTCTTCATTTTCTGGGAAAGGTAATCTGAAGAGGGTAAAGCCTAGCCTGGTTCAGTTTCCTGTGTGCATGATGAGAAGGGAGATGTAATATGTAAACAGCAAGAGAATCTTCTGGAAGTCCAGTTCTGCAGGAAGACTAATCAGATTAGTAAGTAAGAGGCAAAATGACTGTAAAAGGTGGGGTGGGAAATCTAAATATTCTGGCTACAGATCCTTGGTTTTGCTTTCTTCTAATCATTCTTTCTAGGAATTTAGGACTCTGAATTTGCTTAAGAGGTGGCCAGAAAACATCCTCTTATCTGTTTTTGTTGAGTGACTACTGGTCTGAACAGCTTGGCTGTAGTCCTACTGTTATGTAAGAACTATGGAATTTAGGTCAAGATATGCTTTATAAGGAAGCTGAACTGCTACTGGAGGGAGCAGTGACTCTAAAAGGAAATTCTGGTCTCTGCATTACCTAGCTGAATTTTGGGTTCTGCTTTTAACCAAACTAGCCTTTCTTTGAGGGCTTACCTTAGTATCAAGGTATTAACCTTGGAAAGAAAAAAAGAATCTACTAATAAGAGGATGAGAGGGCCAAGCTGGGAAGAAAAATTTGCCCAATTTTCCTTGCCTACAACATGAGCTAGCCTGTATTATCCTCTTTATTTTCTGAGTTTCATCTGTCATTTTAAAACTTAGAAGGTAATTTAAAAAAAGTAATTAGAAGAATTAGAAAGGATAAGTGATTAAACACATACATAAACCTGAAAGAGAACCCAGTTTAAACCAAAAGTTCCAATGTGGGGCCAAACATGTCCTATGAGTTGAGAGCAATGCCCAAATAACAGGCTACCAGTTGGCTCCATAAGGGCCATCTCTGTTCTGCGGCAGATGCAGCAGAGCTTGCCACCATGTACTGGCCTCGTCATGCAAATAAAATAACTTTTCTTGTTCTAGATACCTTATTTTTATTAAATCAAGTTGAAGACTGCATTCACTTTTGTGGCAATCAGAAAGAATGTTAACTAGGAATTTCTGAGAGAAAATTGCCAGTACTGGTCATATTTTAAATGCACTTAACCAATGACCCAGTGATTAGGCATCTGGAAATCTGTCCTAGAATACTGTATGTATGCATGTGTAAGGATGGTCATCAAGGCATTCTTTTTGATGTTCAGTTACATAAGATAACCTGAATGGGGGAAAAAACAAGTTGCAATAAAAATATTTATAAGATAATCCAAGTATATAAAAATGACTTTGTGATCATGTATAAACACATTTAAAATGTTCTGAAAGATACAAACTATTAACAGTGATCATCCATAGAAATGAAACTGGAAGTAGGAGAACTTTTCTCTTTTTTTTTTTTTTTTGAGACGGAGTCTTGCTCTGTCGCCCAGGCTAGAGTGCAGTGGTCGCCTTCCGGGTTCAAGCAATTCTCCTCCCTCAGCCTCCCAAGTAGCTGGGATTACAGGTGCCCACTACCACGCCCAGCTAATTTTTGTATTTTTAGTAGAGATGGGGTTTCACCATGTTGGCCAGACTGGTCTTGAACTCCTGACCTCAGGTGATCCGCCCGCCTCAGCCTCCTAAAGTGCACAGGCATGAGCCACTGCTCCTGGCCAGAACTTTTTATTTATGATTTGAAAATTTAAAATATCACACACATATGTTTAATAACAAAAAAATAGGCTCCAGCGAACCCAGTTTTTCATACAAGGCTGCCTATGGCCCTGCTCTGAAGACACATCCTGAGCCCCCACTTCCCCTGCTTTCAAAAACCCTGCCTTCCTCTCCCTCTTCACTGTGTATGTATAAAGCAGCCGTATCCAAGCGAAATCTAACACAACAGAGCACTTTTCAACACCAAGACACCAAACGCAGACACAGCTGCAAGTGCAGCTGAAGTTCACACAAAGCTCTTCTCCCTTCTATTTGCATAAAGCAGGGAGGGGGGTGGGAAAGAGTAAAAGACAGTGAGGGCCACAAAAATCTATCTGCAATGCCAAGGACTGAAATATCAGCTGAGACTTGAAGCCTCAGAGCTAAAGTAAATAATCACACCTTCCTTTTCAATGCTTTGTATCAGTGATGAGAAATTCACTGAAAAAACCCCAAATCCAAAACAGACATATCCATCCCTTTTTATACCTGAGGTAAAAGAAAACAATATAATTGCATTTTGCTACTTCCATGTGTACTTCTGGTAGCAGAAATCCAAAAAGGGAGCCTGCATCATTATTGTGACTTGTCATTTTATCTTTGTTGCAGTGTGCTTGCTTCTTGAGGCCACAAGTCTTTCTGCTTCAGAACTGAACCTGCTACTGGGTATGGCTTTCTAATCTCAAATAAAACTACCTTTAATGTAATAGCAAATGTTGAACAATAGATTCAATTGTATGACAGGCAGCACAGAAGATGAATTACTACAACTACACAGAAAACAAAGTTAAATATAATTACTCTGGGACACTATGAAATTCTTTTTTGCTGTTCTTTCTTCCTCAGTTTGTCATAAAATATAACAAATTTTTCTAAACTTACTATTTGTGAGGATAGCCCATTATCTCTATCTTGAAATTCCACCCAGAACTTCACCATTTCTCTTCACTTCCACGGCTGACACCCTGGTCCAAGCCACCATATCTCACGTGCATTAACCTAACAGCCTCCACACCAAGTCTCCCTGATTCTGACCTTGCTGCCTTATAATTTACTCTCTCTAACACAGTAGACAGAGTGATCCCTGATAAACTGTAAGGAAGATCACTTCAGTCCTCAACTCAAGGTCCCGCAATTATTTCACATTTCAGAGTAAAGCAAAAAGGCCTCTGGACTGCTTTCAAGAATTTCTGTGATTTGGTCACCATGATCTCTTTGACTTTATGCTCCTAACTCCCTTGACTCATTTATGCTCCAGCCCACCCACCTACTCCCTTGTCTCTGAACATGTCAGTCATACTCCTGCCTCAGGGCCTCTGCACTGGCTGTTTCCAGCACCTAGAAGTGCTTGCCCATCAACTGTCAAGTTTCTCAATAAGGCCTAATCTGATGACACCACTCAAAACAGAAATCCCTTCCCTGCCACTCCTAATCCCCCCGACTCAGCCCATAACATACACACAAAGCTTGTATGTATACCTATATATATGCAGCATATAATACCTTATTACTTATAAAACTTCCTTAATTCACTCATGGTTTCTAATTATTTGAAATCCACCAAGGCAGAGATCTTTGTTGGGTTTTATCTACCACTGTATCCTCAGTAGCTGTATGCCTGGAGGACAGCAGATGCTCAGTGAGTATTTGGCAAATGAACAAATAAATCATTTTATCTACCACAAAAACTATCAAGGCAGGCTGACCCTCCAGTCTCCTAAGCAATCATTCTTTTCATATTTCAAGAGCTGGGCCTTTCTTACAAATCATTATCAATCCTCCTCCTCCAGGAATCTTACCTTGATAATCTGAGCTGACCATGACCTCCCCTTTCTCTGAATTTTCATAGCCCCATCATCTCATAGTATTTGGTTTCTTTGAGTCAATGTCTCATCCATCCTTTAACTTCCTTAAGTACAGGGTCTGGGTTTCTCACAGTTCCGAGTTCCCTAATAGTCCCTCTTTTCTGAAGGTACACAATTTCTTTCTTTTCTTTTCTTTTCTTTTTTTAAGACAGAGTTTTGCTCTTATTGCCCAGCCTAGAGTGCAATGGCGCCATCACGGCTCACTGCAACCTCTGCCTCCTGGGTTCAAGTGATTCTCCTGCTTCAGCCTCCTGAATAGCTGGAATTACAGGTGCCCACCACCACGCCCGCCTAATTTTTGTATTTTTAGTAGAGACGGGGTTTCACAATGTTGGCCAGGCTGGTCTCGAACTCCTGACATCAGGTGATCCACCTGCCTCATCCTCCCAAAGTGCTGGGATTACAGGCGTGAGCCACAGCACCCAGCCTCTGAAGGTATAAAATTTCTATACCTAGCCAAATGAACTTCAGAGAGACAGACAACATTTAGTCCAAAAGCTATAAATGGAATCAGCTCATAGATCCATTCTCAATGGCCTCAAAGTGTCTTTTAAAAAAACATTCAAATGTAAACGGCTTATGTGGGGCCCAGGCCCTTCAATTCTCTCCAGGTAATTTAGTCTACAACACAACCCATGTCTGAAACCTGCTCTGTTGACGGCTGTGTGCTTCTGCCTAGCATCAAAAGCTACTCAGTCTACAGACACAATGAGTGGTAGACCCACTGGCAGCTCAACACCCTCCCCTGAACTGGAATGCTTTTCTCATGTCAATTCCCTGATATACTCTGTAACTTCCATAACTGCCTTTCCTTTAATATTAATGCTTTAAAATATGAGGGAGCTGGAATAGCTACTAATTATAGCTGAGTTCATGATACCCATAACAAATTCGATTTTTTTTTTTTGAGACAGAGTTTCGCTATTGTCACCCAGGCTGGAGTACAATGGCATGATCTCTGCACGCTGCAACCTCTGCCTACCGGGTTCAAGTGGTTCTCCTGCCTCAGCCTCCCAAGTAGCTGGGATTACAGGCGCCCACCATCACGCCCAGCTAATTTTTGTATTTTTAGTAGAGACGGGGTTTCACCATGTTGGCCAGGCTGGTCTCAAACCCCTGACTTCAGGTGATCCTCCCGCCTTGGCCTCCCAAAGTGCTGGGATTACAGGTATGAGCCACCATGCCTGGCCCTGAAATTTTTATATGATTACATTTAATTACAATTACTTAAGACTAAAAAGAACATCTGGCTTTAAGTCATTAGAGGGAAAAAAAAAGCTTTATATTTGATTTTGAGTCTTAATTTCTGAAACCTATTGCTATTTAAACCAAACCAAACGTTCTATTTAAAAAAATGTTATCCTAAAGCTACTGCTTACTAGGTTAAGATGAGCAAGAGTGCAATCTAAAATGAACTGAGGCAGTGGGGGAGGTGGAGAGTTGGGTGCCTCTACTCCTAGCTGATCTATTCACTATCTGGAGTATCAACTTTATTGATTCATAATAGGATGACAGAAGCTGCATATATATCTGAGTCCCTAGGTTAAAATGAAATAGCAAAAGCTCATTTCTTTATAAATTACGAAGTACTAGATAAATACAAAGAGCTGAACAAACAGGTTTGAGATCTGGCTCTGTCATTTCTGACCCATGTGATCTGAGGTACACAACCTACCAGGTTCAAGCTCCAGTCTGGAATGTAAGAAGGGCTAACAAAGAAGTGGCTTATGCTGTCATCCAACATCACTGCTGGATTCTTGAATAAGGGGATTCAAAGCAAACATTACTTTCTTGCTTATGGCTTCCTCACATAGTTTGCCAGGAAATAAAGTGAGTAAATCCATTTAAAGTGCTTTGGCATAGTAACTGACCCAATAAATGCTCACAAAGCCAACAATGGCTTATGAATCTTAAGAATTTTGTACATATTTGTTGATTACTGGTTTGCATAACGGGAGGCATATATTTACCAAACACTTACTATGTATGTGCTAGACACTGTGCCAGGCATATGCCATACTTCTCTCAATTTTCACAAGAATTCTGTGTGGAAATCATCAGTAGAAAAACATTCATAGCTTTGCTTCCCACAGGGAAGGATAGGATGCTAGTGCTAGAGTGAGAAAGAGGTTATGTCTTAATTATACACAAAATGAGCGGGTGGCATTTTGAAGTTCAAATGACACATTTTGGTTGGTAAGAGAACAGGTCTCCAAGCTGGTTGCCAACGATCCTGCTTTCTAATATTTATACATTCCCACTGAAAACTATTCACCTAACCCAGATCCAAAGTTGGTCTGTGACCAACAGGATGTGGCAGAAGGGATGTGACTCGTATGTTTACATTATAAAGAACATTATAGCTCCCATTTTGTGTGCTTTTTCATACTCTTACTTTTTTAAATCACTTACTCAGAAACCATGGCAATTTATAACTAATACAATTGGATTATTGACATTCATTCAGTAGGGGTAGGGACTGTCTCATACAAAGAATTTTCCTGCCACAAACAGCTGACACCAAATGCTGATTAAGAAAATAACAGTCCACCATGGAAGAATTCAAGCAGAGCAGCGTTGTGTATTGGGATGGAGTCCGGAGAGTATTTTCCCAACATTTTCAGCTGTGTTGTTTTATTCAGAAAATATTTATGAAATATTGTGTGTGATCTGATTAGAAAGTAACATTTTTTAAAAGTCAAAAAGCTGGACACAGCAGCTCATGCCTGTAATCCAAACCCCTTGGGAGGAGAAGGTAGGAGGACTGCTTGAGGCAAGGAGTTTGAGACCAGCCTGGGCAACATGGCAAGATCTTGTCAATATTTAAAAAAAAAAAAAAAATTAGCTGGGCACAGTGCCTCATGCCTGTAGTCTCAGCTGCTTGGGGAGGCTGAGGAGGGAGGATCACTTGAGCCCCAGGAGTTTGTGGCTGCAGTGAGCTATGACTGCACCACTGCACTCCAGCCTGGGCAACAGAGTGAGCCCTGTCCTCCCAGAAAAAAGTCAAAAGAGAAAAAATAGTGAAGTTATATAATTTAAGTAGTTATTTAAAAAATAGACATCACACAAGGAAACTTCTGCAGGGCTGAGAGAAGAGGAGCGGTTATACACTGCCCCTTGGTGTCTGGGGGCCAGTAGACAGAAGTGGAAAGGGGATGCGAACTCTGCTATTCTTAGGGGACAGACAACAGATCCATCAGAAGGTTTAAAAAACCGGGGGACCTGCAGGTTCATTCTTTGAAGAGAAAGCAATTTAGTGCTGAGGAAAGAGCTCCTTGCCAAACTAGATATATTCTGTAAGCGCTCAGGGTTGACTCAATATTCAAGGCTAATGGATCAGTTATGCTTTGCAAATGACAGCAAGATGTCTTACTGCCAGTGGGATCTACCCAACCATCATTTGAATCCCGCATATGCCAACAATCCACTCCACTATATTATAGCCCCCTATTACTCCAGGCCCTCTAAGAAAATCTGTAAAATGTCAAAAGGGAAGCTTATTAGGGAAAAATAAACACAAAGACTCATCCCCTAAAGCTCCGCCTGTAGGACGTTTTCTCTGATAACTTCTCCCTCTCCCCATCTCCTGGGAACTCCTCCTTTCTGTTCCCATAGCAGCATCTGTACAACTGCTGTACTATACAAACATACTGTATTGTCGTTATTTGTTGACTGTTTCCCCCATTAAACTAAGTCTCAAAGGGTGGATTATCCTTTCCACTTTCCCAACTACGGCAACAATGCTGGCACGCACTCATTTAAGTAAGGGCCTGTGATGTGCTACTTCTGTGTTAACAAAGACATCTGATTAAGTCCCTGCCCTCAAAAAGTATATACTCTGGTACAGAAATGCGAACCCATGAACTGGTGATTACAGTGCAATTAAGCGCTCTGTGAGGCTGCCACTGCAGTAAATGTGAAGGCCATGCCACCCACAGCTGAGGACTGCAGGAGGTAGGCAAAAAGTGGGGCAAAGGGCCTTCTTGGCCAGAGAAGCAGGATGCAAACAGGTGGCAAAGAGAGTAAGGCTGTGAAGAAGCCTGCATTTGGTCCAGCATACACAGAGGGTGACAGAGATGAAACCCAGGTCTCATGAGCTCCCGGGGCAGGAGACAATCAATGGTGTGAGAGATGCTTACAGAGACATAAGCTCAATGACAGATGTACAGCATGGAGTGAGAAGCACAGTAAGTCCCTGACTAGGCTGCTTCCTAATCAGGGAACTGAGGGTGGGGTGGTATAGAGTTGGGGTAGGAGAGCTACTGAAGCAGCCTCTTCCTACTTTTGGGGCCAGCTGGTCTTAGGACAAAATGGATATGGGCTATGGTGACAGGTACTGGGCTACTCATCATGAGGAGTTCAACAGAGGACTTGCTTGGACTGGCCACTAAGAAACACTTTAAATAATGCAAGAAGATACTTAGGCAAATGTAAATCCTAAAATGATCAGTATTCTGGAATAATTTCTTTTTAAAGTTCTACCATTTGGAGTCAGAATCTCTCATGTAGATAAAAAAGTCAAAATCGTCAGAGGTAAAAAGTCCTAACTAAATGCTCAAATTTAGCCCATGCTTAGGGAGTCACTAATTCTTTATCTAGTCAACTCATTACAAAAATTTATTTTTGGCCAGGTGCGGTGGCTCACGCCTGTAATCCTACCACTTTGGGAGGCTGAGGCAGGCAGACTGCCTGAACTCAGGAGTTCGAGACCAGCCCAGGCAACACAGTGAAACCCTGTCTCTACAAAAAAACAAAAAATTAGCTGGGCGTGGTGGCGCACGCCTGTAATCCCAGCTACTCGGGAGACTGAGGCAGGAGAATGGCTTGAACCTGGGAGGTGGAGGTTGTGGTGAGCCGAGATCATGCCACTGCACTCCAGCCTGGGTGACAGAGTAAGACTCCGTTTTCAGGAAAAAAAAAAAAAAATTTGTTTTTGTTTTTTTTCCACTAAGAGCTTACTTAATCTCTTTTTCTCCAGAACTTCTCCCAAGATAACCAAATGTTTCTCTGCTTCTAAATTTCTTACTTTTTATGACTTCCACTCTCACTTTTGGCCCTTTTCATAATTCTCTTGGTCCCGTTTGGCCCATGACCTTATGTCAAAAGTTTCTGCTCCAGGGAATGCTACGTACAAGACTCAGGATGGGCCTACTTCCAGCTACCATTCAGTATAGGAGAGGGAAGAGAAGTGTGAGAAAGCCCAAGGATGGATCTGAGGGAGGATAACAGAAAACTAGGTTCCTAACTCAAGATGAGATTAAGTTCTCCTTTCTAGTATTTATTTTGAAGAAGTCAGGGAATCAAGAAAATCTCTGAACACTTATATAACTGCTGATAAGACTGTACATTAGTTCAGCCCCTGTGAAAAGCAGTTTGGAGGTTTCTCAAAGAAACAAAAATATAACTAATATTCAACCCAGTAATCCCATTACTGGGTATATACCCAAAAGAAAATAAATTGTTCGGCCGGGCATGGTGGCTCACGCCTGTAATCCCAGCCCTTCAGGAGGCTGAGGTGGGCAGATCATGAGGTCAAGAGATAGGGACCATCCTGGCCAACATGGTGAAACCCCGTCTCTACTAAAAACACAAAAATTAGCTGGGCGTGGTGGCGTGCGCCTGTAGTCCCAGCTACTTGGGAGGCTGAGGCAGGGGCATCGCTTGAACCTAGGAGGCAGAGGTTGCAGTGAGCTGAGACTGTGCCACTGCACTCCAGCCTGGCAACAGGGCGAGACTCCGTCTCAAAAAAAAAAAAAAAAAAAAGAAAAGAAATCGTTCTACCAAAAATGCACCTGCACATGCATGTTTATTGCAGCTCCATTCGCAATAGCGAAGACATGAAATCAAACTAGGTGCCCATCAATAGTGGACTGGATAAAGAAAATGTGGTACATATATACTATGAAATACTACACAGCAATAAAAAAAAGAATGAAATTATGTCCCTTGCACCACCATAGATGCAGCTGGAGGCCATTATTCTAAGTGAATTAACCCGGAAGCAAAAAATGCCACATGTTCTCAGTTTTAAGTGGGAGCTAAACACTGTGTATACACAGACATAAACATGGAAACAATAGACACTGGTGACTCCAAAAGGGGAAGAGGAGAAAAGGGTGAAAGACTGAAAAGCTACATATTGGTACTATGTTAACTATTTGGGTGACAGCTTCAATAGAAGCTTAAACCTAAGCATCATACAATATATCCATGTAACAAACCTGCACAAGTACCTCTGAATCTAAAATAAAAATTAAAACTTTAAAAAAAAAAAAAAAAGAAAGAAAATCCCTGACTCAGATAATAGAGTTATACAGTTTCTACTTTATTGGTAACAAGTAGGTAATGAAATAACTCTAAGATCTAAGTTTTGTAGAGTGAAGAATTTAATATCATCATGTATCTTCACAGCCAACACGCACAAGAAGCTGAGATTTAGATAATTCACTTTAGAGAGTTAACAGAGTGCCTTTTATTTAACATCACTGGCTAACAATCCTTTTGAAAGGGCAAATCAAACACAGAAAAAAGGACAGAAGTTAGCCATGGAGACCAAGAGAACAGGCTACCATTTATTTTATCTAACTTGTTTTGTGAAAAGTGACCAAGGTTTAATTGTGAAAAAGCCACTAAAAAATTCCAAATACTTACAGCTTCTTTCTCTCTGTCCATGATAGTTTCCAGCTCTTCAAAATGTCGAAGTTTGATCTCTAGTTTCTTCATTTGTGTCTCAACCAAGAGAGCTACCAGGGACTTGATCTTTCTTTCTTCCACTGCAGCCAGGTGCTAAGGGTACAAGATCATTCAAGCTATTTAGGTAAACATTTGCTTAAAGAACATTAAGAAAATGCTGACAATATTCAAAGTAGAGATTATATAATTTACAATGGTACCCTATATGTCTCCTTTGTAACGTACAATCTAAAATAACTGTCTCTGAATTTCTGGTCCTTATAGAGATAAATCAACCCTTAAAAGATTAAAGGAAATGCCTCATGTGGTAAACTACTACCTTCAAAAGGGCTATCAAGAAGGAGAGGGCAAACCAGGACCCTGATGGGCCAAAGATGAGGACAGGAGGTACTTTGCCACCTACCACCCCATCCTGGCACTCGGTCTGTCCCCTCACTATCCTTTCCTCCCTAAAACTTTTCTAGGGGTGGGCAGGCAGGCAGGCTGCTGAGGACAGCACCTGACACTCTTATACAAAGCCTCTCCCTTCTCTTTGGTGAGCAGACCTCATGTGTGGAAACAAAGGGGAAAACAATATTTGATCTGTAATTCCAGGTCCAAGTCCATAGCTGGAAAAATAAATACAGTACTAAACAGAAAGGTACTCTGGAAGACTCACTCCTTTGCCACAAGACTGATGGTGAATGCTTCCTGCCAACTCAACAGCACAAACAGGAAGATGCCACATTACTTATATCTGCTTAAGACCCTAACTACTAGCTAGTAATCAATCCCACCCTCTATAGACGTCATCCAAGAACTTTCCCAGCAAACTCCCAGCACCATTTTTCATTCACTTTTATTATGTCTGCTGAATTTATGTGTTTATCTTGCTTCTACACAAGGCTTTTTTTTTTTTTTTTTTTTTTAAAGAAGCAGGGTTCTTCATAAAAAAAAAAAAAAAACCTATGTTGCCCAGGCTGGCCTCCAACTCCTGGGCTCAAGTGATCCTTCTGCCTAAGCCAACTGAGTAGCTGTGACAAGCCACAGCTGTGTGTGTCACAGCACGCATCTTACCAAGGTCTTAAGAAATAGCATGGAGTGGCTATTTTACTGATCTCTTAATGATCTTAGGTTTCCCAGAGAACCTAGGAGCAACCATGCAACTTAATACAGGCTTTTGGGAACTATGCTGAGACCTAACACTTAGACGAAAGCCTAATTTTTCATTCATTTACAGTTGAAAACAAAAACTGTAGTTTTACAAATATGGAGACCCATTTGCAAAAAGATTCAGAAATGTAGACAAGAGGTGACAATGAGGTTTTATAGCTATTAATGATCATGTCTGCCACCCTAAACTACAATGAGCTACATCAATGACACCAAAACTTTAAATAAATATTATGTAATTTAAGGCATTATCATTGTACAATGTTATACAATTTATATTTTTGAACAAAAAAATTTATGCGCACGATATAAACTGAAAAGTTACAAAGAGGTATAAAATAAAAAGTAAGTCTCCCCCTCACTTCTGTCAGCTATACATCAGTAACTCTTCCTTTGAAGATAATAATGTTATCAATTTCTGGTCTATTTTTATGAGAATATGACTCCTAGAACTCAGCTGGTTTGAAAGAAAATGTTTCTGGTATTTTTTTTTTTTTGAGATTTATGCAGGAACTTGGTGGGGGGAGCGGTAGGTGGAAAGGGGGTCCTTAAGTGTTATTCAATAAAATAATACCAAAATATTTCCTTTTAAAACTGCAGGTCATTGGTCAGCCGTGGTGGCTCACGCCTGTAATCTCAGCACTTTTGGGAGGCCTAGGTGGGCAGATCACATGAGATCAGGAGTTCGAGACCAGCCCGGCCAACACAGCAAAAACCCTGTCTCTACTAAAAATTAAAAAATTAGCTGGGTGTGGTGGTGCATGTCTGTAATCCCAGCTACTCGGGAGGCTGAGGCATAAGAATCGCTTAAAGCCAGGAGGCAGAGGTTGCAGTGAGCCGAGATCCCTCCACTGTACTCCAGCCTAGTGACAGAACAAGAATCCATCTCAAAAAAAATAAAAAATAAAATAAAAGAGGCAGCAGGTATCAAAAAAATTAAAAAGATCCACAGCAAGAAACATTACTGAAATTTTAAGAACACAAGACATAGAAAATCCTACAAGCTTTCAGAAAGGCACCCTCCCAAAAAAACAGGTTACCCAAAAAATTGGACTGCATCAGACTTCTTAAAAGTAAAATGAGATGTTTGAAAACAATGGCAAAATGCCTTTCAACTCTGAGGGCTAATGAATTTCAAACTAGAATTTCCTATATAGCAATCTGTAACAGTGTGAATAGAGAACAGACATTCCTGAAATCAAGGACTAAAAAGCTCACTTCCTACATGTGCTACTGAGGTATGTGTTCTAGCTCAAGTAATGTAATACCAGAAAAAGATAAAGACCTTAGATTCAAAAGTCACAGACCAAACCTAAGAAAGAAACTCTGAGTTTATAGGGCAAGCGATGATTCAAAAATAAATTGAGGCTGGGCACAGAAGCTCATGCCTACGCCTATAATCCCAGCACTTTGGGAAGGCGAGTGGATTACAGAAGGCCAGGAGTTCAAAACCAGCCTGGCCAACATAGTAAAACCCTGTCTGTACTAAAAATTAAAAAAAAAAAAAAAAAAAAAGCTGGATGTGGTGGCACATGCCTGTGATCCCAGCTACTCAGGAGGCAGAGGCTGTGGTGAGCCAAGATTGCGCCACAGCACTCCAGCCTAGGCGACAGAGCAAGATGCTTTCTCAAAAAATAAAATAAATTGAGACAAATGAAACAAGACTGGTAAAAATTGATAACCAAAGCTAGATAATGTGCATGCAGAGACTATTTTACTACTTTGTCTACTTCTGTATATGTTGGAATTTTTTTTTTTTTTTTTAAAGACAGAGTCTGGGCCGGCGCTGTGGCTCATGCCTGTAATCCCAGCACTTCAGGAAGCCGAGGTGGGTGGATCACTTGAGGCCAGGAGTTTGATACCAGCTTGGCCAACATGGCAAAATCCCTTCTTTATTTTTCTTTATTTTATTTTTACAATTTTAAAAAAAGAAAGGAAAAAAAGAAAGACCAGCCTCCCAAGTAGCTGGGACTACAGGCACACACCACCACACCCAGTTAACTTTTGTATTTTTGGTAGAAACAGGGTTTTGCCAGGTTGCCCAGTCTAGTCTCAAACTCCTGAGCTCAAATGATCTGCCTGTCTTGGCCTCCCCAAGTGCTGGGATTACCGGCATGAGCCACCGTGCCCAGCCTACTTCTATATATATTCTAATACTTCCATAATAAAAGTTTAAAGGTGGGTTGGGGTAGGTCAACAAATGGAGCTGGGAAAACTGAATATCCAAATACAAAAGAATGAATTTGGACTCCTATCTCATACCACCCAGAAAAATTAACTTAGTGGATCATAGATCTAAATATAAAAGTATACACTAAAAAATTCTTAGAAGAAAAAACAAAGTATATCTAAATGATCTTAGCTTAAGCCAAAGATTTCAAGACATGTAAAAAGCACAAATGATAAAAGAGAAAATTAGGTTGGACCTCATCAAATTAAAAACATTTGTACCACCAAGAAGTCCACTGAAAAGAGGCCAGGCGCAGTTGCCTACCATCTGTAATCCCAGTGTTTTGGAAGGCTGAGGCAGAAGAATCGCCTGAGGCCAGGAGTTTGAGACCAGGGCAACATAATGAGACCCCGTTCTACAAAAAAATTTAAAAATTAGCCAGGCATGGTAGCACATTCCTATAGTCCCAGCTACTCAGGAGGCTGAGGAGGAAGGATCACGTGAGTCTGGGAGTTTGAGGCTGCAGTGAGCTGTGATCTTGCCACAGCATTTCCAGCCTGGGTGACAGAGCGAGGCCCCGTCCTTTTTTTTTTTGAGACAGAGTCTAGCTTTGTCGCCCAGGCTGGAGTACAGTAGCATGATCTCGGCTCACTGTAACCTCCGCCTTCTAGGTTCAAGTGACACTCCTGCTGCAGTCTCCTGAACAGCTGGGATTACAGGCGCCCGCCACCAAGCCCGGCTAATTTTTGTATTTTTAGTAGAGACGGGGTTTCACCATGTTGATCAGGCTGGTCTTAAATCCTGATCTCATGTGATCTGTCTGACTCAGCCTCCCAAAGTGATGGGATTACAGGTGTGAGCCACCGTGCCTGGTGAGACCCTGTCTTTAAAAAAAAAAAAAAAAGAAAGAAAGAAAGAAAAAAAAAGGAAAAAGAAAAAAGAGACGAGTAAATGGCAGAGCTGGAACTAAAAATTAAAATTCCAAACCCAAAGGCCCATTAGTTATTTTCCAATGCATCTTTGGAATAATTGATACTTGAGTGGATACTTTCCTGGGTAATTCTTAGAAGGGACTTGTGGTAGATTAAAGATAGCCACAAGTTCACTGGCCTTTATTTCATTAAGAGGCAGATCAAGACAGGCTCTCTGCCTTGCCCAATAAAAATTAGTGGTAGCCTTTTCTAAGCCCAGGCCTTACAATCCTGCAAACTTTCATGTCCTGTTTCTTGGAATGTTCTCTCTGGGAGTCTCAAGTTGCCATGTACAAAGTATGATCACCCTGCTGGAAAGACCACAAGGGGAAATTCTGAGACTACATGGAGTGGAAAAAAACCTCAGTTACCCCTGTCAAGGACTAGGATTCTAATGAAGCCGTCTCAGACCTTCTACATAAACCTACCTATGAAGTTAATACTACTAAATGACTCAATTGATACATGTAGCAGAATTGCCCAGCTGTTTGGTGTTAAAATTTAACAAAATTATGAGATTTAATAAAATTGTTATGTTTTAAACTACTCAATTTTGCTATTGTAAAATAATTTGGTATCTGGAAATGGGGAGCTTTTGTAACAGAAACCTAAAATGTTTCTCTTTGGCTTTGGGACCACATAGTGGGTGCAAGCTGAAAGGGCTTTAAGAAAACCATCATTAGGTAATAAAGTACAGGGAGGAAAATAGTACTGAAGGTTGAAGAAATAGATCTTTATTATCTAGTAGCACAACTTTTGGAAACACCATCATCTCTAGTCATGAGGAAATAGAAAGGGTAATTAATAAACTTGTGGATATGGCTGGGGCATTTCCAGGCCATGGAAAAATTCTTTTTCTATTTTATTGTGAGCAGCTAGAAGAGCATTGAAGTAAAGAAGCAACTATTAGGTTTTCAGGCAGAATTTAGAGGAAATATGAAAAAGTGGGATTTGAATAAAACATTATTTCTCATCTCTGGTTCCTTCCAGCAAGAGTCTGAAGCTAAGAAATGGCTTTGGGAGAAAGATCCAATCCAGAGCACTACCAGCAAAGGATGACCTCAGGGTAAAGAGCTCGAGGTGCGGCTATAAAGCTTTTTGAATGGTATTTATAGTAGGACTTCTAAGAGTCTTGAGTATATGCCTTAGAGCTTTCTACTAGACATGAGGGCCTCTAAGCATCTTTTAGATGTTTTTTTGAGACAGGATCTCACTGTCATTCAGGATGAAGTGCACCAGTGAGATCACAGCTCACGGTAACCTCAAACTCCTCAGCTCAAGAGATCCTCCTGCCTCAGCCTCCCGAGTAGATAGGATTATAGGCATTACACCACCACGCCTGGCCAACTTTAAAAACTTTTTGTAGAGACATGATCTCTCTCTGTTGCCCAGGTTGGTCTCTAACTCCTGGCCTCAAGCAATCCTCCTGCCTCAGCTTCCCAAAGTGCTGGGATTACGGTGTGAGCCACTGTGCTGGGTCTAAACATCTTTATAGCATGTCTCCTATATATATATATATTTTTTCTTTCATTGAGCTTCTTAGGTCTGTAAGTTAAAGTTTTCATCAAATTCGGAAAGTTTCCACACAGCCAATATTTATTTTTATTCTGCCTACAACACTCTTTCCTTTCTGAAGCCCCATGTTTGGACACTTACTTGTCCCACAATTTCCTAACCAAGCTCTTTATGACCTTTCAGGAATAACTGCCTTTGCTTTTGTTTTCTGCTTAGTTCATATCACTGTGCTGAAAGATTTGTTTCTAACCACTGTCCCTAGTTTTAAACTAGTTTTCTGTGTCACCTCTACAAGTTCACCTCTCAGCTTCTTTGCATCATCATTACTGAAGCTACAAATCTAAGATCCTTCCAACTAGACAAAAAGGGATCCAAAAATTAAGGGCTTTGTTCTCATAACATCTTAACTAAGACTAGGCAAAAATTGGGGGCTTTGTTCTCATAACATCTTAACTAAGACTAGGGCAAAAAGGGAACTATGTAGGCAAGAAAACATAGGTGTGGCTTTTGTCTAACGGGAATTACTTTTTTTCTTGAGACAGAGTTTCACTCTGTCCCCAGGCTGGAATGCAGTGGCATGATCTCAGCTCACTGAAATCCCAGGTTCAAGTGATTCTCGTACCTCAGCCTCCCAAGTAACTGGGCCTACAGGCACGTGCCACTATGACTGGCTTAATTTTTGTATTTTTAGTAGACATGGGGTTTCACCGTGTTGGCCAGGCTGGTCTTGAACTCCTGACCTCCCTCAAATGATCCGCCCACCTCGGCCTCCCAAAGTGGGGATTACATTTTAAACACAGAAATCCCACAAAGTTCTCAAAAAATTACAACACCTTGAACTGAAGTAGAAAGAACATAAACTGGGCCTACAACAAGTAGAATGCAGGCCAAGACAGCCAATCACTGCAAAACTCTGCTAATTTTTTAATGGAAAAGGAAAAAGACTCAGAAGAAAAAACTGAAAGCCCAGAGGGCCAAGTCAAACTGTGGAGAACAATTCTGCGAGTAGGACTGGGCCCTGATGAAGGAACTGGAAATGTGTGCCTGGCTAGATTTCAAATTTGCCATCAACGATGACTGCTCTGTGTCTCCAATTCAAACCCTCCTTGAACAGAGTGCAGTTAACCTTGATGTGTCTCACCCCTACTATACTAGTCCAGAAAATCTTCAAATTATAGTATCAGCATTCAAGAAGTTGTAAATAGGAACCACTCCTAAAGAGCCTCATCTGTATGTGGACCTGATTTACATAAGATCCGAGACCTCCAACCTCAGCTTGATATCATAATGAGATAAAGCCATGAGAGATCTATTTTTCAGTGGGGGAAAGGTATACAATTTATGACAAGAGAGTAGACTGTGGAGGGTTAAGGTGGCACATCTTCTACCTTGAGCTGTGCTCTGTGTCCCCTTACCTTGAATTTGGACAGAACATTTGACCAGTAGAGTAGGGCAGAAATTATGCTGTGTCAGTTTGGGGTTCCAAGTCATAAGACACTGGCAGATCCTCCTCCTTGCTACTTGTGACATTCTTCTCTCAAAGTTCTAAGCTTTGTAAAAAGTCCAACTACTCCTGAGACTACCTTATACCAGCTTCTTAGAAAGGATGTATAGAGAATGATGGTAGCCATCTCAGCCGAGGCATAGGCATATAAATGAAGTTGTCTCTGGCCCTCTATAATAGCCCAGCGATGAGGTAGTACTGAGTGACTCTAGTCAATGCGACATGGAGCACATTTTACCAGCTAAACCTGCCCAAGTTCCTCACTGCAATATCATGACAGATAATAAAATGACTGAGGTTTTAAACGACTAACTTCAAGGGTAGTTACATCGTTACATAGCAATAAATAACTGTAACAGGAATATTGCTGATGCTCAGATTACAGATTCTTGAAAGGTCTGGCAACAGTGGTGACCAGGGTGTTCCAAGCAGAAGCTACAGGGAGAGGCCCAACCTTTCACATATTGGCTTTATAGAGCCTGAGAAGAATGATGAGGTCTGGGATGGTGCCACAGAAGATATACGGCAGCAGTCCCCAGCCTTTTTGGCAGCAGGCACCAGTTTCACGGAAGAGGATGAAAGACAATTTTTTCCACGGGGCCTGGGGCAGGGTGGGGGTGGGGGGTGGGGGGTGGTTTCAGGATGAAACTGTTACACTTCAGATCATCAGACATTAGATTCTCAAATGAAGCACACAACCTAGATCCCTCGCATGCACAGTTCACAAAAGGGTTTGCACTCCTATGAGAATCTAATTCCACCACTGATCTGAAAGGAGGCAAAACTCAGGCAGTAATGCTTGCTATCACTTGCCCTGTCACTCACCTACTGTTGTGTGGCCTAGCTCCTAACAGGCCAGTGGGGTTGGGGACCCCTGATATATGGAACATAGGAGAAACAACTGGAGATAAATGATTAACAAGAAGCAATAATCCAGCTGGCATAGGGTTGAGGCCAATTTTGCATTACAAAGCATGAATTCCAACGAGTAGAACAGAAGTAGTTTCTATGTAGTCATACAAAAATGAAACTGAACAGGACTAACTGTAGGCAAAATAATCAAATGGGCTATTTTTTCCTGACACATTGAGAGGATTATTAAGGTATGGTAACAACGATCAACTTGCTTAGTGTAAATCAATTTCAATCAACCCCTGTCCGTTAATACCTTGTGACTAAAGTATACAATGACATTTTTCACACCTCCAGAAAGAGTTTCATGCTGGAAGCAGTGGCTGACACCGGTAATCCCAGGACATTGGGAGACTGAGGTGGGCAGATTCCTTGGCACCAGGAGTTTGAGACCAGCCTGGGCAATATAGGGAGACCCCGTCTCTACAAAAAATTTTAAAATTAGCTGAGTGTGGTGACACATGTCTGTGGAACCAGCTACTTGAGAGGCTGAGGTGAAAGGATCTCATTTGAGCCCAGGACATGGAGGCTACAGTGAGCTGTGATCACATCACTGCATTCTAGCCTGGGCAACAGAGCAAGACCCTGACAAAGCAAGCAAGCAAGAGAGTGAGAGAAAGAAAAAGAGAGAGAAGGAGAGAGAAAGAGAAAAAAGCAAGAATGAATGAAAGAGAAAGAGAGAAGGAGAGAGAGAAGGAAAAGAATGAGAAATTGCAGAAACAATGCATCAAGTTATGAGACATTTCTAGGGGGTAAGAGTCTTCCCGTTGTCCCAGAGCTAATACCCAATTACCATGTTGCCACGAATACAAACCTACTTTTGCCATTTTGGAAAACGTATATATGAGGTGGTTTGTAGAATAAATTCAAAGGAAATATCTGTGGTTTTAAGAAAATGTGATCTCTGCTTTCTTGGAAGAACTGAACCTACTACTGCTGACAAAAAGAGAACATGCTCTAATATGGGGGATTTATAGTTTATCCTGGCAATAGTTCTGGGCCTTCCTTCTCCTCTAAGCCTAAAGACCCAGATAGAAAGGATCCAGAGCACCCAAACAATGGTACTTCTGCTTACACCCACACACCACTCCTTTAGTTGAGACAATTCACAGCTTGTCAGCAGGTGCAATGAAAAAATGGACATGCTCTTGAAAAACCTTTCAGGGGACAATAACAGAAGCCATAAAGCATGCCACCTCATCTGTTTAGGAGATAGACCTAGAACCTCTAATTATCACTCCACGTCAGTATGACAAAAGATTCTTAAGGAAAACTTTTAATAACAAAGCTGTTTATAGACACAGAAGAAAATGAGAATAAGAGAAACTTGGACTGGCTACATAAGTTATATATTAATTATAGTAATTTAAGTGAATTCCTTACCCCCCTAATTACCATGTAGTATGAAAATGATCATGTGTGCTATCAAATTTATCAGATCCCAGCTGTAAGTGGCACTGAAGGGTTCACATGTGCCAAGTCGTGCAGCATGAGCATTTGTACACTTTCATAACTCAGAGGGAAACCTAGGTGTTTTGAGAATGAAGATACGAGCTCCTAGTAAATAGAAGGAAGAGTGACTGATGACGAGGGAGTGAAAGTTCAATGACCTGGAGAGAAATTCTTCTTTGGACACCTTTTAAATTTTGTATGGAATAGTGAAGGGGCAGGCCAAATGATCCATAAAAGTAGTTTCTCTGCAGTGAAGGAGTCAAGCTATTTTAAGATAATCAGTAGTGTATACCAGGCAAATCTTTGTGCCCAAAGTTGCACACAGTAACAGCTATGAGGCCAGAGGAAAACATCATGAAGGATTTGTGAAACTTAAAAAAAAAATTTTTTTTTTGTAGAGACAGAGTCTCACTATGCTGCCCAGGCTGGTCCTGAACTCCTGAGCAAATGTGATCCTCCTGCCTTGGCCTCCTAAAGTGCTGCAATTACAGGTGTGAGCCACTGCACCCAGCCTCATGAAACTTTTAAAAGGTAATCTACCATTTTAGTTCTTCCTATGGCAATATACACTGAAGCATAGCACAGTGGTATCAAGAGGAGAAACTGGCCAGGTGAGGTGGCTCACACCTGTAATCCTGACACATTGAGAGGTCAAGGTGGGCAAATCTCTTGAGCCCAAGAGCTCCAGACCAGCCTGGGTAACATGGCAAAACCCAGTCTCTACAAAAAAATTTAAAGAGGAGAAATAATAGGAAGAAAAAACCATGCTCTGTAAGAAAAGAATGTCCGAAAAAGCTTAGATAGAGATAAAAGAATCAATTCTGTTTGGCAGAACTACAAGAAACAGTTCAGGAAGGACAGGTAAGAAATAAGGGTTGAGAACTAAGTAGGGTCCTGATTATAGAAAAATCCTAAATTCTCTACTAAAGAGTTTGAAATTGCAGCCAGAGAGAGATAGGGAGGTTACTGAAGAAAGTAACATGTTCCTATTTGCATTTTTAAAGATTTCTGCACATAATGTAGGATTCCATTTATATGAAGTTAAAAAAAAAAAAAAGGAGAAACTAATCTACGGTGTAATGAGACAGACTAGTGATTACTCTCCAGGGAAGGCAAAGTAACTGGAATAAGAGGAAGCTTCTGGAGGGGCTGGTAATGTTGTTTATTGAAACGGATGCTTGTGACATAGGTGGGCCCAGTTTGTCAAAAATTCACAAAGGTGTAGGCTTCAGTATGTCCATTTATTTGAATGTGAGTTATACTTAAGAACAAGTTAAAAAGCAAGAAGATTACATTGGCTGCGGGTTAGAGAATGGGACTGAGGAGACAGGCAAAAGATTAAGGGATGCTGACCTGAGTGAGCAGTTGAACATTAGCAGGTGATCTAAAGCACCATGAAGAATTTCCTGGCTGAATAGCTATGGAAAATGATGGAACCAGGAGTCAAAAATGAGCCGAGGTTGCAGGTTTGAAGACTGAGGAAGGGCACAAAGGAGAAAGCCCTCTCCACCTCTAGCTCCTCATTTATAATGCGAGAGGCCGGGCATGGTGTCTCATGCCTGTAATATCAGCACTTTGGGAGGCTGAGGCAGGTGAATCACCTGAGGTCAGGAGTTCAAGACCAGCCTGATCAATATGGCAAAACCCTGTCTCTACTAAAAATACAAAAGTTAGCCGGGTATAGTGATGGACGCCTCTAATCCCAGCTACTTGGGAGGCTGAGACAGGAGAATCGCTGGAACCCAGGAGGCGGAGGTTGCAGTGAGCCAAGATCACACCACTGCACTACAGCCTGGGGGACAGAGTGAGACTGTCTCAAAAAAAAAAAAAAAAAAAAAAATATATATATATATATACACACACACACACACACACACACACACACACACACACATATATATAAAATGTGAGAGACTATGACCACGATAATCCTTCAGATCTCTAAAACACCTAATGACAGTATTACAGTAAGAACTTGAGCAGCTCAGAGACAAAGAGATGCACAAACACTCCAGGGTAGCAGAAGACAGACTAAAAAAGATGTTTGCAATGAAAGAGCAAAACCGGACAAATGGTGAAAAAGAGTCAAGTTATATTAGCCGTCACTTAAGCAAGCATGTACCTCAAAACTTCCCAGAGGGGGATGTAGGGGAGATAGAATAACTAAAATTAGCTAAAGAATCAGACAGGAGATATCTTTCTGATTCTTTAGCTAATTTTAGTTATTAGGAAGTATTACCTAGTTTTAGTTATTAGGAAAAGGGCAGGTAGTATAAATTTGTAGGATTTCGAGTTAGTATAATAACAATGATCAGCCGGAGTAACTCTCTGGGTTGACTGAGCATTTGCTGCGGCCTGTAAACACCTCCCTAACCTCCATTGTCTCTATCTATGTCAGATGGGTGGGCATTCAAAACAGTAATCTTGTAGTTTGAATTGGTTCATCATATCAGATTAAACACTTAGAGAAGTAGTTCACAGTAGCTGAATGATCTGGGGAATTAAAGATCATGAAAAAGCATCTTTATTAAAAGATCAAAAACAGTTCAAAATAAAATGATTAGCAATGTTCTAGTAATCACTGTTTCTTGAAATGTGGTATCCTATAATGGAAGGAAACTACTTCTGAAGTAGAATGAAGAACAGGGGAAAAGATTTTTAAAAACTTACATATTCATGTTTAGAATTACTTAAAATGCTAAATTAACACAGAGAGGAAAGTAACATTCTCATGTCTTCTTAAATATGCTCTGCAGCTAATACTATAAATAGAAAAAACCACCCCCAGAAAAGCTGGCAAATTCAAGAAGAAAAAGAGCTATTTTAGGGTCTCTCTCTCCTTTCAGTCTGTAAGATCAGGGTGAAGTATTTAGGCAAGGAAACAGGTTTTTGTCTTAAAAATCATAAATATTTCAATCTGGTAGAAATTATTGGAACAATAGTCCAAGATAAGTTCTGCAGGCAAATTAAAAACAAAATGATAATCAGTTCCTTAAAGAGACTTTAAAATTTGCCTTCAATCTCTGCAGTCTTTACAAGGCTAAATGGTATAATGAATGGAATGAAAAAAGTCACCCTTTAGACTGGATCTACTATTTCTATAACCCTCCTCCTGCCTGTGGATTTCTTAACCTAGAAATGCCATTCAAGCAGTCATCTCCTATTGGGAGCAAAGCTCTTTATACTAAATGTTCCCAATTAACTAAAAACAATACGACCATTCATGCCTTAAGAGAGCACTGGAAAAGGGCTGTCAGGGGCAAACCTTGGCTTTGGTAGCCGCTGAGGCAAGAGCAGCTGCTGCGGCTGTGGCAACATTTCCTTCGGAAATTTCATGTTCTACTTTCTTCTTCCCAGTATCACTTTCTCTTTCTTTACATGTATCAGTGAGTTCTTTGTTCTCTTCAGTCTCCTTTTCTTCTGAAAATATCAGAAAGCTTTGTTACTAGCGTGCCCACTCTCGAAAACCCATCTTTCTCCTTACCTCCACCACTATAACAAACTAGGACTGATATGACAAAGAGATGTCAATGCCTTTTTCTTCTTTTTAAGAGTTCTGTTGAGCCATTCCATGCATTTAGGTTTGCCTCTATTGGGGACATATTTTCTAAACAGCACACTTGTTTTCCTATCATTTTGCTAAGTTCTATGTGGAGGTCCCTTGGATATATATATTTAAAGGAACATACAGGGGAACTAAGTCTAAGGCCAACGTACTTGCTCATCAATCAATGAAATGCTCTAGGAACTCTAGTGTCTGTAGGAAATCAGAAGCTGAGAACAGACTACTTCTCTAAGCCTGACAGGCATGATGGGGTGTATCAGCAACTGACACAGAAAATGAAATGGGAAGTCTGTGAGGTGACTTCAATACTGTTGAATAACTTTTTCTTCTACATATTAAAAGCACAGAAAAAAGTGTAGCCACCAGCATTAGTATTAGCACCTATCTGAATGAAACTCAATTACATACTTATTGTTACATTAAGAAACAAACCCAAAATAAATGAGGAAATATTTCTATATAAACCACCTTCATTTCTCCAGTGCCTTTTACAGTTTTACATAATAATATCTAAGGAGTTTCCTCAAATTACCTGATTTGGTATCCTCACTCACTTCACTATCCTGTTCCTTTTCACTATTTTTTTCATTTTCTCCATCTTGTGCTTTATCACCTTCATCCGTTTCATTTTCCACTTTATTTTCTGCCTGAAAGGGATATAAAACAAGAGGACAGGCAGTGAACAAAAAAACCCCAGACCTTTTTATGAGTAATTATCTTAGACTAGCAAAAGGTTCCAATATTTTTGGCAAGAAATAGACTAGATTCAAAAGTGACTTGTAGAGAACAGCTCGAAAAGAACTAATACATTCCAAGCAATACTTTCTACCACTTCAACACTTGAGTGCTCACAAGATGTTCCTCCAAAGCACAGAGTCGCTGCCCTCTCTGCATACTCTGCTATAAAGCAAGGGTTACCATGCCCAGAGGAATGTGAAGGGAATTAACTGATATTTTTGTTGATTAAAAACAGGCCGGGCCGGGTGCAGTAGCTCACGCCTGTAATCCCAGCAGTCTGGGAGGCTGAGGCAGGCAGATCACCTGAAGTCAGCAGTTTGAGATCAGCTGGCCAACACAGTGAAATCCTGTCTCTACTAAAAATACAAAAAAGAAATTAGCCGGGCATGGTGATGGGAACCTATAATCCCAGGTACTCAGGAGACTGAGGCAGGAGAATCCCTTGAACACCCGGGAGGCAGAGATTGCAGTGACCCAAGATCACACCATTGCACTCTAGCCTAGGCAGCAAGAGTGAGACTCCATCTCAAAAACAACAACAACCACAACAAAATATATATATGTGTGTGTGTGTGTGTGTGTGTGTGTGTGTGTGTGTGTGTGTGTGTGTACTTAATAATTACTGATTGATTTAAAGAATTAAGAGCATTTAAATGTCACACCATCAACAAAGAAGCAAGTTGAAATGCTGCTGGAAAAGTTGACAAAGTCTTTTAATACAGCCATCTGCTAATAATTTCAGGAAGAACCATGAGAGAACATCAGTGATCATGCTTTAGAAACTGAAAAAACCGCAACTGACTATCACTGACTTCATGAGGCTATATTGTTTGCTTAGAGGCAGGGTCCCCCTATGTTGCCTAGGGTGGTTTCAAAGTCCTAGTATCAAGTGATCCTCCAGCCTCCCAAGTGATCCTACAACCTTCCAAGTAGCTGGGACTACAAGTATGACACACCACACCCAGCTGAGACTCTTTTAGGAATTAAATGAAATTAAAAATGTGAAGTACAAATATCGTCTTTAGAATAATGCAGGAACTATAATCAATTTCATTATTACCCTCACCCTCCCCTTAACTATATACAATTTTAGAATACCACATATAATCAAGACCTTCAATCTTGGCTTATATATATTCACTCAAATAGTGACTGACTGATCCCTATGTGCAGTAACAGTATTAGGAACACAAAGGCCCAGAGGCTGGGCGTGGTGGCTCATACCTGTAATCCCAACACTTTGGGAAGCCAAGGTGGGTGGATCACCTGAGGTCAGGAGTTCCAGACCAGCCTGGCCAACATAGTGAAACCACGTCTCTACTAAAAATACAAAAATTAGCTGGATGTGGTGGCGCGTGGCTGTAATCCCAGCTACTTGGGAGGCTGAGGCAGGAGAATTGCTTGAACTCAGAAAACGGAGGTTGCAGTGAGCCAAGATTGCGTTGCTGCATTCCAGCCTGTGCGACAGAGTGAGACTCTGTCTCAAAAAAAAAAAAGGAATACAAAGGCCCACATCCTGACCTTTGTAACCTCCTGTTCTGCCTCACCCATCATGCATTTACAGTCTCCTACAGAAGAGAGATTGAGCCACTAACACACTGGCTACTTTGAAGCTCTTCACACACTGGCTTTAGTGTCTCTCCTCTCCAACTAGTGGGAATCTTTGATTTTCTAACCTCTATTTCAATCTTTATAGTTCTACCTACTCTTTAAAACCTACCTCATATGTCATCTTCTCATTCTTTTCTTAAGATTCTTCTGCAGGCAGTTAGCCCTCATAGGAAATCACTTACTATTCTGTCATTCTCTCCTGGCACAAGAATAGGACTCAAACCTTAAAATTCGATATTCACAAGAACCACAACTTTTGTTGTTGTTGTTGAGACAGAGTCTCGCTCTGTCGCCCAGGATGGAGTGCAGTGGCGCGATCTCGGCTCACTGCAAGCTCTGTCTCTCCCGGGTTCACGCCATTCTCCTGCCTCAGCCTCCTGAGTAGCTGGGACTACAGGCACCCACCACCACGCCTGGCTAATTTTTTTGTATTTTTAGTAGAGATGGGGTTTCACCATGTTAGCCAGGACGGTCTCGATCTCTTGGCCTTGTAATCCGCCCACCACAGCCTCCCAAAGTGCTGGAATTACGGCGTGAGCCACCGCGCCCAGCCAAGAACCATAACTTTTGTATTCATAGTCCCAACTTGTGTATTCATATTCCCTCTTCTTTTGTGGGAAATTCATATTCCTTCTTCTTCTAATGCAATGAAATTAGATGTTTAAAATATAAAAGAAGAGGATAGGGAGTGAATACACCTCCCCAGTGAACAAATGAAAAATGTCCTATATTATATCCTGTGAGAACTATACCTTAAACCAGCAAAGTCCAAGTAGCTGATAGAATTATTTAGAGTCCCCTAAGAGGGACTCAAAAACACCCAAAAAACAAACCATTATGGTCTGAAAGGCATGCTATCTGTGGTTTTACTGCTGTGAGACTTTACCTTTTCAGGCTGCTGACCATCAGGGTCGGCTTCCATTTTTTCCTCTTCAGCTCCTTCTACAAGTAAAAGAATAAGAACAAGTACTCCAATGTGGAAAAAGGTAAAAGCTATTATTATACAGCTGTGAGAGTGTCTGAAATACAAATATATACAGTAATACATAACGAATATCATAGCCATACAGTTGAAAAAAGAAGTCAGGCACAAAACAACACACACTGTATGATAAAGTTCAAAAACAGGTGAAAAGTAATCTATGGTGTCAGCACTCAGAACAGTGGTTAACAGGGGGAAGGGGTGAATTATACAGAAAGCAGATTCAATTGGGAAAGGGGAGGTCCTAGGGTGCTGGTAACGCTCTGTTTCTAGGTCTGGAATTTGTAGAAATGAACTAGGCTGTCTGCTTAGGATTTTCGATTTTCTGTATGTATTAAAATATAAAGGCAAAATAAAAATAATTCATTATTATTTAACAGATGCCTGACAAGTATGTATTTTGACTCAGGTACTGGGGAAACACTATGACCCAGATATTCACTGAAATCTCAAGAGGATATCATTTTGGCTAGACAGGACACAAACCAGCACAGTATAACAGAAGCACATATCAATAAATTACATGAGAAAATTATTATTTCAAATATGAGAAAATTATTAATTTTCTACACTTTTAGGAACCTAATAAACTAATGTCAAACTGTGTAAGCAGCCAGGCATGGCCGCTCATGCCTGTAATCCCAGCACTTTGGGAGGCCGAGGCGGCTGCATCACAAGGTCAGGAGTTCGAGACCAGCCTGGCCAACTTGGTGAAACCCTGTTTCTACTAAAAATACAAAAAAATTAGCCAGGTGCGGTGGTGTGCACCTATAGCCCTAGTTACTCAGGAGTCTGAGGCAGGAGAATCACTTGAACCAAGGAGGCGGAGGTTGCAGTGAGCCGAGATTGCACCACTGCACTCCGGCCTGGGAGACAGAGTGAGACTACATCTCAAAACCAACCAACCAACCAACCAACCAACCAACCAACCAACCAACCGTATAAGCAAAAACTGAGAGTGGCAGGGAAGAAACAAAGACAAACATCATCATAAAGGATTTGAATACACCTCTCAATAAGATATAGAGCAGATATGAACACAGAAAGATGGTACAAATGTACACATGCTGAATTCTACATCCATCAATTAGGTGATAATACACATTAATTTCAAGCTCACACAACATTTTAAAAATAGTGATCACAAATTAGGTCACAAAGTGAGTCCTCAACAAATTTCAAATAACCACTACCATACAGATCAATTTCTCCAACCACAATGCAATGAAATTAGATGTTTAAAATATAAAAATAAACTTCTCTATGCATGGAAACTTAATTGTGGGAAGTAAAAGTAGTAATTACAGAGAACGTAAAGCCTTAGGCTTAAATCAGAAAAGAAATAAAGGCTCAAAGTATATGAGCTCCATGTCCTTTATGAGATAGTGAAAAAAGAAAACAATATAGAAAGTAGGGATGGAAAAAAAGAAAATAGAAAAAAAATACACTAGAGATTTAGAAAAATATACAAGAGAATTAATATTCCCAAACGTTGGTTCTTTCAAATGATGAATAAAAATGATAAATATAACTGATGAAGAAAAGAGAGAGATGACATAAACAAACTATATGAGGAATGGATGAAAGAAAGCTCATGACAGAACAAGGTCAAAAAGGAAGTGATAATATATTCTGAAAAACTTTATTCCAAGTAAAATTTAAAAATTAGATCAAATGGGAAAATTACTAAAAATTTATTTTTATCAAACTGATTCCAGAAGAAAAAGAAGTCCTGAATTGTCTTTACATTAGTCAGAAAAACTGAAACAACTATAAAACTTAAAAATACACAGGTCCAGATGTTTTACACTGGGGAATTCTACCAAACTCTTAGGGAAAAGATTATTACAATCTTACATAATATTTCCTAGAGAATAGAAAAAGAGGGAATTCCCCTACCTCAGTCTATGATACCAGTATAACTTTGATTCACAAATCAAACAGGGACAACGGATAAGAAATATTAGACGACACTAGGCTAAATCTCATTTGTAATCACAAACGAAAAACTAAGCAAATTATACTAAAAAAAAAGAATAGAGCAATATGTTTAACAAGAAAATCTATACTAGACAGAGTAATATCAAGGATGACTTAATATTAGTACTCTACAAACCTATTTAATTAAATGCATTGAAAAGTATCTGACAAAACTCAGTACTGTCCATTATAAGCTCCTGGAAAATCAAGGCTACATGGAAGGTTCCTGATCTCCAGAAGGCTGTTCTCAAAAATCCTACAACAAATAACATTCTTTGCTGAAAGATGCCAACAGTATTCTCTATATAAAATTAAGAGCAAGACAAGAATACAAATATTACTATTTCCCTTCAATATTGTCATACAGGCCAAAGCCAACACAGTCAATTAAGAAAAAGAAATTAGGCTGGCCGTGGTGGCTCATGCCTGTAATCCCAGCACTTTGGGAGGCCAAGATGGGTGAATCACTTGAGTCAAGGAGTTTGAGACCAGCCTGGGCAACACTGTGAAACCCCGTGTCCACAAACTATACAAAAACGAGCCAGGCATGGTGATGAGCACCTGGTCTCAACTACTCAGGAGGCTGAGGGAGCAGGATCGCCTGAGCCTGGGAGGTCAAGACTGAAGTGAGCTGAGACCTTGCCACTGCACTCCAGCCTGGATGACAGAGTGATACCCTGTTTCAAAGGAAAAAAGAAGGAATAAAAGGAAAGCTGAAAAGAAAATAGTTAAAATGTGCACAGACTAAAACTGTCTACATACAAAGATCTGCAGAAAATTTATTAGAAATAATGATAGGGTTTAGGAAGGTAGTGAGCTATAAAACTACCATATAAAACCAACTGCTACATTTTGATATGCTAACAAAAAAAATCTAGATAAAGACACGTGAAAAAATAAAACTTGAATGTTATCTTAAACAAGACACAAAAAGCATTTAGGATAAAAATGATAAACATCACTTTTTAAAAATTACTTTTATGTACATTTTTAAGAGAAATGGTCTCTGTAATGCAGGTTGAAGTGCAGTGGCGAGACATAGCTCACTGCAGCCTCAAACTCCTGGGCTCAACTGATCCACCCGCCTCAGCCTCTTGAGTAGCTGGGATTACAGGCGTGTACCACTGTGTCTGGCTAATTTTGTTTATTTTTTGATAGAGATGGTAGTTTCACCGTAATGCTCAGGCTGGTCTTAACTCCTAGCCCTAAGCGATCCAATCGCTTCTGCCTCTCAAAGTGCTGGGATTACAGATGTGAGCTATCGCATCCATCCCTGAAACATATAACTATTAAAATCAAGGACTTCTCCTCTTCATTAAAAGACTCCAAAAAAAAGAAGAAAGAAGTAGCAAAATGGAAGAAAACATGTAGTGTAGTAACTTGCAAAAGATTAGTACATAAGATCTATAAAGAAAAAGGCAAATACTATACAAAAGTAAGCAAGTCAGGAAGAGTTGCTTTACAGAAGTACATATGACCAATAAATATAAGAAAAGATACTAGGTTTTGCCCGGTGCAGTGGCTCGGACCTGTAATCCCAACACTTTGGGAGGCCAAGGCAGGTGGATCACTTGAGGTAAGGAGTTCGAGGCCAGCCTGGCCAACATGGTGAAACCCCGTCTCTACTAAAAGTACAAAAATTAGCTGGATGTGGTGGCGCATGCTAGTAATCCCAGCTACTCAGGAGGCTGAGGCAGGAGAATGGCTTGAACCCGGGTGGTAGAGGTTGCAGTGAGCCGAGATTGCGCCACTGCACTCCAGCCTGGGCAAAAGGGCGAGACTTTGTCCCAAAAACAACAACAACAACAACAACAACAAAAACCTAATAGAAGACCACAATGAAATGTCATTTTACGCTTGGTAGATCAGCAGAGAGTCTAACACCAGGAAGGACTGGATCAAGTGGTGCTGCCTGGAATGTAAAATAGTACATATGCTTTGGGAAAAAAACCTGAAATTTCCAGGCCACGTGTGGTGGCTCATGCCTATAATCCCAGCAATTTGGGAGGCAGAGGCAGGAGGATCACCTGAGTCCAGGAGTTTGAGACCACTCTAGGCAACATTGTCAGACTCTGTCTCTATAAGAAACAAACAAACAAACAAAAAACAATTAGCCATGCATGATGGTGCACGCCTGTAGTCCCAGCTACTCAGTAGGACTGCTGAGCCTGGGAAGTTGAGGCTGCAGAGAGCTTTGATCACACCACTGTACTTCAGTTTAGGTGGCAGAGCGAGACCCTGTCTGAAAGCAAGCAAACAAATAAATAACTGGAATTTCCTAAAATGTTGTTACTCGTAGAACCCGTCCACCACAAAATAAGGAGTTGAGCAAGAAGTGTTCAAAGTTCAATATTCAAGAATGTTCACTACTCTTCCTTCACGGACAAATTCATCTGAAGAAAAAGTGACAAATGATATAGACAGCAAGCTCAGTGATGCAAGCTCCTTATCTTGGCGTGTCGGCTGGTCGACCAATCACACTTTGAGTAGCAATGCATCTAAGGGAAATCCTGTGTATGTGCACTGTGAGGCACATGCAAGACAGTACATGCATGTGTAACACAGAAACCACTGGATACAACCCAAACTGCTCATTCAATAATAGAATGGATAATTAAACTGGATTAGAATCACACAAGAGGATTTTACAGCAGTGAAAATAAATGGCTACATGCATAATGTAACCACATGAATAAATCTTAAAAACATAATATGGAGTGAACAAAAAAGAAAAAAAAAAGCAAGTCTCAGAAGTCTGACACGGTCATTTAGAGGTCCAAGAAAAAAATAAAGTCTGAATATACCATGTTTTATAAACTTTAAAAACAAAATTACATGTCACACAGTGCTTAAGTACATTTATGTTTGTGATAAAAGTTATTTTCACAGTATTTAGAATGATTCAAAATTCAAGATGCTTAGTGCTGGGAAAGGGAAAGTGAGAGAAGATATGGAAGGAACAGAATGATTCAAATTATTGGTAATGTTCTAATACTTGGTTCAAATTAAATACATAACCTGCATTAAGACACACTATAATACAATAATGAAGAGAGCGGAACAAAAAACTAAATTAAATGCAGATGGGATTATAAAAAACCCCAAAATGCAAGGCACGGGAAGCTCACGCCTATAATCTCAGCACTCTGGAAGGCTGGTGTGGGAGGAATGCGGCCAGCAATTCAAGACCAGCCTGAGCAACAAAGCGAGATTCCATATCTATAAAAAAATTAAAAATTAGCTGGGCATGGTGATACGGTGGTCCTGGCTACTTGGGAGGCCGAGGAAAAGGGACTGCTTGAGCCTAGAAGTGCAAGGCTAAAATGAGAAATGATCACCACTGCACTCCAGCCTGGGTGACAGAGGGAGACCTTGTCTCTAAACAAATAAAAATTAAGGCTGGGTGCAGTGGCTCATGCCTGTAATGCCCAGTACTTTCGGAGGCAGGGGTAGGAAGACAGCTTGAGGCCAAGAGTTCGAGACCAGCCTGGTCAATACAGTAAAAGCCCACCTCTACACAGAAAAAAATTAAAATGAAAAACAAAATTAGCTGAGCACAGCGGCATACACCTGTAGTCCCAGGTACCTGGGAGGCTGAAGCAGGAGGATCACTTGGGCCTAGGTGTTTGAGACTGCAATAAGCTATGATTGTACCTCTGCACTCCCGCCTAGGTGACAGAACAAGACACTGTCTCAAAAGAAAAACTTTTTTTGTTTGTTTGTTTGAGCTGGAGTCTCGCTCTATCACCCAGGCAGGAGTGCAGTAACATGCTCCCAGCTCACTGCAACCCCTGTCTCCCAGGTTCAAGCGATTCTCGTGCCTCAGCCTCCTGAGTAGCTGGGATTACAGGTGTCAGCCACCAGGCCTGGTTAATTTTTGTATTTTTAGTAGAGACAGGGTTTCACCAGGTTGGCCAGGCTGGTCTCGAACTCCTGAGCTCAAGTGATCCGCCCGCCTCGGCCTTCAAAAGTGCTGGGATTATCAGCATGAGCCACCGTGCCCAGCCAAGAATAACTTTTTTAAAAACTAAAAATTTTAAAAGGTTGGTTTTATGCAAATAGGAAATGAGGATGAAAGATTAATTTCTGTATTTCTCAGTATCTTTATTAACTGTATCATCCTCTTGGTATTCCATGAAACGGCAAGGTGGGGGGAGTCAACCCAATCTTGACTTTCTTCACTCTCTCACCTTCCAATAGCAATTAGTCAATAATTTCTATCAACTCCATCAATGAAAATATCTCAGGCTGGGTGTGGTGGTTCACTAGAGACTAGGAGTTTGAGAACAGCCTGCATAACAAAGTGAGACACTGTCTCTACAAAAAATTAGCTGGACGTGGTGGCGCATGCTTATGGTCCCAGCTACAAAGGAGGCTGTGAAAGAAGACTGCTTGATCCCAGAAGGTCTCTTGATCCTAGGTCAAGCCTGCACTGAGCTGTGTTCATGCCACTGCACTTTAGCCTGGGTGACAGAGCGAGACCCTGTCCCCCCCACCAAAAAAAAAAAAAAACCAACCCTCAAATATGCAACCCCACAGTGAGTATGAGCAGACATTAGATGAAGATAAAGGTTCAATCTTCTTAAAATGAGTAAAATTGAAGTTAAATAAAACTGAAATAAAAATTACAGGCTACCTGGCTGAGAAGGCAGGAGGATGGCTTGGGCCTAAGAGTTTGAGGGTACAGCAGGGTATCATTGTGCCACTGCCGTCCACACTGGGTGACAGAGTAAGACCTTGTTTATTAAAAACAAACAAAACCCCCAAACTTCAGGTTACTTTTAAAATTTCTTTCTAATCCCATGACAGATTAAGCACAAATTACTTGTAAATAAATATGAATTAGGTCACCTTGACTGAGTTGGCTCAGAGACTGAATAAGTATAATGTGGGAGAAACGCAATATGATTTTTTGTCTCGCAAAGATATCTGCTTTTGAAATGACTACACACCATCTGTAGGTCCACATTCCAAAAGGATGACACACCCACTTTCTGTATTGGTAAGGCAAGCCAAATTTGAAATCAATTCTTTAATTAGCTATGGTTCCAAGATGAAGTTACATAATATTAATATCTATATGATAATAGTACAGATAGAGACAGACTCTCTATAAGTGGAAAAATCCAGAGACAATGCTCAGGCATTTGTTTTTGTTTTTTAAGATGGGGTCCCGCTATGTTGCTCAGACCTGGCTCGGACTTTTAAGGTGATGTCTGTTAAGGATTTAATGATAGGGCCAGGTGTGGTGGCTCACACCTGTAACCCCAGCACTTTGGGAGGCCGAGGCGTGAGGATCACTTGAGCCCAGGAGTTCAAGAATAGCCTGGGCAACAGAGCAAGACCCTGTCTCTAAAAAAAATAAATAATTTAATAGTTTGTTGTGCATTTCTCAAGATGCTATGTGGAACAGTATGTAAAACAATTTCTATTCCACAAAATATTTGTTTAAATCTCTTATATCTCTTGAAAAAAGAAAAAGTCTCTCTTTGGTCTAAATTCTGGTCTGAATCATAAACACTTAGGAGGCTGCAGCCTCTCCATGTATCTCATGTCATTTTGTTATTGTTGATAAACCAACAGGTTAAAAATCCTTCCCCAAAAATGTGTAATCTGACCCATGTCTGCAGCGTTAAAAGAGGATTAAACGACTTAAACAAGAAGGCATATAACTTAAACTAGTGGGTCCCGTGCCAAAGACATTCTAGTAATAACATGGTTAGCAAAAACAGTATGAAGAAAGGTCTAGTAATTATTTCCTAACAGGCTGAAATAACTGGGAGAGGCATATTGGAGAAGAGATTTAAATGTTTGCCACATAGCTGCCTTTAATATAAGTGTGTAATAATCATGAATTACGACTATTTGGCAGGAACCACCCTCCATTTTCTGCACTTCATTTGTAAACTGCCAGCAGTTATTTTCAAAAACAGACTGAATCATGCTACTTCTATTTTCTGATGACTTCCCAATGTCTGCAAGGTAACAACCCTTCAAAATCAGTCCCCCAGCCATCTCCAGAGTTGCATGCACTTGACCAGAGTACCTGCTCCCCACAGACCTCTTGGCATTCATTCCAGAATATGCCACCTACCTTCATTTTTTCCTTATTTGTTCCTGTATAAAATGTCACATTCTTTGTGAAGACTTCCCTAATGGACCCAAGCAAAACTAACTGTGTTTCTTCTGCATGAGCCTCTACTTAAGGTCAAAACTATTTTCATAATAACACTAAGATGTTATTTGCCTTTTCATTCTCATTCTCACATAGATTTAGAGTCTGACACTTTAGAGGCTGCATGATGCACAATGAAATGATCGGTCAGACAGCGAAAAGAATGCACTCGTGAATTCTTTCAAAAGTTCCTCAGTCTTGATTTATATTACAGATGGTACCTGACTTACAGTGATTTGACTCATGGTGTTTCAGCTTTACAATGGTGCAAAAGCGATGCATTCTGTTGAAACCATAATCTGAATATCCACATGATCATTCTGCTTTTCATTTTTGATGTAATATTCCATAAATTATATGAGATATTCAATACGTTAGCAAGCTTTGTGTTACATGATTTTGACCAACTGTAGGCTAACGTAGATGTTCTGAGCATGTTGAAGGTAGACTAGGCTAAGTTACGTTTGGTAGGTTAGGTGTATTAAATGCATTTTTGACATATTTTCAACTTATAATGAGTTTATCAGAATGTAATCCCATTGAAAGCCAAGAACCATCTGTATAGCAAACATCAACAGACATAATCCACATAAACTAAAGCATTTCGGGTTCTCCTGGATATCTTTTAAGAGTATAAAGGAGTCCTGAGGCCAAAAACTTGGGAGAACTTAGTCTCAGAGATTTCTGTCTTGTCAAGAACAGAATGAAGCACATGGCAGGAACCCAGTCAATACTTATGTGAGACTAATCACGTCATTCCCTATATTTAACTGCAAGGTTCCATAAAGCCAGCAATACACAGTCCAAGCTCACAACCTTTGGCATCACAATCTCTATAATCTAGCTACAACCTACCTTTGTAGGCTATTCTTTCCATGTCCTTATTTGAACTTTGTATTGTGGCCAATCTAGTTTATTTCCCATTCTCTGAATAACTTTCCACTTCTGTTTCTGTGACTTCAATCACACTGTTTTACATAATCAAATACTTTCTTGAATCTGCTCACTGACATTCTAAACCTCTTTTACTTTTTTTTGAGACAGAGTCTCACTCTGTTGCCCAGGCTGGAATGCAGTGGCATGACCTCGGCTCAATGCAGTCTTTGCCTCCTGGGTTCAAGTGATTCTTATGCCTCAGCCTCCCAAACAGCTGAGATTACAGGGATGCGCCACCACACCCAGCTAATTTTTGTATTTTTAGTAGAGACAGGGTTTCACCATGTTGTGCAGGCTGGTCTCGAACCCCTGACTTGAGGTGATCTGTATGCCTCAGCCTCCCAAAGTGCTGGAATTACAGGCATGAGCCACCGCACCCGGCCTTATAAACCTCTTTTTCTATGTTCAGCTCAAATACTACTTTTTTTTGTGAAGCATTCCTCCATCAAAAATTACATGTCCCCTTGTAAGAATTCATTTTTTTATTTTTTAAGAGACAGAGTCTTGTTCTGTCACCCAGGCTGGAGTACAGTGGCACAATCAGAACTCACTGCAGCCTCGAACTTCTGGGCTTAAGCGATCCTTCCATCTCTGCCTCCCAAGTAGCTGGGACAACAAGTGTGTGTCACCATATCTGGCTAGGTTTTTTTTCTTTTTTGTAGAGACGAGGTCTCACTATAGTATGTTGCCCAGACTAGTCTCAGACTCCTTAGCCCAAATGATTCTCCCACCTCAGCTTCCCAAAGTGGTGGGATTACAGTTGTGAGCGACCACACCTGGCTCCTGTGTAATAATTCTTATAGCCCTTCCTGTGTAGAGTCTTCCATGGACAAATAATACTATGCTTCACTCTATTGCCAACCCACCAAATGCTAAAATTATTTTTTTCATGTATGTGTAGCACAAAAAATAGCTTCAATTAGTAGAGTATTAACTGTATGTCGCATGACATGACTTGCCCACAGCAAGGGGAATATCTCAAATATCCAAAATGCCTGATTTGATTAAACAATCCCCCAAAGGCAGACAGTTATATTTTGTAACAAAAGCCAATTTCTTCCTGAAAATATACATCCTACTACCTAATAAATATGAGACATCAGGAAAGTCACGTAAACCCTAGTCAGTCCTTAGAAATTAAATGTCCAATTATGAGCTATTCAGAAGTTTGAGTCTATATTTCAATATGTTTTTACTATACTTGAAAGAGCCCTTTAAATATAACAAAGAGAAAGAGAGAAGCCCACTCCACGTGATGTAAGTCTGATGATCAAATATGGTTCCACATTTTTCTTACATGCATTGGCCTAGGGTGTTTTCACACATGGTGTTTTAGAAGTGCCTGACTTTAAAAATAATGTTATGGAAATCCTCATGGTGAGAAGAGCAAGGCTACTTATAAGCTATGAATAGCATCTGAGGCGAGAATTCTAACAGTCATTTCTGGGCTGTATGTTCTTAGAAAGTTACTTCTTCGGTATTATTTATTTCAGGATTATCTTAATCTCATAATGGTCTAGAGACTAGTTAGTCCTTAACCTTCTTAAAAACTAGGAACCATTAGTTGGGTTCTTTAACACAGAGCTGTGACAACTGGCTCAAGATGTACTCATGGGAAACCTGTATTCCACAGGCTGTTAAGGAGCTCGGTAGACAATCTACTCATTGATATATTTTTAAAAACTCTTGATTATTCTATTTGTGATTAAATTTTACCAAAAGTCATCAACTTGTAAGGAAAACACTTCAATTAACTCAATCCCTCAAAACCTGTCCAAACCAGAATTGAGATGCAGACAGTAAATCCACTCAGTAGCAAAAGAAATGAAACTAATACTTGAGATCAGGAAATATAAATGAGGGTAACAATAAAAGATTTTTGAGAAACCCTTGACTAGCCCTTGAATGTACAAGTACATTCCAACTCTCTTGAGGGAAAGGGCTGGTGTCCCAAAAAGGGACTAAAATTCATTGTATTAAATAACTGATGTAGGAAAATGTCCTTATCCTTAGGAAATACATGGTGGACTATTTAGGCTACAAAGAATCATCGAATGTCTTCAACCTACTTTGAAATAATTCAGGCCGGGCTTGGTGGCTCACGCCTGTAATCCCAGCACTTTGGGAGGCCGAGGCAGGCGGATCACGAGGTCAGGAGATCGAGATCATCCTGGCTAACACGGTGAAGCCCTGTCTCTACTAAAAATACAAAAAATTAGCCAGGCATGGTGGTGGGCGCCTGTAGTCCCAGCTACTTGGGAGGCTGAGGCAGGAGAACGGCGAGAACCCCAGAGGCGGAGCTTGCAGTGAGCGGAGATCGTGCAACTGCACTCTAGCCTGGGCGACAGAGCGAGACTCTGTTTAAAATAATAATAATAATAATAATAATTATTATTATTATTATTATTCAAGAAAAAAATAAAAACATTTCTTTAGATAGCTAAATAAATATCAAAAAGTTGAACCTAACTAGTAGGTATACAAGATTTCACTGTGCTATCCTATCAATGTTTGCTGTAAGTAAACAAACTACAAGATAGGCGATTTTGTTTAGTTTCCAAGTCATGTAAAAAAATATCTACCTGTAATCCTAGCAAAACACAAGCATAAAATGTGGCCTTGGGTTGAGTGCAGTGGCTCATGACTGTAATCCCAGCACTTTGAGAGGCCAAGGTGGGATGATGGCTTGAGCTCAGGAGTTTGAGACTAGTCTAAGCAACATAGTGAGACCCTGTCTCTACAATAACTAAAAGAATTAGCCAGGGATGGTGGTGCACACCTGTAGTCCCAGATACTCGGAGGCAGAAGTGGGAGGATCACTTGAGCCCAGGAGGTCAAGGCTGTAGTGAATCATGATCATGCCACTGTATCCAGCCAGGGAGACATAGCAAGACCCTGTCTCTTTAAAAAAAAATAAAAATAAATAAAGAAAAGTTTAATAAAATCTTTATAGAGCTTTTTAATAAAAGCCTTAGTGATGCAATGAAGAAAATTTTCTTTGAAAATCAAATATGTTATCTGCATAATAAATCAATTTAACAACTTCTACATGGGGGTATATTCTCAATCGAAAAGTTACAGTAAGACTTGAAAAAATATAGGTCAGACTCAGGCCAGGTGTGGTGGCTCACGTCTGCAATCCCAGCTCTTTGGGACGCTAAGGCAGGCAGATTGCTGGAGTCCAGGAGTTTGAGACCAGCCTAAGCAACATGGCGAAACCCTGCCTCTATAAAAAACACACAAAAATCAAGGTGTGGTGATGCACCCCTGTGGTCCCAGCTATTGGGGAGGCTGAGGTGGGAGAATCACCTGAGCCCAGGATGCAGAGGTTGCAGTGAGCCAAGATTGTGCCACTGCACTCCAGTCTAGGCAACAGAGTGAAACCCTGTCTCAAATATATATGTCAGACTCTGACACTCTTTTGGTCAAACTGCTCCACTTGCTCCACTTTGCATAAAGACTTAAACATTAATATTTTACAATAGCCCACAAATTACCTTAACATCTCATATGACCTCCCCTCCCCCACCAATCGAGCTATTATAACTTTACATGAGCCTCCTTGCTGTTCTTCAAGTATGCCAGGTAGCTCCTGCCCAGGGGGCTTTACACTGGCTTCTGCCAATACTGGGAACACTCTTACACTGGATGCCTACATAGCAGTCTTGCTCACCTTATTTACATCTTTGCTCAAAAGTCACTTTCTCAATGAGACTTTCCCTGATCATTTAAAATTGTAATTCCCACACTTTACTCATATCCTTGCAACCCTGCTTTGCTTTTCACCATAGCACATCAGCCAACATACTCTTCATATATAATTACATCTATACACGTTAAGTTTTACTTATTTGATTAGATTGCTGTCCATCTTACACTCTATAAATATAAAATATAAAGGGGAGAAATTTTGGTTTACTTTGTTTACCAGTATCCTAGCATCCAGAACACAAAGAAATGATGTGATAATATGATACACTGAGTTTGATTTTTTGTGATTATGTCCAAGAAAGCTTCTCTGGCACAGGCTCATGCACTGAATGACACTGACTGAATTTTGGTGTAAGGTTTTTGGTTTTTATTTGAGACATGGTCTCGCTTAGTCACCTAGGCTGGAATGCAGTAGTGTGGATCACAGCTCTCTGTAGCTTGGGCTCAGGTGATCCTCTCACCTTGTCTTCCTGAGTAGCTAGGACTACAGGTTTGCACCACCATGCTCAGCTAATTTTTTTATTTTTACTTTTTGTAGAGATGGGGTCTTGCTATGTTGACCAGGCTGGTCTCGAAATCCTGGCCTAAAGCAATTCTCCTGCCTGCCAAAATGTTGGGATTACGAGCATAAGCCACAGCACCCAGGCTTCTGTGGGTTTTGTTGGCATTCAGTGGCATATAGAGGAAGTCAACCACAGCTGCTCTGCCTGATGCATTTGCCTATTTCAGGAGACAGGTGTTAAGTTCTCAAGAGGGCCTGGGCTCTTCAGCATTATATTTCCCATAGTATCTAAGACGGAATAGTATTTTGGAGCTATTAAGCCTTTAAAGATGCTTGTTCAATGAATGAAAACCACACAGACACATCTACAAATTTTACTTCTGGCAGCCTGCTACAATGAAGAGAAGTAGAGCTTTGGGATTAGAGAGATTTAGGTTAAATTTCTGGTTCAGATACACACTTATGTAACCTCTCCATGCCTCAGTTTCCTTGCTTTTGCAAAAAAAAAAAAAAAAAGTTACTTCCTCCAAAGGATTCTCCTGAAAAGAAACTCAAATGGCCAATCAAAAATCCCTATACAATGTGGACTAAATATGGGTACTCAGAAGTATTTTTTGTATGCCTAGAATGGTCCAGTCAATGAAAAACAAAAAATATATAAATGTACAGAAATTAATAGTTCTTGGTGAGTGACCATAGTTAAAAAGATGGACTGAAGAAGACCCTTCTCATAAGAAAACACTCATTTCCTAAATAATTCCTATGGGAAATCACTTAAAATATAAATGTAAGAGGTGTTTTGAGTGTTCATCCAGCTTTACTTTCTTTTTTTTTTTTTTTTTTGAGACGGAGTCTCGCTCTGTCGCCCAGGCCGGACTGCGGACTGCAGTGGCGCAATCTCGGCTCACTGCAAGCTCCGCTTCCCGGGTTCACGCCATTCTCCTGGCCTCAGCCTCCCGAGTAGCTGGGACTACAGGCGCCCGCCACCGCGCCCGGCTAATTTTTTGTATTTTTAGTAGAGACAGGGTTTCACCTTGTTAGCCAGGATGGTCTCGATCTCCTGACCTCATGATCCACCCGCCTCGGCCTCCCAAAGTGCTGGGATTACAGGCGTGAGCCACGGCGCCCGGCCGCTTTACTTTCATTTCACCATATACATCATATATTTCTTTTCTTATCCAAATTCACAATGAAATGTTAGATAGGTTAATGACAGGAACCCAAAACAAGTACTATATTTCTTAAGGAAGCTTATTTTCCCTATAGTATGATTTTACCATAGTTAATACCTATGTGTACACATTTGTAACACAGTAAATTATCACAATAAATAGTACCATGAACCCACCACCCAAGTACACTATTATCTTGCTAAGTAAAATCCTATATCACTCGGTTTCAAATCAGTGTGCTATGCAATAAGGCAGTATTTGTGACATGAAACGTAAGAGACATACTGTTGACTTCCTACTACAATTTTGTTGAGCCAATTCCCAAGGGAGAAACATTTGCTGTTTTTCAATTTATTCCATTTGTCAGAATCCAATATAAATCATATTATCTATAATAGTCCAGCATAAGTTACAGGGACCTATTCTCAACTCATTTGAAATATTTATGTTATGGTCTGTTTTCCTTACCCTTATTATAAGAGGACCCAAATTCTGTTGCTGCAATTAGTGAGTACAGAACACACTTGAAAGAAGTTAACTGGGAGGCTACTTCCAGATACCGTGAATGAATTTTACTGTTAATGCCACTCAAAGGTCAGCCCTTGTAGTCTCATGTGCCTCCTGTAGCAGTCTAACCTCTGCATGCTCCACAAACCATAAATTCACTAATGAATCAGGAGAATCCAGCCCCAAAGAAACCAAGGTTGCTAGATACTTCAGTCTTGTTTCAAAACCCACTAAACTAGAAATGGCTAAATTTGCAACCTATTTCATAGCCACTAATGCTCTATGGTATCGTCTACCAAAATGTGTTTTCAAAACATACATGTAAAAACACATCCCTCATTTGGCAAAGTACACAAATCTCACTGAATCAAATAAGACTGCCAATGTTTTTTCAACTCCATAACCACAGAGAACCAAAAGACCCTACAAATGAACCAATACCAAAAACATTTAGGAAATTAAGACCCAGGCTTCATTAGCCCCAGGTTTTTCCAGCCTATGCTGGGTACTGTCTGGTGGTGCAGAATCAACATAGAAGAACAGAGACGTGACTTCGCCTGCTAATTTCAGTCTCCATATAAGAAAAAGAAAATAAGTTAATTTTCAAACTAAGAATTATAGATACTCTCAAATTGCTTTTAAATCAAAGAGTTGGTACTCTAGGTGTAACCAACGTTAAGAAGAGTTAGAACAATAATTTGCGCAGAGGACTGGGATCTTAGTCCATTTTCTGCTGCTATAAAAGCCTATCTGAAACTAGATAACTTATAAAGAAAAAGGGTTTATTTAGCTCACAGTTCCACAGACTTAGAAGTTCAAGGGCATGGCCCCGATTCCTAGCAAAGGATTTTGTTCTGTGTCGCAACATGGCAGAGGAGGTCAAAGGAGACGCAGACAGGTGTACCAAGAAGAGAAACCTGAGGAGGGTCCTGAAATTATAACAACCCACTCTGAGGCGAATGAATCCATTACTGGGATAACTAATCCAATTCCCCAAGAGTGAGAGTGGAAACTCATTCACTACTACAAGAATAGCACCAAGCCATTTATGAAGGATAGGCCTCCACAACCCAAACACCTCCCAACACCATAACACTGGGGATCAAAGTTCAATATAAGTTTTGGTGAGGACAAAGAAACCATATCCAAACCCCAGCAGCAGGGATAAGAGGCTTCATTAATCTGAAAATGTTTCCATATAAGCAAAATGAGATGGCTAGACTGGCACTTAATTCAAACAAAGTAGAGAGAACAACAGGGGTAGGCCCTATGCAAACTCATAAAAAATGGTAAGATTTTAGGTTTGAAAGGACCTCACTGATATCCACTTGAACTGCCAAGAAGGGAGCACTAGGTGTTTATATGATATGTTCTGTAGAGCACTAGCTAGCAATTTTAATTTTTACTTCCTATTATCTTTATTCTAAGAGTAAATGAAAAAGACAATAGCCAGCAATGGTGTCATGTGCCTGTAGTTCTAGCTACTTGGGAAGCTTAGGTGGGAGAAATCACTTGAGCCTGGGAGGCAGAGGTTGTGATGGGCTGTGATCACGCCACCGTACTCCAGCCTGGGTGACAAAGCGAGACACTGTCTCAAAAAAAATAATAATAGGCCAGGCACGGTGGCCCACGTCCATAATCCCAGCACTTTGGGAGGCTGAGGCGGGCAGATCACTTGAGGTAAGGAGTTGGAGACCAGCCTGGCCAATATGGTGAAACCCTGTCTCCACCAAAAATACAAAAATCAGCCAGGTGTCGTGGCACACACATGTAATCCCAACTACTTGGGAGGCTGAGACAGCAGAATCGCTTGAGCCTGGGAGGTGGAGGTTGCATGCAGTGAGTTGAGATCACACCACCATACTCCAGTCTGGGTGACAGAGCGAGACTCTGTCTCAAAACAAAAAATAATAATAATTAAAAAGACAAATGAAAATCACTGTATCTAAAGCACAGTGTATATAAATTTCATACCAGTGAGATAAAGATGGAAATAATTAGGCAAAATGACACCTATAGTTCTTTAATCACCAGACATACATAGTTTCATAATGATAGAAAAGAAAAATATTAATGAACAATGTAAAAAATGCTGGGAATATACTACAAATAATTACAGAGACAATAATGTTTTTAGGTTGGCTCATGCCTGTAATCCCAGCACTTTGGGAGGCCGAGACGGGCGGATCACAAGGTCAGGAGTTCGAGACCAGCCTGGCCAATATGCTAAATTCCCATCTCTACTAAAAATGCAAAAATTAGCTGGGCTTGGTGGTGCGCACCTGTAGTCCCAGCTACTAGGGAGGCTGAGGCAGGAGAAGCGCTTGAACCTGGGAGGCGGAGGTTGCAGTGAGCCAAGATCACGCCACTGCACTCCAGCCTGGGTGACAGAGGAAGACTCCATTTCAAAAAAAAAGCCTCTTATGTAAGAGCACTTCCATTTGAGAAGCCGGTACTACGTATAAAGTTGCTTTATTAATTTCACTCCTCTTTAAGACTGATTAAAGAGAAACAGGTAATTAAGTCCTTAATAGCAAAAATGTCTCCTTTCTAACATCATAAAACAGCACTAGTAAACAATACATTACAGAAAGTATCTAATAATACCTGTTCTTCTACAGATGAGATAATTCAGAGCTAACCAGCAAAGGTAAATTGCTTTTTAAAGCCCTATGGCTATGAAGGGTAGAAAGAAAGGTAGAACCTAAGTCTCAACTTCTCAAATCCAATGATGACAATGCAGTCTACAAGAGAGGCACTTTTCATACCAAGAAACAAAGAGACTGAAAGTAACAAGATGGAAAAGTAAATCGATGTAAACAGAAACCAGGTCTGGCATGGTGGCTCATGCCTGTAATCCCAGCACTTTGGGAGGCAGACATGGGTGGATCACTTGAGCCAAGGAGTTCGAGACCAGCCAGGAAATATGGTGAAACCCCGTCTCTACTAAAAATACAAAAATTAGCAGGGCATGGTGGTATGCGCCTGTAGTCCCAGCTACTTGAGAGGCTAAGGCAGGAGGATCACTTGAGCCCAGGAGGTGGAGGCTGAGGTTGCAGTAAGCCAAGAGCATGCCACTAAACTCTAGCCTGGGCAACAGAGTCAGACTCCATCTCAACAACAACAACAACAACAACAAAAGTAAACAAACCTAAAAACATCTGAAATGGCACGCTAATATCAGGTAAGATAGACTTTAAGACACAAAACGTTATATAAGACAAAAAGGACATTCTGTAAAAGATAAAAGGTTCAATACATCAAAAAGATGTAACAATTATAAACATATAAGCAACAACAGAGTCTCTAAATACATAAAGCAAAAACAGAACTGAAGGAAGAAATAATTCAACAATAATAGTTGGAGATTTCAATACCCCACTTTCAATAAAGGAGAGAGGTATGCAAAAGATAAACAAGGAAGTAGACAACTTGAACAACCCTATCCAATAAGAGCAGAAAACATATTTTTCTCAAATGCACAAAGAATGTTGTCTAGAATAGACCACATGTTAGGCAACAAAACAAGTCTTAATTTAAAAATACGGAAATCACACAAATTACCTTCTCTGATTACAACGAAATGTAACTAAAAATCAGTAAAAGAAGAAAATCTTTAAAGTTCACAAATTTATGAAAATTCACAATAACATCCTCTTAAAATAGCCAGTGGGTCAAAGAAGAAATCACAACAGAAATTACAAAGTACAGGGGCTGGGCTCAGTGGCTCACGCCTGTACTCCCAGCACTTTGGGAGGCCAAGGCAGGTGGATCACCTGAGGTCAGGAGTTCCGAGATGAGCCTGGCCAACATAGTGAAACCCCATCTCTACTTAAAAACACACACACACACCAACAAAAATAAGCCAGGAGTGGTGGCGGGTGCCTGTAATCCAGGTACTCGGGAGGCTGAGGCAAGAGAATGGCTTGAACCTGGGAGGCAGAGGTTGCAGTAAGCCAAGATCACACCACTGCACTTCAGCCTAGGCAACAACAGAGAAACTCTGTCTCAAAAAAAAAAGAAATTACAAAGTACTTGAGAAGAATGGAAACATAAATAAATACAGCAAAACTTATAGAATGTCGCAAAAGCAGTGCTGAGGGAAATTTATACAGCTGTAAACACCTACATTACTAAATAAGATCTCAAATAACATACTCTACCTTAAAACAACCAGGAAAAAAGCAAATTTAACCCAAAGCAAGCAGAAGGAAAAAATGACGATTAGAGTGGAGAGAAATTATAGAACAGAAAAACAGAGAATCAATGAAACAAAAAAGCTGGTTCTTTGAAGAGACAAAATTGACAAGCCTTTATCTTGTCTGACTTTAAAACAAGAAAAGCAAGTGGATGAAATTACTATAATCAGTAATGAAAATGAGGACATTACTATCAACAGTTATGAGAGAACACTGTGAACTTAAAAAAATAGCTTTGAGATATAATTCACATACTATAGAATTCACCCATTTATTGAGATGTAATTCACATAATATAAAATTCACCCATTGAAGGAGTACAAGTCAATTAAATTAAGTATATCAACAGATACGTGCAACCATCCCCATGGTAAAACTTAAAACATTTTCGTTACTTCAAAGAGATATCCTTTTGCTATCAACCCCCAATCCTCCATTCCGCTTATGCAGAGCAACCATTAATCTACTTTGTTTTTATAGATTTCCCTCTTCAGGACATTTCTTATAAATGCAATCATATAATATATTGGCTATTTTCACTGGCTTTTCACTTACCAAATGTTTCAAAATTCATCCATCATGTGGCAAATGTAAACACTTCATTCCTTTTTACAGCCAAGTAATATTCCATTGTATGGATATACCACATTTTGCTTATCACATATCAGATGATGGACATTCCAGTTGTTTCCCCTTTTTGTTGTTATAAATTTTTTGCCAACAAATTAGATAATCTACATGAAACGAATAAATTCCTATAAGACACAAACTACCAAAACTGACTCATTAAGAAATGTTTAAATCTTGGTAGAATTATAACAAGAGACAGAATGAGGGCTAGGCACGGTGGCTTACACCTGTAATCCCAACACTTTGGCAGACCGAGGCGGGTGGATCACAAGGTCAGGAGTTCGAGACCAACCTGGCCAACACAGTGAAACCCCATCTCTACTAAAAACACAAAAATTAGCCGGGTGTTGTGGCACAAGCCTGTAGTCCCAGCTACTCCAGGGGCTGAGCAGGGAGAATTGCTTGAACCCAGGAGGCGGAGGCTGCAGTGAGCTGAGACCACACCATTGCACTCCAGCCTGGGTGACAGAGTGAGACTCTGTCTCAAAAAAAAAAAAAAAAAATGAGAGAGAGAGACAGAATCAGTAATCAAGAAAGTAAGAAAAGTCCAGGACACGATGGCTTTACCAGTGAATATTACCAAACACTTAAAGAATTAACTCCAATGCTCCTCAAACTTTTCTAAAAATAAAAATAAATAAATAAAAAATAAAAAAAAAAGAAAAAAAAAAGAACAATTCCTAACTTATTCTTTGAGGCTGGTTATTACCGTAATACCAAAACTAGATAAAGATATCATAGGAAAAGAAAACTATAAACAATATATGAATACAGATGCAAAAATCTTCAACAAAAGACTAGCAAACCAAATCTGATAGCATGTTAAATGGATTATTTACAAAGGCCATGTCGGATTTATCAAAATAAAAACCAAAAAACAAAAAGGGAGGGTGGTTCAACATGTGAGAATCAATTACAGAATAAACTAAAACTTTGGACTGTGGTTGATGATGATGTGTTAAAGTAGGTTTATCAACTATAACAAATGTACCACCCTGGTATTGATCGTGGGGAAAACTGTGCATGTAGGGGTAGTCAGGCAGTATACAGAAACTCTGTAATGTCTACTGAATTTTGCTATGAACCTAAAACTGCTCTAAGACATAAAGTCTACTAAGAAAAAAAAAAGGGGGGGGGGGCAAGAATCTGAGTAGGTATTTCCCAAGGCAGACATAAAAATGGCCAATAAACACATGATATTCAAGATGATTAGTCATCAATGCAAATACAAACCCCAACATCAAACCACTAGATTGGCTATTACAGGTAAAAATGGAAAATAAGTATTGACAAGGACATGAAAAACTTAGAAATGTTATACATTACGGGTAAGAACATAAAATGGTATAGCCACTATGAAAAACAGGCTGGCAGTTTCTCAAAAAGGTAAACAAAATTACCATATAACTCAGCAATTCTACCCCTAGGTATACACCCAACCAAAAGAAGTGAAAATCCTTAGTTCACAAAAAAGCTTGTATATAAGTACTCATAGCAGCATTTTTCATAGTAGTATAAAAGTGGAAACAATAGGCCAGGTGCGGTGGCTCATGCTTATAATCCCAGCACTTTGGGAGGCCGAGGCGGGCAGATCACGAGGTCAGGAGATCGAGACCATCCTGGCCAACATGGTGAAACCCTGTCTCTACTAAAAATACAAAAAATTAGCTGGGCGTGGTGGCAGGCGCCTGTAGTCCCAGCTACTCGGGAGGCTGAAGCAGGAAAATGGCGTGAACCAGGGAGGCAGAGCTTGCAGTGAGCTGAGATCGCGCCACTGCACTCCAGCCTGGGCGACAGAGCAAGACTCTGTCTAAAAAAAAAAAAAAAAAAAAAAAAAGTGGAAACAATAAAAATGTCCATGAACTGACAAATAAATATAATTGGGTATATCCACACAAAGAAATAATCAGCACTGACAAGAATGAGATACTGATGCATGCTACAGCATGGAAGAACCTTGAAAACATTATGCTAAGTCAAAGAAGCAGACACAAAGGCCACATATTATATGATTCTGTTTATATTAAATGTCCAGAATAGGCAAACCCATAGAGACAGAAAGCAGATTGTTAGTGGGTACCACAGCTGAAGAGCAAAAGGAATGGGGAGTGACCACTTAATAAGTATGTGACTTCCTATTGGGATGAGGAAAATGTTCTGGAATTAGATAGTGGTGATAGACACACAGCATTGTAAATATAGCAGAAGCTACTAGGTTATATACTTTTAAGCAGTTAAAATGAGGAATTTTATGTTACAGGAATTTTTCCTCAGCTAAAAAAACCCCCAAAACAATGAATTTAAACCCACTCAGCAACATATAAATTAACATAATCATAAGTCCTTTCAATATTCTTTTTTTCACCTACAGTTCCATGCATCTTTCAGTATTCTTGTATCTGTCTATTCAAAACCTGGATCTACAAACAGCAACCAGATAATTCACAACTGTAATACCATTAACAGTTACAAGATAATTTTTTAGTTCTAGCTACCAAAAGAAACAGACAAGAGAAAAAAAATCATGTACTAATCTTAAAAGACAAGTTTATACTGATCATTGTACTCACTTTTTAGTGCAAGTAAACCCAATTATTTGAGTAAACTGACAGGAATACAAACATATATTAACCCTGTCCCTTAAAAGCAGCAGTGACTCACCAAGCTTCTCTGGCTCATCGGGCCCTGTGCCTGCAATGCAGCTGCTCTCCAGACCGTAGGTGGGATCCACTTTCCCAGAGGCTCGTGCTGCTTCTTGTACTTTCTTGACATGAGCTTCAACCAATTCCAGTGGTACCTCCTCCCGGACCCGAGAAAACTCCTCTGGTTCAAGAATAAAAATGGAACAGCAATCTAACTTTGCACAAAAATTTGCTTCAGTGTAAAACCACCACCAGGAAACCCAACACAGTATTATTGTCTTAGGTGTAGCAACCTCTTCAGGCTCTCAGTCCCTCTATACCAGAAAAATGAGAGGACTAAATGAGACAAAAAATAGTAATAATAATGAAATTCTATGGTTCTACATTTTCTCCTACACATCACAGAGCCTTGAAATAAGAGATCTTTCAACTTATGCCAGTAATAATCAAAACTGCTGTCCATATTTTAACTGCTTACTAGATTAATAAGTCAAAAAAACAAAAACAGCAAGGATTAAACATCCATAAAACCAAGAAAGAGTTCTATGATGTGACAAAGTTCTAGTTACAATTAATGTGTAACCCATGAATATTAAATGACTTCCTTTGCTAGTTACACCAAATTCTAAATTAATCACAAAATACACAATAAAAAACCTCTGTCCCTCCAATTCCTAAAGCTCTTAATTTTAAGGTGCATTACTTAAAAATTTTGTAATACTTTTTTTTTTTTTTTGAGACGGAGTCTTGCTCTATTGCCCAGGGGATGGAGTGCAGTGGCACGATCTCGGCTCACTGCAACCTCTGCCTCCTGGGTTCAAGCGATTCTCCTGCCTCAGCCTCCCAAGTAGCTGGGACTATAGGCATGTGCCACCACACCCAGCTAATTTGGTGTCCAGCCAAATATTGTAATACTTTTATAAAGAATATGGTATCTTTCACAGGTAATATCTGATTTTTGTTATTTACATTAAAAGAAATGAATGTAACGGCTGGTAATATTTAAATTGGGATAAACTGAGTTTTTCTGTTGAGGAGATGGTTTAGGGAAGTCCATACCCAAAGCCGCTTTTGCTGCAGCAGATGCCACGCGAGGGTCCACCACAGATGCCAAAAAAGCAACAGTACTCATAACTGGATTTCCTGACTGACTGAAGGGGACAGGCTGGTAGGCCAAAGGCCCAAGGGAAGCATCTGAATTCTCAAGGTATGGGTCCTCAATGGGAAGTCTCAAAAAGTGGAGGATGCATTCATCCTGAGTACGACTTCCAACATGTTCCGACACTTTGTTCCAATCATCCTTGTACATCTCCAGGGCCTAAGACAGAAAAAACAGATGCTTTCATGTCAGGTAACAAGAAAGTAATGTGTAATATTAGAAGTTCTTTAGATAGCTTTTTTAAAAAAAATTAATGCAAATATTTATGCATAAATAGAAAGATTTGATGGTTTCCTTAGATTATTTTCAATCAGGCAAGTAAAATAAATAAAAGACATGCATACTGTAAAGAAAGTAGTCCAGGCACGGTGGCTCACGCGTATAATCTCAGCACTTTGGGAGGCAGAGGTGGGCAGATCACCTGAGGTCAGGAGTTCGAGAGCAGCCTGGCCAATAACATGGTGAAACCCCATCTCTACTAAAAATACAAAAATTAGCTGGGCATGGTGGTGCGTGCCTGTAATCCCAGCTACTCAGGAGACTGAGGCACCAGAATCGCTTGAACCTGGGAGGCAGAAGTTGCAGTGAGCCGAGATTGTGCCACTGCATTCCAGCCTAGGCGGCAAGAGTGATAGAAAGAAAGAAAAGAAGAAACAAAAGAAAAGAGGGAGGGAGGGAGGGAGGGAAGGAAGGGAGGGAGGGAGGGAGGAAGGAAAGGAGGGAAGGGAGGGTAGGGGAGAGGAGGGGAGAGGGGAGGGGAGGGGTGGGGAGGGGAGGGGAGGAAGGAAGGAAGGAAGGAAGGAAGGAAGGAAGGAAGGAAGGAAGGAAGGAAGGGCTTTTTTACTAATACATACAGACATGACTGTTTATGTAGAAAATTCTAAGGAAGCTATAAAAAAAAGTACTAAAACTGAATAGCTGAGCAAAGTCACAGGATAGAAGGGCAATAGAGAAACTGAACTATATTTCCATACATAATAGCAATGAACAATTTTAAATAGGAAGAAAAAAGTATTTAAAATAACATAAAAGCTGGGTGTAGTGGCACACATCTGTACTCCCAGCTACTCAGGGGGCTGAGGCGAGAGGATCTCTTGAGCCCAGGGGTTCAAGGCCAGCCTGACAAACACAGCAAGACCCTGTCTTAGGTCGCGATTTTCTCCTGCTGCTGTGGCCCAGACATGGCGACTCCGGCCCTGTGATTCCAGAGGTCCCCTTTGAACCATCGAAGCCCCCAGTCATTGAGGGGCTTAGCCCCACTGTTTACAGGAATCCAGAGAGTTTCAAGGAAAAGTTCCTTCACAAGACCCACGAGAACCCGGTGGTACCCATAGGTTGCCTGGCCACGGCGGCCGCCCTCACCTACAGCCTCTATTCCTTCCACCGGGGCAACAGCCAGCGCTCTCAGCTCATGATGTGCACCTGGATCGCCGCCCAGGGTTTCACGGTCACAGCCATCTTGCTGGGTCTAGCTGTCACCGCTATGAAGTCTCAACCCTGAGCCCAGGGTCTGGCTTTGAAAGCTCCGCAGAAATGATTCCAAAACCCAGGAGCAAGCACTGGCCCTACCATGGGACTTACTCCCTCCTCTCCTTTGAGAGGCCCATGCGTCGTTGGGGGAGGAAGTGACCCTTTGCGTAACTGTAACTGAAAGTTTTTTCAAAAATCCTAGTTTCTGTTGTTTGAATGTTACATACTTCTATTTGTGCCACATCTCCCCTCCACTCCCCTGCTTAATAAACTCTAAAAAAAAAAAAAAAAAGACCCTGTCTTAAATAGCATAATGAGATACTTAGGAGGAATAAACATAATAAAGAATGTATAAGAGCAACAGACTAGAATGAGTAAAACATGAGAGAACTCAAAGACCCAAATAAAGGAAGAGATATATTGTGTTCATTCATTAGAAGTCTCAGTATTAAGATGTCAGTTCTTTCCAAGTTGAACTACAGATTCAATACAATTCCAGTCAAACTCCAAGTAGGCTTCTTTTTAGTAGAAATTGATAAACTGATTCTAAAATTTATAAACTACATACATTTCTAGTTTTATAATTTATTATTTTTTCAGAGAAAATCCTGAAAGAAACCAACAAAAAGAGTAAAAGGAGTCTCCGAGGGAAAAACGGATAGAACAGTAGAAAGAAAACCACAACTATGTGGTGCTAAGAATGTTGAGGAATTAATTGGATAAAAAGAATTTATTTAGTGGCATACTGAAGTTGCTACTCTCACACCATTCTCTCCAGGACCATGGTTCTCAATGAAGGGTAATTTTTGCCCCCTTGAGGACACTGGCAATGTCTGCAGACATTTTTGGTTGACCCAACTGGAGAAGTGCTGCTGGTATCTAACAGCAAGGAGGGGCCATGTATGCTGTAAAACATATATGAACCCTCCACCCCAACAACAAAAAAATCTGGCCCAAATGTCAATATTGAATGCTCCAACTGAAAAACCTTGCATTAGAGCCTAATTTGCTGCTCTACACTGTGAGATTGAGCTTTCTATAACAATAGTTGTCTCCATGTTTACTTTTTCAGTTAATTATTTTACTTCAAAGATTTTTTTTTCTTAATTTTTAGAGACATGTTCTCACTGTATTGCCCAGGATGGTCACGGACTTCTGAACTCAAGGAATCCTCCCGCCTCAGCCTCCCAAAGTGCTGAGATTACAGGTGTGAAACACTGCACCTGGACATCAATTAATTCTTAACTCTGGGTTCCAACTGCTGCTCAGGCTTTCATTTCTGCTGGAATGGTAGAGGACTTCTCAAAACCCAAGCCAGCAAATGGCCTGACACATTAAATCCCTTGAAAAACTAGGCTAATTCTGGGTTTCCTCTGGATATTCAGTAACCTCAGGTAGTTCGAGAAGGAATTACTTTTTGAAAGATCCAGATTGTAAGAAAAAAGAAAAATAAATCTCACTCGGGTCCACGGAAGTAGAAATATATCTACTGGGGCTGTATTATGTTTCTAATTATAAATAGGGATTTTCTAGACATGCTCTATCATGCCCTTTTCCAATGAAATTTTTAATTAAAAAATATTTTTTCATGTTCCTTTCGCCAGGGAACAATAAGAAAGTTCATCAAGTTTTTTTCCAGAATAAAGGTGGAGTTGGGGAAACTTCTGAGATACAAAATCCAAGCAAGACTCAGCATCCAGAAGAGCACAGAGTTGAGAATCTGTAAATGTCTGAGCCTAGGAACTGATAATAATGCTAATAAGAGAGGCAAATTAAAGTGATGTTTTGAAAAGAGAATAATGCGGTGACACACTGGCCAGGAAGGAGGATGATTCAATGAAAGTTTTTAGTAAGTATCTTATAATGCTACAAAACAGCTTCATTCATCCTGCCATAACCCAGGTTCAGGTCTTCATCATTACTTAACCTGGATACACTCACTCACTCTCTTTTTTTTTTTTTTGTGAGACACGGTCTTGCTATGTTGCCCAAGCTGCTGTCCAATTCCTGGCCTCAAGCAATCCTTCCATCTCAGCCTCATAGATCGATTATTATAATTACCTTTCTATAGTAATTTCATCCTTCTCCACGCTGCTAGGGTGAAATATGTTTTACATAAAACACTCTTTCTCTCCTGCCTAAAACTATTTTATTATGTGTCATTATCTTATGAAATTAAGCCAAACATGATCAGGACACTGCCTACTTCTCCCGCCCTATTCCCTACTCTTCACGTTTCAACAATACACAGGCCCCACTGATCTATTCCTACTAGGTATTGTGCCTATGAACCATTTGTTCTGCACTGGAAACATCATGTTTTAGGACCAACACAGCTATACCATTCCCAGAAGCCTGTTCATTATGTCTTATCTACCTGGCTTGTTTGCAAAGCAACTCCTCTGTACAGCTCTTGTGCTCTGGACATACCTCTAATCATAAAGCTGGGAATTCCGCATTCAAGCTTTGTGTTTTATCTTTCTCTGTCACTTAAGCAGACTATGAATTCCTTAAAGGTACAGATTGTGTTCTACAGATCTCTACCTGCAGTGTCTGTCAGTGTCCAAAACACAATACCTAATAAAGTTTACTGAACTCAAACCACAGGAAACTGAACTAAACCAAGAAATAAATCTGACTTTGCTATGGCTCTCAAATGTAAAAAGGCAGACTGTTTTCCTAATTAAAAAAAAAAAAAAAAAAGGTTCTCTTAGCTAAACCAAGCTTGTCCAACCTGTGGCCTGCAGCCTACATGTGGCCCAGGATGGCGCTGAATGTGGCCCATACAAATTCATAAACTTTCTTAAAACACTATGATTTTTTGGGGGGATTTTTTTTTAAGCTCATCAGCTATTGTTAGTGTTAGTGTATTTTATGTGTGGCCCAATGTGGCCCAGGGAAGCCAAAGATTGGACATCTCTGTCCTTAAGAAAAGTTTTTTAATAGAAGATTTACTATGCATCTTAGTGTAGTTCAAAAGTACATAGAATGATATATTTCCTGGGTTTTGCATCAAGAAAAAGTATGTAAAGTGTATGCACACTGTGAGGAAATCTTTCATGTTGGTTACTGAATATCTTCTAATGCTATGTTTCCTATTATTTAGCTGGCATAAAAAATGAGAGAAACTCGGGCCAGGCACGGTGGCTCACGCCTGTAATCCCAGCACTTTGGGATGCTGAGGTGGGCCGATCACGAGGTCAGGAGATCGAGACCATCCTGGCTAACATGGTGAAACCTCGTCTCTACTAAAAACACAAAAAAATTAGCCGGGCATGGTGGCAGGCACCTGTAGTCCCAGCTACTTGGGAGGCCGAGGCAGGAGAATAGTGTGAACCCGGGAGGCGGAGCTTGCAGTGAGCCGAGATCACGCCACTGCACTCCAGCCTGGGCGACAGAGCGAGACTCCGTCTCAAAAAAAAAAAAAAAAGAGAGAGAGAGAAACTCTTACAGTGATAAATAAATGTTAATAAATTACAAGTTTTCTTTGCAGGCATAGCCTTTATGTCTATTAATTATCTAAGGGAAAATAAATAGCATGAGAAAGCAAAGCATACATGACAAACACTAGAGCTATCACGGGAGAATCAGTGAGCTCACAAATTCAAGTCTTGTCACTTTCAAGCCCAAGAATAATTATAAATGAACAGGAAGAATACTGCAATCAGTTGTGGACTTAAAAGAAATTGTGAAGGCCAAGCGCGGTGGCTTGTGCCTGTAATCCCAGCACTCTGGGAGGTTGAGGCGGGCAGATCACGAGGTCAAGAGATCGAGACCATCCTGGCCAACATGGTGAAACCCCGTGTCTTCTGAAAATACAAAAATTAGCTGGGCATGGTGGCGCGTGCCTGTAGTCCCAACTACTCGGGAGGCTGAGGCAGAAGAACTGCGTGAACCCAGGAGGCAGAGGTTGCAGTGAGCTGAGATCATGTCACTGCACTCCAGCCTGGTGACAGAGTGAGATTCCTTCTCAAAGAAAAAAGAAACTGTGAACCCAGTACAGTGGCTCACGTCTGTAATCTAAGTACTCTGGGAGGCTGAGGCAGGAGGATCACTAGAGACCAGGAGTTCAAGACCAGCATGGACAGCATAGCAAAACCCTGCCTCTATATTAAATAAATAAATATGTGCATATATATATAGATACGCATGTACATATATATTAACTTGAAAAAAAATTCTTTAGTCACTGTGGAATAGAGTGGCTCCATTATCTCTCTTTCATTCTGGTGCCCTGATTATATCAACAGAATTTCAAACTTCCATAAAGACTGTCATGGCCTTTTATAGCTACTTATTCTTGTTGTGCTGTTTTGTTTTTTTACCTCAAACTTTAGACTTTATAGGCCTACTCATTCTAATGACATATTTTCAAGTAGAAATTCCCCACACCTTTTTACAACTGAAGTCTTATTCAAACAGGCCATCATCATCTTGATCTTACAGAGTAATTTCTTTTTAAAACGTTAATATAAAACCTTACATTATCCTTCATTTCTACCGATTAAAGATTTTTCTTTTTCAAACTGCATTCCTTCATCTATCGTATACATTCCACTTTGACTATTTCCAAAATTGAAATGTTGCCTCCAATATTTACAATAAGATAACAAGGAAATGAACATAACCAGATATTAACCTTCAGCATTTACCCAAAAGCTGTGCTTTGATAAAAGACTTTATGAAACAAGGTCTTTTAAAAATCAAAGGGGTGTGCTCAAGAATACGATAAATATTTGGAATGCTGCCTGTGTGGTATATTTGTTTAATAAAATAGTATGCCAGCCTGAGCAACATGGTGAAACCCCATCTCTATTAAAAATACAAAAAAACTAGCCAGGCATGGTGGTGCACACCTGTAGTCCCAGCTACTCGAGAGGCTGAGCTGGGAGGATCGCCTGAGCTCGGGAAATTGAGGCTGCAGTGGACTGAGACTGCGCTACTGCACACTAGCATGGGGGAAGGGAGAAAAACCCTGTCTTAAAAAAAAAAAAAAGGTACGATGCTATTTTGAAAACAGCAAACCCCAATGAGTCTACCAGATTTATCGATTTATTAGAAAGAGACTATATTTGATTATAAATCCATTTAAAAATACTCATCTGACTTCATATTCTTAAGCTATTAAGTATCTCTAAATAAACTATATAAATCGAAGATGTTAGTGGTAAACACTGATGTGGAGAAGTCTTTTATTTCTCTTTGTGTTATTGCAAACAATTCCTGTTGACTGAATTGCAAGATTAAAAGAAAAATCAAACACTTCACAGATTCCACCTGAAGGAGAGAAAATGCACTGTTGTGTAATACTGTGGTTTTCTTGGATGTCTTTAGTGTCAACAGTAGCTCAGTCATTCTTACCTCACTTTTACTACCTACTAATCTTAAATGTGAAAAAGGAGAAAAGTTCCAGCATCAATGTGCAGCAGGAAAAAGAACAACTGTTGCTCCAGTCATTGTTATACAACTTACTTTCTCTCCAGAGCCCAAAGATTCCAAAATAGCAATACAAAAGTGTGTTTATAGTCACCCACAAGTACTGAAAACACGGTTCATTTTAATTAATATTAAAATCTAGTAGATATGGCTATACAAAATAGTCCTGAAATTGAAAGTGAGTCAGTCAGTACCATAGGAAAGATAGTTAAATAAATAAGTAAAAAGTGAGTCAGCAAAGCTCTCTGCGTATCACTGATACTGAATGGGCATATGAGAATATATTAAAATAGAGGCAAAAAAACACAAAACAAGGGATTGTTTTGATTTTGATCACAACAGAGAAAGATAAGGTTGGGGGGAGAACCAGAAAACAGCAAGAAAAAGTAAAAGAGGAATACAAAAAAGAAATGGAAATAGTTTGATGATGCACCAATGATACTTCTACAGTAATTACAACTATTGGAACAACCTGAAAAACCATCAAAGCAGTACAGCAACCAAAATGTCACCAAGTCCACTCTATGTGGTCTGGGAACCCAGAGGGCACCAGGCTCTTTTAGGAGGACTGCGATGTCAAACAATTTCCTTGATAATACTAAGACACTACTGCCTTTTTCATTATGTTGACATTTGCATTCATGGTGCAAAAGGAGCAGCGACATCTTAGGATAAATCCAGGCAATGACACCAATTGTCTTAGTAGTCACTTTATTTCTAATTGTCACACATTCACAACTTATTTTGTGATTAGGAATTAGCTTCACTTAAACATCCTCAATGAATCTATAAAAATTATCAATTTAATCATCTCAATACCTAACTACATGGAGACACAGAAAAGGATTTAAGTATCAACTATCAAAGCATGATGGCTGTTCTAAAGGAAAACACATTTGTGATTGAGTTTTGAGCTCCAGTGGACACTTTTTAAAACAGAATACTATAGGTGAGTTTAAAATGCTAGTCACAGGCCAGGCACAGTGGTTCATGCCAGAACTTTGGGAGGCCAAGGTGGGAGGATTGCTTGAGTCCAGGAGTTTGAGACCAGCCTGGACAACATGGTGAAAGCCCATTGCTACAAAAAATACAAAAATTAGCCAGGCATGGTGGCACACGCCCTTAGTCCCAGCTATTCAGGACTGAAGGTAAGAGGATCGCCTGAGCCTGGGAGGTAGAGGCTGCACTGAGCTACCATCAGGCCACTGCACTCCAGCCTGGGTGACACAGCGAGACCCTGCCTCTAAATAAAACAAAACAAAATAAAATGCTAGTCAAAGAATCTTAGCACACATCCCATATGCATTAATCTGCTTACCTCCAGGAGTAGAAGGGTCTCCTGTTCAGTCCATTCTCTTCCAGCACTAGCACCTTTACTCTAAGGAAACAAAATCAGAAATTATTTGCTCATTTTTAAATGCTGAAGATGGAGCTCAGTAGAATTCCTTTCCAAGCTCAGGGGACTGTGTTACGCAAACTATCATGGTAAGTCTTTGACTAACAGGAATAAAACACTTTAAGGAGCCTAAACTTCTATAAGAAATGCTGGCTTATTTCAAAGACTGGCCAGGCGTGGTAGCTCCTGCCTGTAATCTCAGCCCTTGGGAGGGCAAGGTGGGTGGATCACTTGAGGTCAGGAGTTCTAGACAAGCCTGGCCAACACGGTGAAACCCCATCTCTACTAAAAATACAAAAATTAGCCGAGAGTGGTGGTTCATGCCTATAGTCCCAGCTGCTCCAGTGACTGAGGCAAGAGAACCCAGGAGGCAGAGGTTGCAGTGAGCCAAGACCGCACCATTGCACTCCAGCCTGGGCAACAGAGCGAGACTATCTCAAAAAAAAAAAAAAAAAAAAAAAAACACACACAAAAACCAAAACCAAAAAAGACTTCCTGCTGTCAAACAAGGACCCATAACTATTTGGATATGTTATTTCTATTATTTTGATACTTAACAGTATCTTTGGCAAGCTAAAAAGGCATATTGTTTTACTGCATACCATAAATCAGCTGTAATATCACAAACATAGTACACATCTTGGTAATAACTTGAAGAGACTACTTCTTCCACGATTCAAGGATCAGATGTACTACACACGTAAAACACTGACAGGTTCTTGATTCCAACTGCAATAAGCCCATATTATCTCATTTTAAAACATTTCTCAATTATGAAAGAATCTCCAAGTGAGTCCCTAAACTCAAAATCACCTTTTCCATGTGAGTCCCTTATAGTTTATGATTCATGTGACGATGTGAGTATAACAGAAGTGAGACTGGCTTGTGTAAAAACTAAAATTTAATTGATTAATTCATACTTCTTTATCTGCAGACCCTGCTGCATTCACTCATCTTCAGGGGACTTGATTTGTAGTATAGCTGATACTATCATGCAGCTATAAACATTACTAATTCAAAATATACATTCTAACATATTTCCCTCTCTCAAAACTCTATTTTGAGAGATTACCATTTAATAAATAAACATTTCTACAATCTGTGATTTTCCTGTATATGTCAATAAAGTTTCTCAGTTTAGATAATTAAAACTCTCAGTGCATTAGTGCTACACACTGCATGAAAAAAATTACATTCTGTATGAAGGAAGAAAGAAAAAACAAAAATAAAACAACAACAAAATTAAACCCTGATTTGCTACATCTCTGGGGCATTCAATTCATAGCATTCTGACATACGCTGTTCACTTGCACAAAAAAAAATAATGCATCAAAAATAAGTAGTCTTTGAACTAAAGAATAAACAGTTGACCTAAGCATTGCAGAACTAAGAATTAAACTCCTACAGTATGGCTTTGTGAGAAAGAAAAGATGCCTGTATCTATAACGCAGAATATACAGCTCAGGTCCCCAAGGATTACTTTTCTTTTCTTTTTTTGAGATGGAGTCTCGCTCTGTTGCCCAGGCTGGAGTGCAGTGGCACGATCTTGGCTCACCGCAAGCTCCGCCTCCCGGGTTCACACCATTCTCCTGCCTCAGCCGCTGGGACTACAGGCGCCCGCCAACACGCCCGGCTAATTTTTTTGTATTTTTAGTAGAGACAGGGTTTCACCGTGTTAGCCAGGATGGTCTCGATCTCCTGACCTCGTGATCCGCATGCCTCGGCCTCCCAAAGTACTGAGATTACAGGTGTGAGCCACCGCGTCCAGCCCCGCAAGGATTACTTTAAGATAACCAAAGGTTCTTTTAAAAAACCAAAATCAGAGGTAATCACCAATCAGATTTGGAGCCCCAAGAAGAACAAAATTCATTAACATTTAATCTAAATTCTGAAGAAACAAAACCTGAGCAAATATAAGGAAGATCTCTACAACCTAGACACAGACATTTATAGGATAGGTCCTCAACAACCATTTCTCCACTTCTCAGCCACAAAGTGTAGAAAGAATTTTTTCTGCCCCACAGACTTAAGTCAATGTTTCTTCTTCTTCTTCTTCTTTTTTAGATGGAGTCTTGCTCTGTCACCCAGGCTGGAGTGCAGTGTCATGAACTCGGCTCACTGCAACCTCTTCCTCCTGGGTTCAAGCGACTCTCGAGCTTCAGCCTCCTGAGTAGCTGGAATTACAGGCAGCCGCCACCATGTCTGGCTAGTTTCAGTATTTTTTTTTTTAGTAGAGACAGGGTTTCACCATGCCCAGCCCGTTTCCTCTCTTGATAACAATTGGCTCTACAATATAAGCCTCATTAGAGCCCACAAAATGACTGCTGAAGCTTTCATATGATTTTAAAATATTTTTTTCTTGTATTAGGCTGAGCATGGTGGTTCATGCTTGTAATCCTAGCACTCTGGAAGGTAAAAAAGGTCGATCACTGGAGCTCAGGAGTTCAAGACAAACCAGGACAACACAGTGAGATGTTCTCTCTTTAAAAAAATAAAAATAAAAAAAAAGCCGGGTGTGGTGGCTCACACCTGTAATCCCACCACTTTGGGAGGCTGAGGCAGGAGAACTGGTCGAACCCGGGAGGCAGAGGTTGCAGGGGAGACTGCGCCACCGCACTCCAGCTTGGGCGACAGAGCGAGACTCTGTCTCAAAAAAAAAAGGGTGGGGGGGGGGCAGGCCAGTGGCTCAGGCCTGTAATCAGAGCACACCGGGAGGCCAATGTGGGTGGATAACCTAAGGTCAGGAGTTCAAAGACCAGCCTAGTCAACATGGAGAAACCCTGTCTCTACTAAAAATACAAAAATTAGCCAGGCGTGGTGGCACACGCCTGTAATCCCAGCTATTTGGGAGGCTAAGGCAGGAGAATCACTTGAACCGTGGAGGTGGAGGTTGCAGTGAGCCAACATCGCGCCACTTCACTCCAGCCTGGGAGAAAAGGGCAAACTCAGTCTCAAAACAAAAAATTCTTTTGTATTTCTGGAGGTATGATACATACACAATAAAATACACAAATTAGTATAAAACTTGACACAATTTAACTTATATGACAATGTAATAATACTCAAATCAAAACCCAAAAGGCTCCCTCCTTTAAAACTCAATTGATAGCCACTCACAAAAGTATATACTAGTCTGACTTCTGTAACCATAGGTTAGTTTTTCTTGGATCTGAATTTTGTATTAACAAAAACAGGTGTGAGCCACTGTGCCTGGCCAGAAGATGTCTTTTATACTGACTCACATGTTGACCTTTTTTCTATCACTCTTTATTCTTCCATTAGATCCAGTCAGGTCCCAAACTGTTGTGTCAAATTATAGTTTACCCTGAATCAGGACTTTTGTCATGTTTCTAAATAATGTAAACTTTGTAACAGTTTATTCAATTTAATCTCCTTCTGCCTTTCTGCCATTCTTGTAATTTCTACACGTTATAAATCCCAAATATTATTGTTTAAACAACCTGTATTACTTTATATTTAACCACACAGATTACCCTTTTCTCTGCTCCTTATTCCTTCATGGAGTCATGTGCTTTCATCTGGGATCATTATCCTTCATGCTGAAGACATTCCTTTACTTTTCTTATACTGTGTGCTAGCGATAACTTCTGTACATTGTGAATGCCTACAAACGTCTTTATTTCACCTTCAATTTTGAAAGTAATGTCTACTGGATAGAGAATTCCAGATAGATAGTTTTTCTTTTCCAATTTAAAAATGTCCTTTGGCTTTGATCATTTTTGTTGAAAAGTCAGCTATCAGTTTTATTATTGTTCTTTTGAATGTAATATGTTCTTCTCTACCCTCGCCCCCACCCTCCATGTCTGCTTTTAAGATGTTAGTTTTTAAGAAATTAAGCATAATGTACCCGAGTGTGGTCTTCTCTCTATATAAATTTGGATCTGTTCTTTTTATGTGTGTGTTTTTCAGTAGAGGCAAGGCTGCTCTTGAACTCCTGGCCTCAGACAACCCTACTGCCCTGGCCTCCCAAAGTGTTGAGCTTGGCCTGGCTCTGTCTTTCTTGTTTTGTGAGTTGGTATCTTTTTATTTGTTCTGAAGTCTTTTTAGCCATTATATATTCAAGTATCACTCCTCCTCCATTCATTCTCTTATGGGTTTCTAATGATAAACATTAATTCTTTGGACTGTATCATTCATTTTTCTTTTTCTTCTTTTAATAATAGAGACACAGTCTTGCTATGTTGTCCAGGCTGGTCTCAAACTCTGGGGCTCCAGTGATCCTCCTGCCTTGGCCTCCCAAAGTGCTGAAATTACAGGTGTGAGCCACCGTGTCCAGCCTGAACTCTATCTCACATATCTGTTCCACTCTCCTCTCTTTGTCCTGGCCCCTCCCTACCTCAATCCAATTTTTTCTCTTGGTACTTTAGTTTCAATATATCTACTAATTTGTCTCTGAGTTCACTAACCTGTCTTCTGCTGTATGCAGTCGTTATTAAACCTATCAAATAATTTCAAGTATACTTTTCAGTTCTAAAATATTCATGATTCTTTTTACAGATTCTAATTCTCTCTTCAAATTCTCCATTTTCCCCTCGAATTTCTCTAATAGTGTTATTTTTAAAATACCTATCTACTAAGTCATATAGGAATATAAAAGGTAAGATAAATCATAATTGTTTTTAAAAATACCATCAGATTTGAGTAGAAAGCTCATTAGATGTATCTTAGAAGGACTAAGATGTGCTGGATTGCAGCCCATGTGTGATTAGAAAAATTACCTTTGCTAATGTTTTCTTGGAGTAAATGTCAGTACGGAGACCAAAGTTCTGCAAATCAACTGGTTTTTCCTTGTTTTTCTCAGGAAAATTTAGCATCTGTTGAGCAGCAGGAACCTGAGTCAAATAAATGATAAATGGCTGAGTTAGCCTCTTTAAAGTCAAGAGGGTAAATGTTTTTAAAAATTTGTTTGGGCCAGGCGCCGTGGCTCACACCTATAATCCCAGCACTTTGGGAGGCCGAGGCAGGCGGATCACAAGGTCAGGAGTTCAAGACCAGCCTGACCAACGTGGTGAAACCCGTCTCTACTAAAAATACAAAAATTAGCCGGGCGTGGTGGCACGTGCCTATAATCTCAGCTACTCAGGAGGCTGAGGCAGTAGAATTGCTTATAACCCAGAGGTGGAAGTTGCAGCGAACCAAGATCATGCCACTGCACTCCAGCCGGGGGAACAGTGCAAGATTCCGTCTCAAAAAAAAAAAAAAAGTTTAATATTGGCACTTAAACCACTCTTGGTGGATTTCCTACAAAAAACAATAAATACCCACACTTCTACACTATACTTCTAACAAAAATTCAACATATAAGTCACATTTTGGTGTCCCTTTAAATCCCAGAAAGGATAACAAATTTTCATTACTATCTTCTATTTCACAATGGGACAAAATTTATACCTTAGGTTCCTGTGAATCCAACTTAATGCTATATATAATTTGTTTGACATAATCTGTTTTGATAATGTATATATGGATATACACTTTACAAATCTTAGGACAAGTTATAAAGATTTCTTTGCTTCACATTTCTAGAACACAGATTGAAGGAAGGGAAAGAAGATTTTGCATCATCTGCTTACTTATGAGTGTCTTTTTGATGACAGAAGGATAATTTACTTTTATGCATATAAAAGTAAATTAATAATTTGACAGAGTAAGGCATTCGGTCTTGGGATTGGTGGGACAGCATTAACTTAAACACTATATATTCTTTTGGACTGTAATATTTACAGTACACCAAAATACACACACAAGCAAGGATCAAAGAAATAGCACTAATAATAGCATTATAGTATAATAATAATTGTTTCTAAATAGATATGCTATAAATGGCCATTTGTTACTATCCAGGTCTGATGAAAAGTCAACATTAATTTACCTGAGGTGATCGAAGATGCAGAGGCACAAGCCCAGAGGGGGTATCAGCTAATACATTAAAATGAGGAGTAGGAGGAGGTCCCATTGCCATGGGTCTACTTTCCGGGTCAACTTGGTAATTAACGAGTCCCCACTGCTCTAAAAAGGCATGGACCCTAAAGAATAAAGCTCGGAAAGTTAAAATCTAAAGAATCAACTTCATGTGCTTTTACTATCATCATCATGCCATTAAAAAACAGAAACAATAAAACCAGTAAATGTGCTCAGCAGGCTGTCAAACATCACAAACTACTTGACAGATTTTGTTATGTGACGAACAATTTCTACAAGCCACAAGTAATGTTGATAACACAGCACCCCCAAACCTATTACAAAGCCTAATCATTTCAATCACAGAAATGAGAGCACGAATACGCATTTAGGTCCATGGTAATAAAAGAACTCACACATAGACCAAATACACACATTAAAAAAATCCGCATTTTTCGTGACAGAGTCTCGCTCTGTCTCTAAGGCTGGAGTGCAATGGTGCGATCTCAGCTCACTGCAACCTCCTCCGCATCCTTGGTTCAAGAGATTCTCCTGCCTCAGCCTCCCAAGTAGCTGGGATTACAGGTGACCATCACCATGCGCAGCTAATTTTTTGTATTTTTAGTAGAAATGGGTTTTCGCCATGTTGGCCAGACTGGTCTCGAACTCCTGACCTCAGGTGATCTACCCACCTCGGCCTCCCAAAGTGCTGGGATTACAGGTGTGAGCCACCATGCCTGGCCGTTTTTTTTTTTTTTTTAATTTCGGCAGAGCTAGGGCGCAGAGCTTATCCACTCCCAACCTGAATCCACTCCATCCCTGGTTATTTTATGATTTGACTAAAAAATTTAAAATGTGAACTGTAAAATCTAGAAGGCTAAATTAAATATTTTATTTTGTGTTTTTTTTTTTGAGACACAATCTTGCTCTGTTGCGCAGGCTGGAATGCAGTGGGACGATCTCAGCTCACTGCAATCTCTGTCTCCTGAGTTCTCCTGCCTCAGCCTCCCCAATAGCTAAGATTACAGTCATGTGCCACCACGCTTGGCTAATTTTTATATTTTTAGTAAAGATGGGGTTTCGCCATGTTGGCCAGGCTCGAACTCCTGACCTCAGGTGATCCGCCCATCTTGGCTTCTTGAAGTGCTGGGAATACAGGTGTAAGCCACTGCACCCAGCCTAAATTAAATATTTAAAATTTTCAACCTCTAATGCTGAACACAGTGCTCATGCCTGCAATCACAATACTTCGGGAGGCGGAGGCAGGAGAATCGCTTGAGGCCAGGAGATCGAGACCAGCCTTGGCAACACTGTGAAACCCCATCTTGACAATAAAATTAAATTAATAAAATAGAATAAAAATAAAATAATTAAATTGAATGAAATGAAAGGAAACAAAATATAATCAACCCCTAAATGGCATAACTAAAATTAGGTGTTTTACCCAGTTGAAACAACCAGTTTAATCAAGCAAACATTAGACAGCATGCATAAGTAAATTCCTACAGTTAAATGTCTCAGAAAAAGTCAAACAGTTTACCTCATCACAGCACACACATCTCCAGTCAAGTTCCTCCGACAAGCAGTGCTAGTTAAATACTCTTGGGGGTTTAGACGATACGTGTCAATCATAAAATTTCGATATGCCAAGTATCTAAAAAGCAATGGCAAAATTCATAAGGTGGACATGTATCCTCTCAGAAACAATGTTACTTAGAAACTCAAAAATCTTCAGATTCCTTAAAAATACAACAACAAATTAAGACAAGAGCATAAAAAACATTGATATTATATTGCACATTTAAAGTTATGAGTGAATTTAGAACCACGAATATGCAAAACAACTGTTTATTAATGTATAACAACAAGTAATCTAATGACATTAATGTGAAGTAACATAAATTCAAACTTGGTCATGGTGGTAGTTAACTGCAGAATTGGAAACTAACACGTGGTTACATAGGCTATCTGCCTCACTACCACATATCTATACTTTACTGTGTACAGGGCACTGTTATAAGCAATGTATGTCTGACAATTGAATCCTCATAATCGCTCTATATTGCAGGTAGGGTCTGCTATCATCCCATTTATGGGTGAGGAAACAAACACTGAGTTGTTAGAGAATATGTCCTAGCCACAGGGTTGGTAACTGATGGAGCCAGAATTCAATGCTGCCAGTGTGGTAGCTCTTCAATCTATGCTCTCAACCTCTGCTGCCTATCACTTCTGTATTTCACACATGTCATGTGGATTTGGCTCTGCAAATAGCTATGTAATTTCTCACAGCAGTTCTTTAAGGGAGATCACGGCGGGGCAATAAGTAGAATCCATGAGACCAAATTCAGAAAAGAACATACAAAAATGGAGAGAGAAATTGAGATTCTGTTACAGCAGATACTAAGGACTTCTGTCACAAAATATAGTACTTAACAACAAGAGTGTTAAGGACTTTGAGACCTAGCAACAGTTCTTGGCACACAAAGAAAACAAAATGCAGGCAGCCAAGATCACACCACTGAACTCCAGCCTGCATGACGGAATGACTTTGTCTCAAAAAAAAAAAAAAAAAGTAACAGATTAATACCCTGATTAATACATGGGAGGGTATGTACAGTATTGACAGATATGTACTTATATATAGGGACAAGGGTTCCAGAAGTATATACTGATGAATCACCAGGGAAAGACAAAAAGTACTTCCGGCCAAACTTCTTCCTTCCAATAAGAGTTTTTCTATTTCCAATGCAAAACCACAAAAATCCTTTATGCAATTAAGCTCCATTCACATGCAGCTATATCATCATATCTCTCTTTTAATTAGCAGTCACACATCAGGAAGATAAAGATTCTATTTTCTCCTGGATGAATAGAAACAATCCAAAACATACATTCACACACAAGTTGAAAGTTGTTAGGACAGGCCGGGCTTGGTGGCTCACGCCTGTAATCCTAGCACTTTGAGAGGCCGAGGCAAGTGGATCACTTGAGGTCAGGAGTTCGAGACAAGCCTGGCCAACATGGTGAAACCCAATCTCTACTAAAAATACAAAAATTAGCCAGGTGTGGTGGTGCATGCCTGTAGTCTCAACTACGTGGGAGGCTGAGGCAGGAGAATAGCTTGAACCCAGGAGGCAGAGGCTGCAGTTAGCTGAGATTGCAACACTGCACTCCAGTCTGAGTGACAGAGCGAGACTCCATCTCAAAAAAAAAAAAAAAAAAGGAAGAAAGAAAAAGAAAGTTGTGAGGATAGACCTGAATTCATTATAGTAAAAATTGGTTTAAAATCCAAACTTTAACTCTAAGAGTTGATGTGCATATAGTTCAAGGTTTAGAAATAAAAGAATACTCTAGGCAACATGGTGAAACCCCCGTCTCCACCAAAAAATAAACAGATAGATAGATAAATAAACATCAGCCAAGTGTGGTGACATGTGCCTGTAGTCCCAGCTACTTCAAGAGGCAGAGATGGGAGGATCCTTTGAGTTCAGGGGGCAGAGATTTCTGTGAGCCAAGATCATGACACTGCACAACAGCCTGGGCAACAGAGTGAGACCCTGTCTCAAACAAACACCAAAAAAAACCCCCCAAAACAAAAAACGAAACTAGATACAATTTCCTGTGTACCATGGAATGCTATGCAAATGAGATATGAACACTGTTCTGAAAGGAGTATTTGCAAACTTCCAAGAATCAGCAATAAGGAACTCAGGTGGATGCTTGAAGAGCCCCTACCGCACACAGGCAAATAAACAAGTTTTCTAAAACACTGGCCTCACATTTCTGGAGTCTTGGATTTGTTTTTTCCATTGAAGAACTCAGGAAGAGCACGCCGTTCAATCACATGAATACTGAAAAGAAGAAGAAAAAAAGATTTAGGAGTGTTCTTTTTTTTTTTTTTTTTTTTTGAGACGGAGTCTCGCTCTGTCGCCCAGGCTGGAGTGCAGTGGCGGGATCTCGGCTCACTGCAAGCTCCGCCTCCCGGGTTCACGCCATTCTCCTGCCTCAGCCTCCCAAGTAGCTGGGACTACAGGCGCCCGCCACTACGCCCGGCTAATTTTTTGTATTTTTAGTAGAGACGGGGTTTCACTGTTTTAGCTGGGATGGTCTCGATCTCCTGACCTCGTGATCCGCCCGCCTCGGCCTCCCAAAGTGCTGGGATTACAGGCGTGAGCCACCGCGCCCGGCCGGAGTGTTCTTTTTAAAAGAATAAAATCATTAAATATTCTAAGTAAAAGTGATAAATCCAAAACCTGAGTACTGCTTGCCAAAATTAATTGGCTTACACTAGTTTCTATGTATTAACAGCATACAAAAAAGTTAAGGAAAGCTTTCTCTTTCTCACTCCCAGTACTTACTGTAGTTTTTCTATTCCCATAACCAAACTAAAAAACTACTATCGACACACTGAAAACTATACATTTTATTATTTTTTGGGATAATACAACATAACTAGATAAGAAGCCATAAGATATGAAGAATTCTTTGAAAAATGGTGACAAAAACAAAGGAGCTGGCACGGCATGGCAACAAACTGATGAAACAAATGACCAGAGTAGAGACAATGAATTTGCTAGTCTCAGCTTCTCAGGCTGTTAACATAAATGAGCCTTTGTCCAGCCCTCAGAAACACTGTGATAAATTAATAACTTTTTAGTTTTTATTTTTGGTGGAGGTGCTGGGGAGATATATTACTTTTTTAAAAATTTCACTATCAATTGCTTTTAATAATATCACAGAAGTACATTTTAACAATATATGCAAACGCTAATAATTTTATGACATGTTACAGGTCATAAGCAGAGATCAGGTAAAATGATCAGGCCTAACAGTAAAAAAAGAACAAACTGTATATCTAGCACAAAGTTTCTGCTGCTAATATAAGTGTGTGTTTCTTCCTGATGACATTTTAGTTTCTCAGTGACTTTCCAGATATGCAACATGTTAAGTAGTGGTTGCACGGCAAAGAGCAAATCAATGGTCTGGGAATATAATTCAAATTATTCACTTTTTGAATATTTGGTAACATTTAAATTAAATTGGATTTGTAGGGTCAAATACTATAAATACAATGAATTACCGGCAAACTTCTAGAAAGATAATTTCTAAGATGGATTAATGCTATATAAATATATATAATGACTCTTAAAAGAATAACCGTAAGGAACTAATTACATAATTCTAATATAACTCCTAATGTTTTCATTGTTACAGGTTAGGAAAGGCCCACTTTTAAAAAAAATTCTGTATCATAACTAGTATTTCTATTATTTAACTGCATGTAGTGTGACATGCAAAGATGATCAGGCAAATGAAAACGTTTCTGTAAACTATAATCTTACATAGTTATTTACTGTAATGATTTTCCATTTTCTAATTTTATTTTTTAATTAAAAAGAAATTCACACACACACTTTTTTTTTTTAAGACACAGGGTCTCATCCTGGGTAGCATGGTGAAACCCCGTCTCTACTAAAACTACAAAAAATTAGCCGGGCATGGTGTTGGGTGCCTGTAGTCCCAGCTACTCGGGAGGCTGAGACGGGAGAATGGCGTGAACCCGGAAGGCGGAGCTTGCAGTGAGCCGATATCGCGCCACTGCACTCCAGCCTGGGGGACAGAGCAAGACTCCGTTTCAAAAAAAAAAAAAAAACAAACAACAACTGGAGTTCAGTGACAAGATCATAGCTAGCTCACTGTAACCTAGAACTCCTAAGCTCAGGCAATCTTTCTGCCCCAGCCTCCAGGATAGCCGGGACTACAGGCATGTGCCATCACGCCTGGTTAATTAAAAAAATTTTTTGTAGAGACGGGTATCACTATGTTTGGGCTCAAGCGACCCACCAGCCTCAGCCTCTCAAAGTGCTGTGATTACAGACAAGAGCCATAGCACCAGCCCCCTTTATCTAATTTTAGAGAAAAAGAATGCCGGTTTCTCATGTGTGTCCTCTTAGGCCATTGTACTAACGAGTTTTAAAGTTTGTCAATTTTAACAGAACAACTCACTATTTTGGAATAATTAAAACAGCAAAAATATATAAAGATAGAATATGTTTTTTAAAAGTAATTTACTGTTTACTATTTAGTATGTCATATATTAATAATTGTTTATGATATAAAAATTGGTGTCAGCTGACAAAAAGCTACATTAAAAGTACATAAACATAATTTTATTGTGAGCCAAAAGCAAAATTGTGAATGTTTAAAAATTCTGAATGTTAAACACATAATTGCAAAGATAACAAGACTGAGACACTTCCAAATGTTTAAAAATAATTAAAGAGAGTAACAAATGTAATGAAGACTGATGTTCAAAGATATGCACTTATTCTGTTCCAGGTTGTATTTACTGAAAACATCCAGAAATAGCATTCGTTTTTTGTTTTGTTTTTGTTTTTGTTTTGAGACGGAGTCTCGCTCTGTCGCCCAGGCTGGAGTGCAGTGGCGCGATCTCAGCTTACTGCAAGTTCCACCTCCCGGGTTCACGCCATTCTCCTGCCTCAGCCTCCTGAGTAGCTGGGAATACACGCGCCCGCCACCACGCCCGGCTCATTTTTTTTTCGTATTTTTAGCAGAGACGGGGTTTCACCGTGTTAGCCAGGATGGTCTCAATCTCCTGACCTCGTGATCCACCCGCCTTGGCCTCCAAAAGTGCTGGGATTGCAGGTGTGAGCCATCGCGCCCGGCCTATTCAGTTGGTTTTAAATGTACTCAGGAAAGTCTCAATATTTGAGCCACAGAATGATGTCAGACAAAAATAAGGCATATCAAGTGGATCACTGACTATATTCTTTTAAATTGTCTCCAAAAAGACTTCTGGACATACATGGATTTTAAAAATCACATTCATCCTTTAAAAATAACACGGTAATCATTGAGAGCAGGCAAAAGGTATAAAAAGTACCCCAAGATTGGCCGGACGCAGTGGCTCACACCTGTAATCCCAGCACTTTGGGAGGCCAAGGTGGGTGGATCACCTGAGGTCAGGAGTTCGAGACCAGCCTGGTGGTGAGCCGAGATTGCGCCGCTGCACTCCAGCCTGGGCAACAGACTGAGACTCCGTCTCAAAAAAACAGAAACAAAAAAACCCAAGATTTTGAGTAATGGCAGCATCAGCAATGTAGACAACTTTCCTGTAAAGGTACCTTAAAGATGCTAACATCTATTTGGAGTGGTAAGTTCTGGTATTTATGTTTTTAAAAAAACAACAACAACAAAACAGTCGAGGCACAGACAAACAAAAAGACAAACAAAAATCATTCTAATATTAAATAGTCACATCTCATAAGCAATCAATAAAAAAGACAGTACTCGGCCGGGCGCGGTGGCTCACGCCTGTAATCCCAGCACTTTGGGAGGCCGAGGCGGGCGGATCACGAGGTCAGGAGATCGAGACCACGGTGAAACCCCGTCTCTACTAAAAATACAAAAAATTAGCCGGGCGTAGTGGCGGGCGCCTGTAGTCCCAGCTACTTGGGAGGCTGAGGCAGGAGAATGGCGTGAACCCGGGAGGCGGAGCTTGCAGTGAGCCGAGATCCCGCCACTGCAGTCCAGCCTGGGCGACAGAGCGAGACTCCGTCTCAAAAAAAAAAAAAAAAAAAAGACAGTACTCCAGTTACATCCAACTATGCTCGAAGCATGCCACAGTGCTTGCTGTAAAAATCAGAGACGATGCTAAGGAGGTCTGTTTTCTTAAACATTTTTACATGCCAGGATTTATATTTTAAAAGCCTCCTGATGTTAAAATATTTCCTATTAAAATAAAGCTATTATTGGGTAGTAATTTTTTTTTTTTTTTGGGAGACAGAGTATTGCTCTTGTAGCCCAGGCTGGAGTACAATGGCTTGATCTCGGCTCAATGCAACCTCTGCCTCCTGGGTTCAAGCGATTCTCCTGCCTCAACCTCCCAAGTAGATGGGATTACAGGCACCCACCACCACGCCTGGCTAATTTTTTTGTATTTTTAATAGAGACGGGGTTTCACCAGGTTGGCCAGGCTATTCTTGAACTGCTGACCTCAGGTGATCTGCCCACCTCGGCCTCCCAAAGTGCTGGGATTACAGGCATAAGCCACCATGCTGGGCAATTTTTTTCCTTTATATAAAGTAGTCCCTTCATATCTGTGGAGTTTGTGTTCCAAGACCCCCAATGGATGCCTGAAACTGTGGACAGGGCCATTAAGTTTTTTCCTACGTATACACATAAACACACACATACCTATGACAAAGTTTAATTTATAAATTAGACACAGGACTAGATTAACAAAAACCAATAATAAAAAAGAACAAGTATAACAATTTATTATACACAATTTCATGAACAGAAGATTTGTTCTTATCATAGATCTTAGCAAGCTCAGCACACAATTCTTTTTAAGTCGGAAACATTCACCTTTTCACTTAAAGGAAGCGCTTTATACATTCACTTTGGCGTATCCGAACTATCACCATCACTACTTCTATGCATTGGGGCCACTAACTAAAATAGGGGTTCCTTGAACAGAAGCACTGAAATCCCTTGACAGCTAGTCTAATAACTGATACGGATACTAAATGACTAACAGGTGGGTAGCATGTACAGTGTGTCTACATTGAAAAAAAAGGATGATTCATACTCCTGGCATGAAACTGCAAGATTTCATCCCACTACTCAGAATAACACACAACGGAAAATTATGAATTGTTTACTTCTGGAAATTTTCAGTTAGTATTTTTAATCTAGAGTTAATTTCAAGTAACTAAAAACTTTTTATAATAATTTAAAACATTTTATACTACTACTCAAGTATTTGCTTGTTTGAATTATAGCTGATTCTAAATGAGTTAGATTCAAGCTTACAAAATTTTACAAACCTAAATTACAACAAAATCTAGTTTCAATCCCTGAATTGTTTTTCTTTAAAAAAAAAAAAAAAAATTCGAGCCAGGCGCGGTGGCTCACGCCTGTAATCCCAGCACTTTGGGAGGCTGAAGCAGGTGGATCACGAGGTCAGGAGTTCAAAACCACCCTGGCCAAGATGGTGAAACCCATCTCTACTAAAAATACAAAAATTAGCCTGGCACGGCGGCGGGAACCTGTAATCCCAGCTACTCAGGAGGCTGAAGCAAGAGAATCACTTGAAACCGGGAGGCAGAGGTTGCAGTGAGTCGAGATCATACCACTGCATTCTAGCCAGGGTGACAAAGCAAGACTCTGTCTCAACAACAACAAAACAAACAAACAAACAAAAAACACAAACACATTCCAAAGATAAAAATCACTCTCCATCTCCCTTCATCCAAAGTGATAGTAATTTCTGATAAGGAACATGGGCAGAAAGGCACAACCTGATTTCAAGGAAAGTTCTTGTACTGCTCAGTACCATGCTCACAGATGGAAGTGGTCCACTCACCAGTTATAATCAAACCATGATGCATAACTAGGAATAATAATGTGATTGGTCTGCTCTGTCACATTATCTTCCCCAAGGTCAACTGATCGACTCTGATCACCTTTGGCAGGATCTTCATCTTCCTATAGAAAAGAAGACAAAGTTCAAAGAAAGAAAGAACTACAGAGAGAGATATATATAACATCTCTTACACTTCAGTTGTTAGGTTAAATAAAATGAAGCTCCCCGATTCGATCAGATATTTGAAAAACAAATTTCAAGTAAAAACAACCTTTCACAGTATTTAAGGTACAAGGTAGCCAGCTGATAAGGTTTTGTTGCTCATTTATGATGATGAGGGAATCAATGCAGAGAAGGTAGGTCTCTCATAATAAGATTAACAAGTTGATTGAAGAAAGTCTGTTTCAATGCACAGGACTTCAGACTAAATAAATAACTCATAACCCAGATCTCGTTCCATAATAGCTTGCTTCTTCCTTGTCCAGTTTTACTTAATCTGAAGTAAATGTTTACTTGATACACATTTTTATTGCATACATTTAAACGTATTTTAAATACTTTTTTTGATATTGAAATGTTTTACAATTTTCTCTCTGTGGTGATTTTATTATTTGTAACCTAATGAAATTATTTTCTATTAAGAAACCAAATTATGGGCTGGGCAAGGTGTCTCATGCCTGTAATTCCAACACTTGGGAGGCTGAGGCAGGAGGATCACTTGAGACCAAAAGATCAGGACCAGCCTGGGCAACATAGTCAGACTTTGTCTCTACTAAAAATTTAGAAATTAGCTGGACATAGTGGTACATGCCTGTAGTCCCAGCTACTTTAGAGGCTGAAGTCAGCAAGATTGCTTGAGCATGGGAGGTCAAGACTACAGTGAGCTGTGTTTCCACCACTGCCCTGCACTCCAGTCTAGGCAAGACCCTGCCTCAAAAAAAAATAAAATAAGCAAAAACCCAAATTTTGAATCAGTTTTCTTTTACAATGGTTCCACAATTTAATTTCTACCTTTTTCTTAATTCAACCTAAATCTCCTGTTACAGTATTTGAAGTGACGATCTAGTGTTACTACCTATAACAGTTTCTATAAGAATAGTAAAAAGGAATAAATTTAAAGCATGAAAACACCAAGGACTCTAGTTATTACTTAAATGATATTGAATACAAATGTGATACTAACGATGACAAGGGTAACAAATTTTATTTCCCAAATCACAGAAGCTAGCAAAAAATATTCTCAATGTTCACCTGTTTTTATTTTGGCTTTAGTTAATATATTTTTGTGTTACAGACTTTACAAATCATTAGGAGACAAAAAATTTCCCTTATTCAGAAAAAACAGGAAGAGGCTGGCATTGCAATTAATGAAGGCCAACAGTATAAGTTTTAATGACTTCAATCAGAAAACAACAAGGAAGATGACATTGTGGGAGACAGCTTTAGAGACACTACCTCTAATCCTTTTAAGATATATAAACGACTGGTATATGGCTTCAAATCCTCTTATCTTTGGCATTAAAACGAAGGAATTTGACTTTCCTTTTTAGCTGGGACCATAGGCAGGTGCCACCACACCAAGCTAATCTTTTAAGTTTTTGTTGATGCAGAGTATCCTTGTGTTGTGCTGGCTGGTTTTGAACTCCTGGGCTAAAAGTGATTCTCCCACCTGGGCCTCTCAAAGAACTAGGATTACAGACGTAAGCCACTGCACTCAGCACTTTTTATTAAAAAAAGAGTGTCTTGCACTGTCACCCAGGCTAGAGCACAGTGGCAGGATTTTGGCTCACGCCAGCATAGTAATTCCTAACCTCAAGCAATCCTCCCATCTCAGCTTTCCAAAATGCTGACGTCATAGGTGCCAATCTCTATTTACTCTAAATAATGACATATTTTTGCACAGGTAATGTTCATTAATAAGTGGCTCTTGGCTGGGTGTGTTGGCTCACACATGTAATCCCAGCACTTTGGGAGGCCGAGGCAGGTGGATCACCTAAGGTCGGGAGTTCGAGACCAGCCTGACCAACATGGTGAAACTCTGTCTCTACTAAAAATACAAAAATTAGCTGGGCGTGGTGGTGCATGCCTGTAATCCCAGCTACTCCGGAGGCTGAGGCAGGAGAATCGCTAGAACCCGGGAGGCGGAGGTTGTGGTGAGCCTAGATCATGCCATTGCACTCCAGCCTGGGCAACAAGAGCGAAACTCCATCTCAAAAAACAAAACAAAAAGAAGTGGCTCTTTGACTAAATAACTTTGATTTTTTTTTTTTTTTAATCATAAGAACAATACAGGTGAAGAGTCATAAGAAAAGAGTTTCTTGAAATACTTTTCCGGAAATCCTGTCATGCATATGTTCATCCTTGAATGTATACAACAATGATAAGGATCATCTTAGGGAATTTCTTTGCAAATGAAAAAAAAAATCTATATTCAGCAAGTTAAGGAAATTATTTCAAGAAGATTGGGGGTTAATCACACAGTCAAACATGATAGCCTGAGTAAACAAGACGCCGTTTATTTTTAAAAAATTAAATCCTACCTTAAATCTAACATGTTCCAAAAGCATAATGATTGAGGTATCGCTACAGCAGAATTCATAAAGCAGGAAGTAGCTCGCAATAAGGCTCAAGAAAGGTCAAAGTATGATTCAAAGTCTACACTGCATCAATAGAAATGGCAGTGAGAAAAATCAAGACAACACATGGCCCCTGCTCATCTGCACTGTCGGATAACATCTGAAATACTGTGGTCGGCACTGAATATTACCTTGCAACCAGGGGAGTATGAAACTAGAAATTACAGCACATGAGGGACACTAGCAGGGAGGACAAAAATTTCCTCTAAGTAAAATCTTGGGGTCCAAGAAAGTCAAGTATTTTGCCGAGCGCAGTGGCTGACACCTGTAATGCCATCACTTTGGGAGGCTGAGGCAGACAGATTGCTTGAGCCCAGGAGTTCGCAACCAGCCTGGGCAACATAAAAAACTCCATCTCTACAAAAAATAAAAAAATCAGTTGGGTGTAGTGGTGCACACAAGTAGTCTCAGCTACTCGGGAGGCTGAGGTGGGAGGGGGATCACCTGAGCCCAGGAGGTCAAGGTTACAGTGAGAACCAACAGCCTGTCTCAAAAGAAAAAACTAACAAAAACACCTTCCAGAAATGGTTCTTATATTGTATTTGTTTTCCTTAGGGGAAAAACTAAAAACAAAAAAAAATTCAAAAACCAGAAGGGCTTCATAGTCCAAAAATTGGGTTATGTCCAATTCAGTGCTTCTACTGTTCGGTACACAGGACCCTTAGAGAAGCTCTCTCACACCAGGCTTAACTGAATTGTTACCTTTCCTCCTGCTGTGACTGTTTCTTCATCCTGCTCATCTGCAAAACCAAAACACACAATTCATTTTAAAAACAGGTAAATGTTCTTTGGGTTATTTGGAAAATTAATGGTCTAAGAACTGATACTGGACAGAGAAAAGGAATGAAATAGTGCATTATTAAAGCAAAATCACTCTGAATAATTCACTAAATTAGAATTCTACACAGAAGCACAGAGGTAATTAGAAATTCAAAGCAAAGATCATTAAAAATTTCAAACAGTGGGGAATTTACAATTAATTACTACTTGAGCTAATATCATAGTCATGATCTTAATAACAGATACAGGACTTGATTACGATTCTTGTCTCCTGAGTTTTGCTAAAATAACAACATTTTGGGTTTCAGAAGAAGTGAGTAAAGAATGATGAGTAAAAAAACGGGTGATAACCAATCCCTTACTAATCTTAGTAAGACAATGCCTTCTGAGGATAGAGGGCTTAGCATGAAAGAAAGCCCAGGTAAAATTTGTAAACTAGACAGTTGATTTCCACAATGAAAAGTAAAACTGCCAGTACAGAATAGGAAAGAGGTAGTATTAAAGAACAACAAGTTACATTATTATATGCCTGTAATATTTAAGCTTTTTATCACTACTGTGACCGCTGGCACTAGGTAAGGCATGATGAAGTTCAAAAAGAACATGGGATGCTGGGTGCAGCAGTGCACATCTACAGTCCCAGATACTCTGGAGACTGAAGTGGGAGACTCACTCAAGGCAAGGAGTAGAAGTCCAGCCTGGGCAACAGAGCAAGATCTTGTCTCTTATTAAAAAAAAGAAAAGAAAAGAAAAAGGGTTGGGTGCAGTCGCTCACACCTATAATACCAACACTTTTGGTGGCTGGTACGGGACATAGCAAAAATAAACAGAAATTTATCAGATTTTGAAAAATGCTATACAAAGAATAAACATAAACATATTAGAGAGGAAGTGGGTAGGTGGACACTTCAGAGCAAGTAAACTGGTGTCTCTGAAAAGGTGGCCTTTAAGCTGAAATGTTAAGAGATGAGAAAGACAAGGTAATTATTCCACAAAAAGTAAGAAACCAAATCAAAGGGCCTCCAGTTGGATTGGCTTGGTAACTTCACAAAACAGAAAGCCACTATGAACATGAATAAAGGCTGAGCAAAATAGACAAACCACAACAGCCAAGTGCAGTGATACAAAGCATTGGCAGGAAAGTAAGACCAGGACCCAAATCGGGGTTCTGCAAAATATTTGGAAAGAGGTTACTGAACCTCTTTAAATCTCCATTTCCTCATCAATAAAACAAAACAGTTTAATAGTGAAGTGCAAACACATGTAGAACAAGACCTGACAACTACTCATGCCACCCAGAGATGGACACGGTGGCTTAATGTGTGAGTTAGTCACAAATACTTGCTAACAAGGAATAGGTGATTCTGGATGTGAAATAATATGGTATTAATTACCAGTAGGAGTTCTGCAGCTCTGCATAGTGACTATTTTTATGTAGGAAGTAACTAACAGAAAGAAATCTAGGTAAGGCTGCCAAAAACAAACACTTGGTCCGTTGGACAATGGTAAACCATAGCATAACCAACCTCTTACTAGAAACTGTTAGTTTGACTTAATAATCTCTCCCATTACTCAAATTACACATTTTTAGTCTGACGAATTTCATTCCCCAAAGTAGTCTTGGTACTCAATGGGAAGATACTTCTGATAATATTAAATTATATATGATCCCTAATATTAATAATATCCCTAATATTATTGAATGGTAATATTCAATAAATGTTCTCTTCCTCCTTTCAGATGTGAGAAAATATGCTCCACACCAAACACCTGAATCTCCTTCAGAGACCTGAAGAATGAAAGAAAGACCTATATTTGATGAGGTAGCATATAAGGCAGAATATAGAGCAGTTAAAACAACAGCTCTGGTCAGGCATGGTGGCTCACGCCTGTAATCCCAGCACTCTGGGAGGCCGAGGTGGGTGGGTCGCCTGAGGTCAGCATTTCAAGACCAACCTGGCCAACATGGTGAAACCGTGTCTCTACTAAAAATACAAAAATTAGCCGGGAGTGGTGGCAGGCGCCTGTAATCCCAGCTACTTGGGAGGCTGAGGTAAGAGAATTGCTTGAACCTGGGAAGTGGAGGTTGCAGTGAGCCAAGATCACACTATTGCACTCCAGGCTGGGTGACAAGAGCGAGACTTTGTCTCAAAACAAAAAACAAAATACAACAGCTCTGAGAACAAAAATTTACAGTTGATGGATCACTCTCCAAAATACCCACTCGTATCTGCCATCAATAATAACTGTAATTGCCAGGCCCGAAAGCTCATGCCTGTAATCCCAGCACTTTGGGAGGCTGAGGTGGGTGGATCAACTGAGGTCAGGAGTTTGAGATCAGCCTGGCCAACCCGGTAAAACCCCATGTCTACTAATAATACAAAAATTAGCTGGGCGTGGTGGCACGTGCCTGTAGTCCCAGCTACTCAGGGGGCTGAGGCAGGAGAATTGCTTGAACCCGGGAGGAGGAGGTTGCAGTAACCAAGATCGTGCCACTGTACTCCAGCCTGGGTAACAGACCGAGGCTCCGTCTCAAAAAATAATAATGACTGCAATTTATTCAAATACAGAATTCCTTAATTAGAAGATAGAACTGACATCTCATTTTCTAAAAAAGATCTTGAAAATCCCTTTCAGGTTTAAAGTTCCGTAAAGTCAAAATTTTAGTAAATACTGAAAACAATAGGTTCTCCTTTACAAGTGAAGAAAAGAAATCAAGCCTAATGTCTCATCTACAACTCTCCAGAACAAAGATGTTTAAAACTACCCCTATTTAATGTTTAAGGAGAACAAGTGATTATACTCTTTTCTATTCTCCTGCAAAATCACTCAAGAATTATACCTTACTTGTGAAAATGTACTCTAAGACTTGGAAATACTAGGAAAGGATGATGTCATTCTCATTTTATACTGCTTAGAAACTTTAATTTGGCTTACAAAGTATTAACACTCCACAGATTTTTGTTCTAACAATACAGTATCATTTTGCATACTGTTACAAAAACAATTCTTTCAGTGACATTTGAAAAAGTACTTTAATTAGAACTATTTCCTTAAAACTCATATTCTTATTCAATTATATTATTACCACCTTCCCTAGTTTGTACAAAAATATTATGCTCCAAGAGGGGGAGATCACTAAGAATGGCAACAATGGATCACAGGAAATTAACTCTCTTACAACAGTAGCAAACCAAATCATAATGGCACTAAGAATAAGCCACAGCTAATATCCTGTAGTGGCTAAGCACAAGTCTCACTTAAGAAAGGAGTATCGGCCAGTCACGGTGGCTCACGCCTGTAATCCCAGCACTTTGGGAGGCCGAGACAGGCGGATCATGAGGTCAGGAGTTCGAGACAGGCCTGAACATGGTGAAACCCCGTCTCTACTAAAAATACAAAAATTAGCTGGGCGTGGTGGCGCAAGCCTGTAATCCTAGCTACTCAGGAGGCTGAGACAGGAGAATCACTTAAACCCAGGAGGCAGAGGTTGCAGTGAGCCCTGGGTGACAGAGTGAGATTCCGTCTTAAAAAAAAAAGAAAAGAAGGAGTGTATCAAGCTGGGCATGGTGGTGTGTGCCTATAATCCGAACTACTTGGAAGACTAAGGTAGGAAAATCGCTGGAGCCCAGAAGTTTAAAGCTGTGGTGAGCTATATTACACCACTGCACTCCAGCCTGACCAACAGAACAAGACCTTGGAAGAATAGACTATCAAAGGAGATGACATATTCAAGACAGAAAGCACAGACCAGTGTATAGATTTTAGGTGCTTACCTAGATCCGCTACAGTTCCTCCTTTAACAGGTGTATTTTCACTATCTTTCTTTAGGTTCACTAGAAAAAGAAAAAAAAGAGTTATGTTTATGTGGGAAAAGTTGTACTTCTTTTTAGAAAGAAAACAGAATAGGACATGATTAAACGACATGCATCTCACTACAACTGCAACACCATTCAATACACTTTCAGGTAAAAATCATAAGCCCAGCTATGAAATATTTAACAGACTATATTCTCATTACCCAAGCACCATATAGTTTCATCATAAAAGCAAACAATACAAAATACTCAACAAAACATGAAAACAATCTTTCAATCCCTTCCACAAAAGTTTTTTTTATTAAAGTTTATGATGCATTTGTTTTGATTCTCACTTCTAATCCATTCATTCTTTTAAAAAAAATTAAGGAAGAACTAATACCTTTTTAGTTTGTTTTCAGACAGGGACTCAGTCTGTCGCCCAGACTTGAGTGCAGTGGTGCGATCATGGCTCACTGCAGCCTTGACCTCCCAGGCTCAAGCGATCCTTTGATCTCAGGCTCCCAAGTAATTGGGACTATGGGCGCATGCCACCACACCTAGTTAATTTTTGTATTTTTTATAGAAACATGGTTTTGCCATGTTGCCCAGGCTGGTCTCGAACTCCTGAGCTCATGCAATCCATTCGCATCAGCCTCCCAAAATGCCGGGATCACAGACATGAGCCACTGCGTCCGGCCAAACGAATATCTTTTATACATCCACATGGATGTCAAAATATATCCTGAGAGTTTTTTAACTCTATGTAAATGTTATCAATACTGTGCTTAGTTCTTAGCACGGACCTTCTTTCCATGTAAGAACTTTAAATTACATTACATTTCTTTCATTTTTACAAGTCCACTGTGTCCATAGGTGGACTGTAAGTTAACCAGCCCTACACTGATGGAAACCATGTTTATTTTGAATATTTCACTGTTCAAAAACATTCTTTTGTAATTATCTTTGTGGGTGCATGCAATTATTTAAGATAAACTCTAAAAATAAAACACTGCAACTAGAGGTACACATTTTAAAATTTTAAAAACACAGCCAAGGCCAGGTGAGGTGGCTCATGCCTGTAATCCCAGCACTTTGGGAGGTTGAGGCAGGTGTATCACTTGAGGTCAGGAGTCTTAGACCAGCTTGGCCAACATGGTGAAATTCTGTCTGTACTAAAATACAAAAACTAGCTGGGCATGGTGGTGCGCATGTGTAATCCCAGCTGCTCGGGAGGCTAAGGCAAGAGAATCACTTGAACCCGGGAGGTGGAAGTTGCAATGAGCTGAGATCGCACCACTGCATTCCAGCCTGGACAACAGAGCGAGACTCAGTCTCAAAAACAACAACAACAAAAAACCACAGCCAAATTGCATTGAATGTCTTCATTAATTTACACTTTCATCAACAGCATTTGATAGTACTCATTCCTCAAAACTTTCACACTTTTCCATCTACCTTTTAGGTTTTGAAAATCTTATAGATGAAAATAGTGATTTGAAGAACTTGCATATTCTTAAGTGAGGCTGACCATCTGTTCACACACTTCTTGGCCATGTATTTATTTCTAACAAATTACCAATCTGACATAATCAACGGTAAATACTATGTAATTTAGTCTAAGGGGTTCAGATTCTTTATACATTTTTAGGATTCTAGTCCTTTGTTAAATGGTAAATACTTTCTCCCCCTACAAAAAAAACCTGTTTAAAGTGCTAAATTTCTTACATTTTAACCTCAATTATGTAACAGTGATTCTAAACATATTTGATGAGCTAAACACATAGTAACGGGAAAAAATGTGTGCTCACAAAATTCGTATGTTGAAACCCAACTGTAGTGTCCTGGTATTTAGAAGTAAGGCCTTTGGAAAATAATTAAGTCAGGAGGATAGGCCCCTCAAGAACAGGATTAATGCCCTTATAACTGGGTGTAGTGGCTCATGCCTGTAAGTCCTAGCTACCAGGGATGCTGAGGCACAAGAAACGCTTGAGCCTAGGAGGTGAAGTCTGCAGTGAGTTATGATCGCATAGCTGTTATTCCAGTCTGGGTGACAATGCAAGTATGTACTTTACAATAATTAATTTAATGTTATGTGAAGTATATCTCAATTAAAACAATGCTATATTATGCATAAAATCATACACTGGAAAACTGAATGCCTGTTTTCTACTTCACCCTCAGCATCTGTCCCTGTAGTGGTTGAATAAAAGTTACTTTGTCATCCGGGCGCGGTGGCTCATGCTTGTAATCGCAGAACTTTGGAAGGACAAGGCAGGCAGATCACCTAAGGTCAGGAGTTCAAGACCAGCCTGGCCAACGTGGTGAAACCCTGTCTCTACTAAAAATACAAAAATTAGTAGGGCATGGTGGAAGGCACCTGTAATCCCAGCTACTAGGGAGGCTGAAGCAGAAGAATCACACGAACCCGGCGGAGGTTGCAGTGAGCAGAGATCATGCCAATGCACTCCAGCCTGGGCAACAGAGCAAGATTCTGTCTCAAAAAAAAAAAAAAAAAAAAAGTTGGACGCAGTGTGGCTCACGCCTGTAATCCCAGCACTTTAGGCAGCTGAGGTGGGCAGATCACCTGAGGTCAGGAGTTCAAGACCTGCCTGGCCAAGGTGAAACCCCGTCTCTACTAAAAATACAAAAAAAATCAGCCGGGCGTGGTGGTGCATGCCTGTAATCCCAGCTACTCGGGAGGCTGAGGCATGAGAATCACTTGAACTCAAGAGGCGGAGGTTGCAGTGAGCCGAGATTATGCCACGGCACTCCAGCCTGGGTGACTGAGCAAGACGCTGTCTCAAAAAAAAAAAGGGGGGGGGGGGGCCAGGCGAGGTGGCTCATGCCTGTAATCCTAGCACTTTGGGAGGCCAAGGCGGGTGGATCACCTGAGATCAGAAGTTCGGGACCAGCCTGGCCAATATGGCAAAACCCCATCTCTACTAAAAATACAAAAAAAATTAGCCAGGCGTGGTGGCGGGCGCCTATAATCTCAGCTACTCAGGAGGCTGAGGCAGGACAATCACTAGAATCCTGGGGGCTGAGGTTGCAGTGAGCTGAGATTGCACCACTGCACTCCAACCTCGGCAACAGAGCGAGACTCTGTCTCAGAAACAAAACAAAACAAAAAAACAAAACACAAACAAATTTATACAACACTAGACTCAAAAACGGCACAACATATGTCCTTTTCAAGTAGTATAAGCAAAGGTTCACCAAAGTAGACTATATGCTGTGAAATAAAACAAGTGTGAATAATTTTTTTTTTTTTTTGAAACAGAGCTTCACTCATCGCCCAGGCTGGAATGCAACGGTGCAATCTCGGCTCACTGCAACCTCTGCCTCCCGAGTTCAAGTGATTCTCCTGCCTCAGCCTCCTGAGTAGCTGGGATTACAGGCACCCACCACCACACCCGGCTAATTTTTTTTTGTATTTTTAGTAGAGACAGGGTTTCTCCATGTTGTCCAGGCTGGTCTTGAACTCTTGACCTCAGGTGATCCACCCGCCTTGACCTCCCAAAGTGGTGGGATTACAGGCATGAGCCACCGCGCCCAGCCAAGTGTGAATAAATTTCGAAAGACTAGATTTTCAGTGAATGATTTTGGGTTTTTTTGAATCGGGGTCTCACTCCTTAGCCCAGGCTGCAGTGCAGTGATGCAATCATGGCTCACTGAAGCCTCAATGTCCTTGGTTTCCAGCAATCCTCTCACTGAATAGCTAGGACTACAGGGAAAGGCCACCATGTCCAGCTCTGCCATAGATTTTAATTAGGAATTAACTACAAAATAAGCCAGACATGGTAGCTTGCAATTTGGGAGGCTGAGGAGGGTAGATTGCTTGAGCTCAGGAGTTTGAGACCAGCTTGGGCGGTATGGCAAGACCGTGTCTCTACAATGAATAAAAATTAAGCAAATGTGGTGGTGAGCACCTGTATCCCAGCTGAAACGAGAGGCTGAGGTGGGAGTATCACTTGAGTGAGCAGCAAGACGTGACTGCCAATGCACTCCAGCCTGGGCGAAAGAGCGAGAGATCCTGACTTTTTTTTTTTTTTTTTAGATGGAGTCTGGCTCTGTCGCCCAGGCTGGAGTGCCCTGGCGTGATCGTGGCTCACTGCAACCTCCGCCTCCCGGGTTCAAGCGATTCTCTTGCCTCAGCCTCCCGAGTAGCCTGGGACTACAGGTATGCGCCACCACGCCAGGCTAATTTTTGTATTTTTAGTAGAGCTCTGGTTTCAACTTGTTGGCCAGGCTAGTCTTGAACTCCTGGCCTCAAGTGATCCTCCCGCCTCAGCCTACCCAAATGCTGGGATTACAGGTGTGAGCCACTGCACCTGGCCTTGACCCTGACTCTTAAGGGAAAAAAAAAAAAAAATTCCAAACTCATTTTATGAGGCCAGCATAACCATGACAGCAAAACCTGATGAGAAAATGCTAAGAACAGAAAGTTAAAGATCAATATCTGGACGGGCACAGTGGCTCACGCCTGTAATCCCAGCACTTTGGGAGGCCAAGGCGGGCGGATCATGAGGTCAGGAGATCGAGACCATCCTGGCTAACATGGTGAAACCCCGTCTCTACTAAAAATACAAAAAAATTAGCCAGGCATGGTAGTGGGCACCTGTATTCCCAGCTACTCAGGAGGCTGAGGCAGGAGAACGGTGTGAACCTGGGAGGTAAAGCGTGCAGTGAGTCGAGATCGCGCCACTGCACTCCAGCCTGGGCGAGAGCGAGCCTCCGCCTCAAAAAAAAAAAAAAAAAAAAAAAAAAAAGATAAATATCCTCCACAAATACAGACTAAAATAATCCTTTTAAAGTATATTAAACAATCAAATATAGCCAACACATTAAAAAAAAAAATACAATGTCATCAAATGAGGTAAATTCCAGGAATGCAAAGTTGATTCAACCACTACAAAAATCTTACAATTAAATAATATTAACTGATTAAAAGGAGAAATATCATTACATCAGTGGATACTGAAGAACGGTATCAAAATTTGGCATTCATTCATAAAAACTCAGAAAAATCCAGGAAGAAAGCTTCCTGAAATTGATGAAACATCTATTGTGTGATATCACACACCATGGTAAAATATAAATGTGTTCTTTCGAAGACAGAGAAAAAAGCAAAAATGTCTGCTTTCTAAACCGCTATTGAAAATTACAGTGGAGGTATAATATAATTGGAGGTTTGTGTAATAGAAAATCCTAAGAAATCTACAAAAAAGTGCCAGAATACATGATTTTTTAAAAAGCAATAGAATACACGGCCAAAAATTAAGGAATATTAATTCTCTTTCCACATACTAGGAAAAAATAAGTGGAAAAATTTACACTGTCAGTAACAAAAAAAATGAGATATAAATTTAACAAAATGTGAAAGACCTCTAATAAAACATACAAACCACAGAAGAGGAAAAATTACATTAAATGCTGGTGCTAAAACTTACATGGAAAACCTAAGAGCTATAATAGCAAAAACAATATTGAAAAATGTGAACAAAAGTTGAAGGAGTTTACTCAATTTCAATACTTACTAAAAAAAAAAACTATAATAACTCAGGCCCTGTGGTATTAAGTACAATGAGATGGTTAGAATAGAATACTGAATCTAAATGTAGACATGTGTGATGATTTTCAACAAAGGCAGCAAAATAGTTCAATGTGAGAAGTAGTGTCTTTTCAGCAAATGGTATACAAACAACTAAATACCTATGTGGGGAATAAAATTAACTTCAACCCTTAATTCATAACATCCTCAAAAACAACTTTAAATTGGGTCACAGACCTAACTATAAAAGCAGAAGGCATAAGCTTTCTACAAGAAAACACAGAAAAACACATTTGCAACACTAATATAGGCAAAAAATTTCTTAGGACACAAGAAAAGTTAAGAGCACCTGTCCTCCAAAAAAAAAGTGTTAAGAAAATGAAAATCCAAGCAACTGTGAATAGGGGCTTGAACTGGTTATACTTAAATTCAGAAAAATCAAATGCTAAATTTATAAATTCACTAGAAAACAGAAAACCAATAAAAAGGACAAGTACTAATTCTCCTGCTTATTATTTTTTTATCCTTTAATCCCTCCATCTGGAGTTCAAGAACTGCTTGGGACATTTTCCTTGCATCTTTGTCACCTTCAGCGTTAGTGCTTTAGCCTTCGACCAGACAACACACCATCAGCTGAGTGCAAAATACATACAGACCAACGCTGATGAGTCTAGCTTCTCCTAGTATTCTTAACTGCCCTGTATGTATATACATATGTATATACATATATACATCCAGTGCCCATCTTATACATATGTATATTGCCCTATATGTCTATACATATGTATATTGCTCTATATGTCTATACATAGGTATATACATATGTATATTGCCCTACATGTATATATCTATGTATATACATATATACACCCAGTGCCCATCTTAATTATCAATTGCTCTGTGTTTAGTGCCAGATAAATCATACAGACTTATCAATTGCTCTGTTTAGTGCCATATAAACCATATAGTCTTCTCCTATTTTTAACCGTATACTTCCTGAGTTTTAGTAACTCATCTTACTTTTAGATCCAGATAGCTTCCTATATTTTACAAATTTCTCAATAATGAAAAATAATGTTCTGGTTTTCCTAGGCTTTTTTTTAATACTCTTTTCTGTCTGTCACTGTACAAGTTTAGGGCAGGAGAGATGGTTATATGCTTCATATACATCTTAATCTAAATCCTAGATTTTTTTCTTCTACTTTTTCATTATTTTTCATGCTCACAGAATAGTAAAATAAAAAAGAGATATAATTTACTACAATCCTTCATCTTAGGCTGTTTTGAAGAACTGTAATTCATCTCCTAATAACCAGAAAAGGTTCTAATTCCTCCTGTTATTTCATTTCAATAAAGTATATTAAAAAAAAAAACCTACCAATAACTTTAATGACTTAGTTTCTAGTCCCCAAATTTTAAATCTCCACTTTCTAGATTTCAGTGAAATTCTATAAACTTGGATGATTAGTATGAGACCTGTAATTCACCAACTGATATATATAGTCTCTTATTTACAAGCTGCTCCCACAAAGATGGGTGAAGAAGGCTAATAAATCATAAAATGCCTATCATAGGTCTTTACTTTTCGAAGTATGCTAGAGCTTATTTTTTGAAAATGTGATCACTGGCTCACTGAGGACACAAACATTTAATGGTCAATAAAAAATACCTTATCAATAAAGAACATTTTGGGTTGTTTTTTGTTTTTTGTTTTTGTTTTTGAGACTGAGTCTCACTCTGTCGCCCAGGCTGGAGTGCAGTGGTATGATCTCAGCTCACTGCAACCTCCGCCTCCTGCAACCTCCTTCAAGTGATTCTTCTGCCTCAGCCTCTGGAGTAGCGGGAATTACAGGCACGCACCACCATGCCTGGCTAATTTCTATATTTTTAGTAGAGATGGGGTTTCACCACATTGGCCAGGCTGGTCTTGAACTCCTAACCTCAAGTGATCTGTCTGCTTTGGTCTCCCCAAGTGCTGGGGTTACAGGTATAAGCCACCATGCCCAGCCCACTTTGAATTTAATTACATTGAATAGAAGTTAGGCCAGAATTTACATAACTGGTAACTAAGGTTCATCACACTTAGAAGAAATTCATTACCAGAGAACTTCAAATTTGCATCCACATAAAGCATTCCCTAGAGATTTCAATAAGTTAAACTATATATAGGTACGTATTCCACTTTTTCATATGAATGTGATTCTGTTGCAATTTAAAAACCATTAATTTTAAAACATTACTAAATTAAAGATGTTTTTGGTCGCTGTAAGTTTTCTCTATAAACAAAGAGTAAAACTACTCAAATGATTAAAGAAAATTAAAAAAAGATATCCATAAAAGGGACAATCTATTCATACTTGAAAGTCGAGAACTGTGGACCCACAGCAAGCAATGAATCATCCCATGGTATTGCTGAGAATGACTAAATTAAATCTAACACTCTCATGCAGAAGAATACAAACCATTTTTGGGAAGTACTACTTCTTCTATATTGGGTACAGGTGTTGGGTCTTCCATATCCTTGGTTAGATCTTCTTGCTCATCTTCCTCTTTCTGACTTCTGCGCTTCCCATAAAGGCTAGCTTGGCTAAAACATACAAGTATATGAAATATAAACAAGACTGATTATAGCTACTGATAGCAAACAGTTTCTGAGGTTGTACACCTTCATTATTTGTAGAACATATGCTCAAGATCACTTTAAAAGACAAACAGTAGGTCGGTCGCGGTGGTTCATGCCTGTAATCAGAGCACTTTGGGAGGCCGAGGCAGGTGGATCACTAAGGTCAGGAGTTTGAGACCAGCCTGACCAACATAGCGAATCCCCGTCTCTACTGAAAATACAAAAATAAGCCGGGCATGGTGGCAGGCGCCTGTAATCCCATCTGCTCAGCAGACTGAGGTAGGAGAATCGCTTGAACCCGGAAGGTGGAGGTTGGAGTGAGCTGAGATGGCGCCAGTGCACTCCTGCCTGGGTGACAGAGAGAGACTCCATCTAAAAGAATTTTTAAAAATAAAAAAGGCAAACATTAAAAAGAAAAAATTAGATAACTTCCCCCAAATTACATCTAACCAGCCAATAAAAGAAAAATAAAAGTTAACAGGCATAAAAAATGGGCAAAAAATCCTACTAGACAATTGCGGGCAGTATCACAAAAGGGACCTAAATTAGTGTAATAAAATAACAACTGCTAAGGAAATATGATATATTCTAAGATTATAAGCAATCACATATGTGATCAAAGATACGTACCATTGTGTTTTAATGGCCCTTTTATCATCCAAATATCAGGAACTACAAGTAGAATCCCTAAATATAGTACTAATTCTTTTGTATAAAATCTTCCACTGCTCTTGCACCAAAAATTCAATCAAATCATTATTAATTTTAAAACTAATAAATGTCAGGGGGCTCAAAAAAAAAAAAAAAACCCCAGTGATGATTCTTTACCTTTAGGGATTACAAGGGATATAGGACAGAAATCTTTACCTCACATAACATGATTCATACAGAGAGAAATACGATAGAAGTATTATATTTCAGTGCAGAGAAATGAATAAAAGTACCAAGAAAATACATCATAGAGAGATTGTAAGGACTGAAGGTCAGAGTTAAGCTGAACCTTGAGAATTGTTTAACAATTCACTAAGAGGTAAGGGCTGGGTGTGGTGGCTCATGCCTGTAATCCCAGAACATTGGAAGGGCAAGGCAGAAGAATTGCTCGAGGCCAGGAGTTCGAGACCAGCCTCGGAAACAGGGCGAGACCCCATCTCTACCAAAAAACAAAAAATTTAAATTTTAAGACAGGGTCTCACTCTGTTGTCCAAGCTGGAATGCAGTGGTGCAATCACAGGTCACTGCATCCTTGAACTCCTCAGCTCAAGTGATCCTCCTGCCTCAGGCTCCTGAGTAGCTGAGACTATAGGTGCACACCATCATGCCCAGACTATTTTTCTTTCTCTAATTTATTCTAGATACAGGGTTTCACTATGTTGCCTCAGGTGATCTCAAACTTAAGCCATCCTCCTACCTTGGCCTCCCAAAGTGCTGGGATTGCAGGCAAGAGCCACTGGCTCCTGGCCCAAAAAGTTTTGTTTTCTTTTCTTTTGTTTTGGTGGGGGCGGGGGTAGGAGACAGTCTTGCTCTGTTGCCCAGGCTGGAGAGAAGTGGCACTATCTCAGCTCACTGCAATCTTTTCCTTCCCAGGTTCAAGCAATTCTCATGCCTCAGCCTCCCCAGTAGCTGGGATTACAAGGGCGCTCAATCACGCACCGGCTAATTTTTTTTTTGTATTTTTAGTAGAGACGGGGTTTCACCATGCTGCCCAGGCTGGTCTCTAACTCCTGAGCTCAGGCAATCTGCCCACCTCAGCCTCCCAAAGTGCTAGGATTACAGGCATGGGCCATCACGCCCGGCCTCCAAAAAGTTTTTAATGCTAAGCCGGGCATGGTGGCATGCACCTGTAGTCCTAGCCACTGAGGAGGACTGCTTGACCTCAGGGTTTTAAGGTTACATGACTGCACCACTGCCCTCCAGCCTTTATTCTGCATCCTGAAGCACTGTCTTGTTTTAATTATTATTTTTATTCATTTATTCCTCAGCAGATGTTATTATACTAATTTAAACCCCTAATTTATTTGTTATCATTTTTTTTTTCTGCCAAAGAGCAAGATCTTGTCTGGCAAAAATAAATAAATAAAATAATAAAGAAAGACAATGCTTCAGGATGTAGAATAATGGCCAAAAGGTATAAGAAAAGAAAAACACACTTGCTTTGGGAAGTACTGGGTAGCAATCTAAACTGCACTGTGAAGTGAGAGTGGAAATGGAGAAAAAGCTGTCTGAAACAGCATGCTGGGCCAGCCTGAGTTCTACAGTGCAGAGCGAATGCTCAAAGTTCCCTTTGAGGGATGACATATTGGCTTAGGTTGAATAGGATACATAAAGGAAAATTTTTTTCCAAATAAAAATCGCATGATGAGTTTTGTTTTTGTTTTTGAGATAGAGTCTTCCTCTGTCACCCAGGCTAGAGTGCAGTGGCGCGATCTCAGCTCACTGCAAGCTCCGCCTCCTGGGTTCATGCCATTCTCCTGCCTCAGCCTCTTGAGTAGCTGGGACTACAGGCGCCTGCCACCACACCCGGCTAATTTTTTTTGTATTTTTAGTAGAGACAGCGTTTCACCGTGTTAGCCAGCATGGTCTCAATCTCCTGACCTCGTGATCCGCCCGTCTCGGCCTCCCAAAGTGCTGGGATTACAGGCATGAGCCACTGCACCCGGCCTTTATTTATTTATTTTTTAAACAAAAGGAAGGAGAGTACACTTGGAAGAGGGCCAAGCAGGCAACTTGAAAGACAAGTGCTGCATGATGATTTTTTTAAAAGCCTATAAACCTAAAGGCAGCAGAGAGATAAAATACTTAAAGGGGAAGAAAACATACAGTGCAGATGAATGAAACAAAAGTTGGGAAAACAGATTTCAAAATATTTTCTAAGTATATTTTTAACATAACTCTAAGGAGAAATGTAAAATGAGAAAAGGCGTGGTCATTACAAGGCAAATGTATTCCATTAAAGTACATGCATACATATATTTTAGAGAACTCAATCTGGTATGCGTTATATTCAGAGTAGAGGGTATATGTCACCACTGTGAGCCTCATGCCTCCTAGAGATCACATCTTGGTTCAATAACCACTGGTGTCCTGGCACCCCATTTTATCTCATTATAGTTGACAGTGCGCTCCCTGCAAAGATCTCATGTAGTTCCAAAATCTCTGAACAGCAACAACAATATTCAGATTAGAAATGTAAGAAACAGGCCAGGTGTGGTGGCTCACGCAAATAATCCCAACACGTTGGGAGGCCGAGGTGGAAGAATTGCTTGAGACCAGGAGTTGGAGACCAGTGTGGGTAACAAGACAAGACACTATCTCTACAAAAAATACAAAAATTAGCTGGGTGGGGTATTGCGCACCTGTAGTCTCAGCTACTCCAGAGGCTGAGGTAGGAGAATCGCCTGAGCCCAGGAGATGGAGGCTGCAATGGGCCAAGATCGCACCACTGTGCTCCAGTCTGGGCAACAGAGCAAGACCCTGTCTCAAAAAAAAAGATGAAATGTTAAATATATATAAAAAGAATGTAGGCCAGGCACGGTGGCTCATGACCCTGTCTCAAAAAAAAAAAAAAAAAAAGATGAAATGTTAAACATATATAAAAGGAATGTATGCCAGGCACAGTGGCTCACGCCTGTAATCCCAGCACTTTGGGAGGCCGAGGCAGGTGGATCACGAGGTCAGGAGATTGAGACCACCCTGACCAACGTGGTGAAACCCCGTCTCTACTAAAAATACAAAAAAAATTAGCTGGGCGTGGTGGCACGAGCCTGTAGTCCCAGCCACTAGGGAGGCTGAGGCAGGACAATCGCTTGAACATGGGAGGCAGAGGTTGCAGTGAGCTGAGATTGTGCCACTGCACTCCAGCCTGGTAACAGAGCGAGACTCCGTCTCAAAAAAAAAAAAAAAAAAAACGAACTATAAAAAATAGTTACCCCATAAACAGCTAACGAAAAATCTATTTTTATAATTTCAATTTTCATGTCATAATATGTGTGGGCTCAAAAACTAAGTTTTTAAAGGTTTTTTGATGAGTGTAACTTGCTTAATAATATATGAAACTAAGAGGTTTTTAAATGTCCCTAAAGACTTCTATTAGTAAGAGTGTTGTCATAACTACCCTTCAGGAAATAATACGATTCAAGGCATGTTCTGGGAACAGAAATGCCAACTAGGGTAGAGAGGAAAGTCTATATAAGGAAGCTGCAGGAGAGATGTCAATTGTATCTTTACACTTCAATCAACATCCAAAAAGTTGACTGTCACATGAAAATAATCAATTTACAAACCATAATTGTCTTGCCAAGTCTAAACTATAAAAATTATAATGAAAATATTTTAAGCTAGGCAAACCAGAAATTATGTAACTTAATATATACCAATTAATTATTAAGTACTATTTACCATTTATTAAGTGTGTATTTAAAGCCAGGCAATGTGCAAAGGCTTTAAAGTCTCATTTAACCCTCAAAACAATCTATTCAGTAGAAATCGTAATCCTCATTCAACCAAAGCTCACTAAGTACAAAAGTGTAGCCCTGAACCAGGCGTTGTACTGCCATGCTTTGCAGAACATCAAGCAGCCACATATTCATCTCTTCTATGAGCTTATTTGATCACAAATGGGACAAGTGGTAAAATCAGAAAAGGAGACACTAAACATGGTGAATATAATGTCTTAAACTTCTTACCAGTCATGCTTCTCAATACATACTTAGATACAAAAAAAAAAAAAAATTCCAAGTGATTCTCCAGCCTCAGCCTCCCAAGTAGCTGGGATGACAGGCGTGCACCACCGTGCCCAGCTAATTTTTATATTTTTAGTAGAGACGAGGTTTCACCATGTTGGCCAGGCTGGATTTGAACTACTGACCTCAGTTGATCTGCCCACCTCAGCCTCCAAAAGTGCTGGGATTATAAGTGTAAGCCACCACGTCCGGCCTGTTTTAATGCCCTTTGAATCATGTAATAGTTCTTACCCTTTCTTCCCACTCTTCTTCCGTGATTCTGTTGGTGTCGGAGGGGGAGGCGAAGGCGAATGTTTCCTCTTTCGAGCATTAGCTGATGCTTTTCTATCTCTTCTTTCTGGACTTCTGACTGGCTAGGAAGAAGTAAATGGAAATAAGTATCAGCTATCTTTGCTCCTCAGTTTCTACAAATCCTTGGCAAAAGGTGAATCTCCACACACAAAGACAACAGCATATCCTTAGTTCAGAGCAAATAAAAAGAATATCATTAATCATCCAGGAACACCAGTAATCAAGAAACTTTCCCTGACCTTTCAGGTGATATATATCATCAATGGAAATATCGGCTATCAGTTATTCAAACTATGCTATAACAGACATGCTGAAACCCTGCACAACTAAAAACTGCTACTGTTCACATTCTGTTTTGAGGTGAGAATTGTATTTCAATAACTACTGGAAAAATGTGAAATACACTCTACTAAACTGACAAAATACAAAGACAGGCCAAACGATCCTGTGAAAATGTAGCATTATAGGAATTATTCTTAATCTCTAAAATAAACAGAAGATAACTTCATGTCATAAGAAATGTTAAGCAAGATGGCAACATGATTTAAAGTCAATGTCTAGGCTGGGTGCCATGGCTCATGCCTGTAATCTCAGCACTTTGGGAAGCCGAGGCGGGAAGATCACTTGAGGCAAGGAGTTCAAGACCAACCTCTCCAACACAGGGAAAGCCCATCTCTACTAAAAATACAAAAATTTAGCTGGGTATGGTGGAGCATGCCTGTACTCCCAGCTACTCAGGAGGCTGAGACATGAGAACTGCTTGAACCCGGTAGGCAAAGGTTGCACTGAATCATGATCATGTCACTGCACTCCACCCTAGGTGACAGAGTAAGACTCCGTCTCAAAGAAGGAAAAAAAAAAAAAGTCAACCTTTATAAGTAAAAACTATCCCGGCTTGCAGATGATACAATTTTATACATAAAAAAAGCTTCCAGACCTAATGAACAAGTTCAGGAAAGTTGCAAGACATTAAGATCAACAAACAAAAGTAAGCCTGCATACAGCAACTACCAATTTAATAAAATAGACTATCATAAAGAAAAAAACACCTAAATTATCAGTACTAGATTAGGTAAAAGCATCAGAGGCATAAGTAAATAATCTAAAATTAAAACATCAATTAGGCTGGTCACGGTGGCTCACACCTGTAATCCCAGCACTTTGGGAGGCCGAGGCGGGGGGAATGCTTGAGCCCAGAAGTTCAAGACCAGCCTGGGAAACATAGTAAGACCTTGTCTCTACAAAAACAAACAAAAAAAAGTTAGCTGGATGTAGGGGTGTGCGTCTGTGGCCCGAATTACTCAGAATACTGAGCCGGGAGGATAGCTTGTGCTCCGAAGGTCAAGGTGACAGTGTGCTATGATCGCAACACTGCACTTCAGCCTAGGCGATAGAATGAGATTCTGTCTCATGCTAAAATGAAAAAATCCATGAATTAAACATTAATTTTCTCTGTTGCCATCCTATTCCTTACAACTGTATTTCCATTCAGAAGCTCCATAGCATCAAACTGAGAAGCTTAAACACCTTATGAGTATGTAATAGCAGTTTGAAAAAAATCTAAAGGATATACACCTTTGAATGATACAGTAAATCTGAAGTTGAATTTTTTTTCTTTTTTTTTTTTTTTTTTTTTTTTTTTTTTTTTTGAGACAGGGTCTCACTCTGACACCCAGGCTGGAGTGCAGTGGCGCGATCTCAGCTCACTGCAACCTCCACTACCCAAATTCAAGTGATTACGGATCACTGAAGCCTTAACCTCCTGGGCTCAATTGATCCCCCTCACCTCAGCCTCCCATGTAGCTGGGACTACAGTTGCGCACCACCATGCCCAGCTAATTTTTGTATTTTTTGCAGAGACAGCGTATTGCCATGTTGCCCAGGCTAGTCTTGGACTCCTGGGCTCAAGCACTCCACCTACCCTGGCCTCCCAAAGTACTGGAATTACAGGCTTTAGCCACCATGCCCAACCCTTAATTTTTTAACAAATATCCATTTCTATATAACCTCCTAAAAATAAATGAATAAACAAACAAACTAAATCTGAACAGAAATGGGTATGAACTGGCCAGTTAAATAATGTAATATAGAAATTGGAATATTCCTAATGACAAAAAAGCCTTGGATTAAAATATATTCAGGGAAAGCAAATATGTAAGTATATCTTCTGGAAAGGTTAAAATAAGAGAATATGAAGAGTCCTCAGCACCATAAGACAGTGGTGGAAAAAAAAAATTTTGAATAGTCCAATTCCAAAACAAACGACAACCAACTGCAAGTAAAAAGGTATGACAAAGACTCAACTGTAAAACATTTTTCTTTTCTTTTTTTTCTCTAAATTTTTTATCAGTTGAAGAGACGAGGTCTTGCTACATTGCCCAGGCTGGTCTCAAACTTCTGGGCTCAAACTATCCTCCTACCTCGGCCTCCGAAAGTGCTGGGATTACAGGTGTGAGCCACTGGGCCCAGTCATTTAATATTTTTGTTTCCTAATATTTTTCCTAAAAATTGGCAAGGCATAGTGGCTCATACCTGTAATCCCAGCATTTTGGGAAGCCAAGGCCGGTGGATCAACTGAGGTCAGAAGTTCAAGATCAGCCTGGCCAACATAGTGAAACTCCATCTCTACTGAAAATAAAAAAATTAGCCAGGTGTGGTGGCACGTGCCTGTAATCCCAGGTACTTGGGAAGCTGAGGCAGGAGAATTACTTGAACCCAGGAGGCAGACATTGCATTCAGCCAAGATCATTCCACTGCACTCCAGCCTGGGCAATAGAACGAGACCCCTTGTCAAGGGAAAAAAAAAATTAATGTGAAAAACAGTAAGGTTTTCATAGTAAAGTCACAGCACTGAAATAGGTATGAAAGTACTGTACTCTGCATGTCAGTGGTTCAAAGAATATCCATCTCTAAGATTTTTCAATAAAGTAAAACAGGTCAGGCGCGGTGGCTCATGCCTGTAATCCCAGCACTTTGAGAGGCCGAGGCAGTCAGATCACCTGAGGTTAAGAGTTCAAGACCAGCCTGGCCAACATGGTGAAATCCCGTTTCTACTAAAAATACAAAAATTAGCCAGATGTGGTGGCACGTGCCTGTAGTCCCAACTACTTGGGAGGCTGAGGCAGGAGGATAGCTTGAACCCAGCAGGTGGAGGTTGCAGTGAGCCGAGATCGCGCCACTGCATTCCAGCCTGGGCAACAGAGTGAGAATCTGTCTCAAAAAATAAATAAATAAATAAAAAATAAAAGTAAAACAACACCCCAGGAAAAGGAACCAGAAGTCTCTAAAAGCTATCACAAACCCAATACTAACACACCTTCTTCTCAGTGTCAAGTCGTCTTCTAGTGACACCTACCACACAAGTTGTCCTTCCACAACTTGTGCCTTACAAGGAATCATGGGTAAATATCTAAGCAACTGAACGTCTTAAAAGATTAAATGATATAAAATGTCAAGTCCTCCACCCTCAGAAAAGTGGATTGAACTATAACTGTTAACATGTTTAAGGCCTATACTTTACACTAACTACCATCTGTGGATTAACAGTTATTTAAGAATATTAAACAGGTCGGGTGTGGTGGCTCATGCCTGTAATCCCAGCACTTTGAGAGGCCAAGGCAGGCTGATCACCTGAGGTCAGGAGTTCGAGACCAACCTGGCCAACATGGAGAAACCCTGTCTCTACTAAAAATGCAAAAATTAGCCAGGTATGGTGGCAAGCGCCTATAATCCCAGCTACTTGGGAGGCTTGAGGCAGGAGAATCGCTTCAACCCAAGAGGCAGAGGTTGCAGTGAGCCGAGATAGTGCCACTGTACTCCAGCCTGGGCTACAGAGCAAGACTCTGTCTCAAAAAATATATATACATACTAAACAAAATGAGTTTTGCATAGGAAAACCAACAGCTACATTAAATTCTGCTGTGATATTACACTTCAGATCTAGTGGGCAAAATCAGCTATACCACTACCCTTCTGCATGGGCCACTTTAAATCTTAATAACCTTTTAAGATTTTCATACCACTTTTTGGGAGGTTATTGTTTCTGAGATGGCTATTACAGCCACTTTGGAATTTTCACCTGATGGCACATCAGCCATCAGGCAGATGTGAAAGTTCCTAAGTGGTTTGTATATGACAGCTTACTGATGAAGATTTAATAACATTTAGGCCAAGAAGACAGACTTAATGATGAGAAACTGTGCCAAAGAAAATACCTCTTCATTCTTGGTTGAAATCCGCTGACGAAAACTCACAGGCTTCCTATTTTCATCCACCTCATAATCCTCCTCATTCATCCATTCATTGAAAATATCAGTGTCCAAAATCCATTTCACATGAACCTAAAACCATATCAAAGCATCAATATCTACATAAATAACAAAATCACTCAAGGTTTTACAGTATTGAGAAGGAAACAAGCTGATTTATTTTCAAAGCCTCAAATGCATAAAACATTAATAATGTGATACTACTAATGATATGTGAGTTGTAATTTAATCATCTCTATTTTTATTCCATATTAAAGAGAACAAGAAAGCATCAATAATTTATACTAGACCCAGATTTTGATAGCAAAGTCCCTCAAATTTGTTTTGCTTAATCATTTCATCCTTATGTTCATGAAAATCACTGATAAAAACATTCAACAGCACAGAGCCAAAATCAGTCATTGCTTTAGGCACGAAGGATGTCTTTGGGTTTATCAACAACACTCTAAGTGTTGATGACAGAGCACATTCGCAGAGGCCGATCACCTGCCCCATCATGTACACATGGTGCTCTAGGTAGGAATGGAAAAGTGACAGTCAGATGGTGGGTTCTTCCTAGTCCTTTATATGGCCACCTCCCTTGTTTAATTTCATGCTTCTGAGTAAGAATAAAATGAAAGGTTGTGTGGACGTACAAATGTAGATGTATATATACATATAGATAGATACTTAAACCACAGGCCTAACCCATATAACATTCCATATTATCCAACAGTATTTCTCAATGGGGGCACAACTGGAATTTGACACTAGAAAATTCTTCCTTGTACAGAAAAACTCAAGTCATGGTGGAGGTTTAAGTTGGAGTAGTGTTGGTTGAAATGAACATGTTCAGTCAAGAACAGATTACAATTATGAAGCCTTTCTAGAACACTGTAAAAACAAGATACACTGTGGCAATGACTAGAAAACAATATGAACTTCCTAGTAATTTGTCAATCTAAACTCCCTGTTTTCAAAGAGCTACTAAACTGGTTATTTGGGATATGCCTTTCAAGTACCTTGAGTTAAGAATGATACCCATCTGACTACACGCCTCCTCTCCCTTGAAAACTATAGTTACACAGTAATATACAGAAACACCAAATTAACAGCCTGTCCAAGACAAATAAAGCCTCCAATAATGTAACCTGAAAAGACTCCTAAATGGACAAATTATGGGAAGAGTGTATAAACAGAGCAGTATAAATAGAGCAGAATAAATAGAGTGTATAGGCCGGGCGTGGTGGTTCATGCCTGTAATCCCAGCACTTTGGGAGGCTGAGGCGGGCAGATCACCTGAGGTCGGGAGTTCAAGACCAGCCTGACCAACAAGGAGAAACCCCGTTTCTACTAAAAATACAAAAATTAGTTAAGGTGGTGGCACATGCCTGTAATCCCAGCTACTCGGGAGGCTGAGGCAGGAGAATCACTTGAACCCAGGAGGCGGAGGTTGCAGTGAGCCAAGATCACGCCATTGCACTCCAGCCTGGGCAACAAGAATGAAGTTCCGTCTCAAAATAAATAACTAACTAACTAACTAAATAAATAAATAGAGTATATAAATAGAGGCTTAAGCTAGTTAGAAAAAAAAAATAGGACTGTGCTAAATAAAAGGGTTAATTAACTGATAGTTTAGAAAATAAATGTCAAAATAGTGTTTTCCAAAGTGTGAGAAACATGTGTATACATTGCTTCCTTTTTTTTTTAAAAGAGCTGAATTTTCACACTGATAATCCTTTAACTACTGAGAAATCCTTGAAAGAAATCTCCTGAGAAAGAATGTTAGAGGAGTATGTGACAGCTAACAACTGTTTGTGTCAGGCACTATGCTGAACATCTTACACGTATAATCTCATTTAACTCTCCTAAGCACAGTGAAATAATGCGGGTATTATACTCTCTGGCTTTCCAAATCAGAAAACTTGGGCAAACAGTTTTAGTAAGCTGACTATTTACACTCCTAATTAGAGGCAAAGCTTGGATTTGCACTAAGTTCTCCCTGAGCTCTCAAGTCCTATGCTTTGTTATCTCTCTCATAAAAAATACCTTCATGTCAAAATAATACAAAAGTCCATGTGTCCTTGGGTAAAACTACTTAACTTGTGGAGCCTAGTTTCCTTCCTAATAATGTGATACCATAGTTAAGTAATCATTCCCAGTTCTGATACTATAATCTACAGGGAAATAGATGTCTAAAAATCCTTCAGTAGTACTTCACAACATTACATGGCTCATGAGTCACATGGCTTACTCCTTTACTATTAGATGATAGTATAATTTCAACATTTAATTTCCAAAAATAGTTAAAAACAGAAAAATCTGGGCCAGGCGCAATGGCTCACACCTGTAATCCCAACACTTTGGGAGGTCCAGGCGGGCAGATCACAAGGTCAGGAGATCGAGACCATCCTGGCTAACACAGTGAAACCCCATCTCTACTAAAAAAAGAAAAATTAGCCGGGCTTGGTGGCGGGCGCCTGTAATCCCAGCTACTCAGAAGGCTGAGGTAGAATGGTGTGAACCCGGGAGGTGGAGCTTGCCGTAAGCCGAGATCGCGCCACTGCACTCCAGCCTGGGCGACAGAGCCAGACTCCGTCTCAAAATAAATAAATAAATAAATAAATAAATAAATAAATAAATAAAAGATAAATCTGGAAGAAGGGTACCAAGTAGTGCTTTGTTTTGTACTACTCTTGCAACTTGTAAAATTAATTTTTTTGTTTTGAGACAGGGTCTTAACTTGTTATAAAGGCTGGAGTGAAGTGGTTGCAATCACGGCTCACTGCAGCCTCAACCTCCTCAGCTCAAGCAATCCTCCTGCCTCAGCCTTCCAAGTATGTAGCTAGGACTATAGGGCACTTGACATTATGCTCAGATAATTTTTTTTTTTTGGTAGCTCAGGCTGGTCAAGCAATCCTCCTGCCTTAGCCTCCCAAAGTGTTGTTATTACAGGTGTGAGCCACCATGCCCCATAAACTTTATTTCCACATCAAAAGTTGATTAAAAGTCAATGTATGGACTCTTATTACATTATGGTAGAAATGATTAATAAAGTAAGTCTGTATCATTCTAAAAGTCACACAGGCATTGCTTCCAAGCTACCCAAATGACATCATCAGTGATGTTCAACTCTACTCCTCACACTCCTCTCTCACAAACCACAATCTGACCTGCCTTTGGATTCTCCTCAAACATCAAGCACTGCAGACATTTCATCTAAGACCTAGATAATAAAGTCTTCATGGCCGTACGTATCTTGTAAATGGATGACAGGAAAGGGAAACCAACATTCTGTATCTCCTTAGAGAGACTGCTGTAGAAAACAGCTGAGAAGAGCTATTAGATTATTGTAAGAATTTTTTTGGCCAGGCACGATGGCTTACACCTGTAATCCCAGCACTTTGGGAGGCTGAGGCAGGCCGATCACCCGAGGTCGGGAGGCTGAGGCCAGCCTGACCAATCCAGTAAAACTCCGTCTCTACTAAAAATACAAAAATTAGCCTAACGTGGTGGCGTGTGCCTATAGTCCCAGCTACTTGGGAGGCTAACGCACGAGAATCACTTGAACCCGGAGGCGGAGGTTGCAGTAAGCCAAGATCGCACCACTCCACTCTAGCCTGGGCGACAGAGTGAGACGCCATCTCAAAAAAAATTTTAAAAAGATTATTGTAAGATTTTTTTTGTTAAATCATTTACCTTCCATGGTTTTTCTGGAATTGGTGGATCTTCAATTTCAGCATCAACATCATTACTATGGACCCAAGTATCATAGCTATAAAGGAATCAAAATGAGAAAAACAAATTAGAGTCAAAGGTAATTCATTAGAAAGACTTTTACAAATAATAAGAACATGTTTTAGAAATACTACTAAAATCCCAGCCTGGTCAACATGGTGAAACTGCGTCTCTACCAAAAAATACAAAAATTAGCCGGGCATGGTGGGATGTGATTGTAGTCCCCACTACCCAGGAAGCTGAGGTGGAAGAATCGTTTGAACCCAGGAGGCAGAGGTTGCAGTGAACTGAGATCACACCACTGCACTTCAGTCTAGGCAACAGAGTGATACCCTATCTCGAAACAAAACAAAACAAAACAAAAAACTAAAAGAAATACTACTAAAATCTATTAATAGAAACTTATCAGACACTTTTGTCCTTACTATTCTGCCAAGAAAGCTCCTCTGTAGAGGTCACCAGTAACGTATATATTGCTAAACCCGAAGTTCAAGACTAAGATCAAAAAATTTTAAACAGCTGCTTGGTCTTTCCTCAAAGCATTTCCCTCACTTGGCCACCAAGAAAGTACTATCACCTGATAGTCCTTATATTCACCAGCCTCTCTTCAGTTTCCATGTCAGTTTCTGGTCTTAGTCCCAAATGTCTTCAACCTCCAAAAGTTCCTGGGTTCAGTTTTTGGAAAAATCCTTCTCCCTTGCTAATTTCATTCATTCCTATAACTCCAAATATACGCTGATGACTTCAAATTTTATATCAGCACTCTCCCATGTATTCTGAACTCATAAATCCAACAGCCAACTCCACATCTCCTTGTGTAGAACATCTAACAAGCATTCCAAACCTAACACTCAAAGCTCAACTTGCAATGCTACCCTGGCCCCAGCGATGTACTCTAGCCAATCATTTCCATTTCAGTAATGACAACTTTATCCTTCCTGCTGTTCGCCAAAATCCTTGGAAACAGCCTTGATTCCATTCTCAAGCACATCCTGTAATCAAACCAACTGCAAATGTGACCAGCTCTAACTTCAAAAGTATGTCTAGAATCTATCTAATTCTTACCCCTCCACTCTGCTCACTGGTTTTCCTGCTTCTGCCATTGGTCTCTTGGTCTCTCAAAGAGTTAATTTTTCACATAGCCATTGTGATCTTTTTGAAAACTAAGTCAGTCCACATCACTCTACTGATCCAACACTTCCAACTGCTCTCACCCTATCAGAGTGAAAGTAAAAAACCTAACGATGGCTTGCCATGGCTTCAAGATCTAATTATCTGACAGAGACTCTGACCCCATTTCCTGCTCTTCTGTCCTTATTCATGTTATATTTGAGCCACACAGGCTTTGATAACATTATTCCAACATTCCCTACTAAGCCTGCATACACTCTACACAGATTGCTCCCTCACTGTCCAGATATCCATATAGCTTACTCTCTTATTTCTTCACATCTCTTTGCTCAAGGAGCCTCTTTATCAACAAGAACTCACTGACATAAATCAGACCACCTACTCCAACAAAATCATAAAATAGGCACAAAATTTTAACCAAAATAAAACACTGTGAATATCACTATACTGACCAGTAAACTATGAAACCAAATGACATCTAGTATGATGACAAGTATTAGCTTCCTTTTAGTCACCATTCAGAGGTCAGTTCAAAAGAATATGGAACCTGGCCAGGCACAGTGACTCACGCCTGTAATTCCAGCACTTTGGGAGGCCAAGGCAGTGGACCACCTGAAGTATAAGGAGTTCAAGACCAGCCTGGCCAACATGGTGAAATCCCGTTTCTATTAAAAAATACAAAAATTAGCGGGGCGTTGTAGTGTGCACCTGTAATCTCAGCTACTTGGGAGGCTGAGGCAGGAGAATCGCATGAACCTGGGAGGTGGAGTTTGCAGTGAGCTTAGATCGCACCACTGCACTCCAGCCTGGGTGAGAGTGAGACTCCATCTCAAAAAAAAAAAAAAAAAAAAAAAACCCAACCTTATACTCTTCCAGTCTTGATTAGAAATTGAAATGTGGGGAGAAGTGAGGGCACAGGCCATAGTTAATTTTTAAAAAGTGAATTAACAAGACTCCTTAAGACAAAACCTGAGCCAGCTGCCACATCTTATTCGATACATAAGGAAAAAGTGAGCAAACAGGCTATGGTCTTAAAATGTGTTATTTTGGAACTTATACCAACTCTATACTTATGTAGCTTGTCATCATAAATTTAAGTTTCCATTGAAGGGTTTCAAAGGGCAAACCTTTTCCTATATAGTTGCTGAAATATTAAAAGGTGTTTTTGGATGCAAGGACTACTGACTTGAAGCCTTTAGACTGGGAGTGCTTTACAGAAAGAACTTATTCAAATGATGTTTTAAAAATAAGCTGGGCCTAGTCACATGTACTTGTAGTCCCAGTTAGTAAGGAGGCAGAAGAATCACATGAGCCCAGGAATTTGAGGCCAGTCTGGGCAACATATTTTTAAAAAGTAAAAAACTAATCCTTAGGGGAGGGGAAGTTATTCACTTAAATTTGTCAATTATGGTTCACATGAGACTGATTACAAAGCTGACTTGATTTAGTTGTAATTAACTCGAACTACATAAAAAGATTGTATATACTTTTAAAATGTTGAATGAATCTAAAGACAAACTTCCTTCTTTTAAAAATATAATTACAAGCAAAATAAACTTAAATAGACTAATAAAAACAATGCAAAACCTGATGTTTTATGTTTACTGATAAAGAATACACATATATGCAATAGTCTTGTTCCTCCCCAATTAAAATGGAATCTGACTAACCTTAGATCCGGCTACCAATTTAAGGGAAATACAGAGAACACAGTAATCCGTTCAAATAAACCATAGTGCTGCCATTGAAAAACTCCATACTGTGGTAAACGAAACATGACAAACCAACTGGTTTCTTAAAACCAGTAAGGTTTTAAGAAAGGGGAGGTCATGAAGACAGAGGAAGAACCTATAAAACTATAAATCAGAAAAGTACTTAAATATACCAACTAATCCCAACAGGTAGATTTTATCTAAATTCTAATTCAAACAACTATCAATCAATCAATCGTGTCATTTAATTGACAACATTGACTGGATTTTTATTTTTATTTTTTTGAGACAGGGTCTCACTCTGTTGCCCAGGCTGGAGTGCAGTGGCACGGTCTCAGCTCACTGCAGCCTCAACCTCTGGGGCTCAAGTAATCCTCCTGCCTCAGCCCCATCCCAAGTATCTGGGACTACAGGCACGTGTCATCATGACTGGCTAATTTTTGTATTTTTTGTAGAGACAAGGTTTCACCACGTTGCCCAAGGTGGTCTAGAACTCCTGGCCTCAAGTGATCCACCCACCTCAGCCTCCCAAAGTGCTGGGATTACAGGCATGAGCCATCATGCCCAGCCATGATATTTTATATTAAGGAACTGTTTGGGTTTTTTTAAGATGACAATGGTATTATTACTTTGAACAGTTTGAGGCCAGGAGGTTGAGACCAGCCTGAACAACATACAGAGCACCCCCCCTGCCCCCGCCAACAAAAAATTAAAAAATAAGGCACCTATGGGTGGCACGTGCCCGTAGTGCCAGCCCCCAGGGAGGCTGAGGTTGGAGGATCACTTGAGCTGTCTTCATGCCACTGCACTGCAGCCTGGGTAACAGAGCAAGACCTTGTCTCAAAAAAAAAAAAAAAAAAAAAAAAGGCCAGGCACGGTGGCTCACACCTATAATCCCAGCACTTTGGGAGGCCAAGGTGGGTGGATCACCTGAGGTCAGGAGTTTGAAACCAGCCTGGCCAACATGGCAAAATCTCATCTCTACTAAAAATACAGAAATTAGCCAGGTGTGGTGGCATGCGCCTATAATCCCAGCTACTCAGGAGGCTAAGGCATGAGAATCGCTAGAACCAGGGAGGCGGAGCTGAGGTTGCGCCACTGCACTCCAGCCTGGGAGAAAGAGTAAGACTCCATCTGAAAAAAATTAAAGAGAGAATGTATTTCTTTTTAAATACATACTAAAACACTTATGATTCAAATGGTGTTTGGGATTTGCTATAAATAATATGAGAAGACGAGAAGTAGATAGAAGAAGAGGTTAAAAAAAAGTGGGGGGTAGGGGCAAGGGATAAAAGACTACAAATAAGGTGCAGTGTATACTGCTCGGATGATGGGTGCACCAAATCACCATTAAAGAATTTACTCATGTAACCACATATCAACTGTACCCCAATAACTTATGAAAAAATAAAATAAAAAAATAAAAATAAAAAAAGTAGGTGAAAGAAGACTGACTAGACCTGTAGAAAACACAATGAAAATCTCCACTTTACATGACAAGAATGAAATAAATACTAAAACTGCTCTACTATAGGTTTAGAAAAATATAGTACAAACAATGTTATCCCTATTTCCATGTGCACTATGCAGGCATTAATATTAAATAATTATTTAATAAATTAAAAAAAATTTTTTTTTGAGATGGAGTCTCTGTCACCCAGGCTGGACTGCAGTGGCGCAATCTCGGCTCACGGCAAGCTCCGCCCCCGGGGTTCATGCCATTCTCCTGCCTCAGCCTCCCAAGTAGCTGGGACTACAGGCACCCACCACCATGCCCGGCCAATTTTTTTGTATTTTTAGTAGAGACGGGGGTTTCACCGTGTTAGCCAGGATGGTCTCAGTCTCCTGACCTCGTGATCCGCCCGCCTTGGCCTCCCAAAGTACTGGGATTACAGGTGTGAGCCACCACGCCCGGCCCCACTATTTTCACTAATATCTAGCTCTTGTTTATAATACTCGTTATTCATACTGTAGATACTGAAACTAGTATGGGTTATAACATGTAAAGCCACAACAGTACTAGGCAAATAAATTTCTGATGAGAAAACTCAATTTTCAACATAAATTAATTTCATCCTTAGTGGTTTCGCATAAGTAGTTTTTGAAAAAAGCAAACTGATCAGGCTGGACGCGGTGGCTCACACCTGTAATCCCAGCACTTTGAGAAGCCAAGGTGGGTGGATCACCTGAGGTCAGGAGTGCAAGACCAGCCTGACCAGCATGGTGAAACCCCGTCTCTACTAAAAATACAAAAATTAGCCAGGCATGGTTGGGGGGCATCTGTAATCCCAGCTACTAGGAAGGATGGAGGCAGGAGAATCACTTGAACCCAGGAGGTGGAGGTTGCAGTGAGTCGGGACTGTGCCACTGTAATCCAGCCTGGGCGACAAAGCGGGACTCTGTCTCAAAAAAATCTGATCAGTAATAAACACTAGAAAAAAAATTATTTATTTTTTGAAGACAGAGTGAGACTCTGTCACCAAGGATGGAGTGTAGTGCCATGATCTCGGCTCACTGCAACCTCCGCTTCCCAGGTTCAAGTGATTCTCATGCCTCAGACACCTGAGTAGCTGGGATTACAGGCGTGCGCTACCATGTCTGGTTAACTTTTTATAGTTTTAGTAGAGATGGAGTTTCACCATGTTGGCCAGGCTGGTCTTGAACTCCTGACCTCATGTGATCCACCCACCTTGGCCTCTCCAAGTGCTGCGATTACAGGCATGGGCCACTGTGCCCGGCAAAATTCATTTCTTAAAAGAAACAAATATAAATTAGCAACCTAATACCACACAGACTTTTTTGGCAACTACATAAAAGATATGAGGTTTTGTTTTTGGTTTTTTTTGAGACGGAGTCTCACTCCGTTGCCCAGGCTGGAGGGAAACGGCGCAATCTCGGCTCACTGAAACCTCCACCTCCCGGGTTCAAGGGATTCTCCTGCCTTAGCTTCCTGAGTAGCTGGGATTACAGGCACCTGCCACCACGTCTGGCTAATTTTTTTTATTTTTAGTAGAGATGGGGTTTCACTATGTTGACCAGGCTGGTCTTGAGCTCCTGACCTCATGATCCACTGCCTCAGCCTCCCAAAGTGCTGGGATTACAAGCATGAGCCACTGTGCCCAGCCTTGATATCAGTTTTTTTTAAAGCTAAATAAAGCCATTTATGGCTTATTCATTCACCATTTAATGGTGACCTCATTAAATTTTGTACCTTAAATAAGAAAACAGTCAATAAAAGACTCCATAAGTGAGAAAAATGACTAAACACAAAGCAACAAATTGTCACTATTCAGAAAATAAAACTATAAATAAATGTGCCTTCCTTTCACAGAAATCTTTATACCAGGTCTCACAGCATATGAACATTACCTGTCTGGGTAAAAGCCCCAATGCACTAACACTTGCTTCTCTTTTCTCATCACCGGTCTCAACCATTCTTCTGGAAGAGAAAAAGAAACAACTTTACTCAAACTGACAAAATAATAAAGAAACTATGATTTTTAGCCTTAATTTTTACTAAGATGTTTTAGTTTGCTAACGAACAACATTTTTCGAACATGCTGTTGCTGGTTTGGAAAGAAAAAGTTTTCAAATTGAGTACTATCTACCAGATTAAAGGGAAATTTCTCAGTCTTTCTGACTTTCCAAACTGTAGGTCTACTATCCATCACTCTTGACAAAACCAATTATCCACTGCGGTAAAATACTCCCATCCCATTCACCCACCAGCCTCCCCTCTCTCTTCTATCAAAATAATAATCACCATATTATTTAATGTTTCACTTCCCATGGTGAACCTCTCATCCCTCTTTCTGTGAGGCTTAGCAATTATTACACATCTTTCAAGATGTAAACCGTACTTCATCTCATTGATGAAAGTTTTACTAACTACTCTGCTTCCTCTAGATTCCCTTTTTCTGATGTCCTATAAGCTGTAAAGTGCTACATCAAAGCTTTTACCAAAAATACTATTTTTACTATTCTTTCACTGCCTCATACCTGTTAGCCCTCCCAACAAGAGTGTAAGCAATGTGATTACATATTGTAGACTTTTTTTCAAAAATTTTTTCCAAAGATAAGTGCAAATTATATAATAAAGTGATTCTTAGTATTCTAATCACAGTTAAATTACCTCCACATTTCAGCACTGGTAATCATGTGCTTCTTTGGTAGTCTGAATTTAGCTTAGAAAATGGACGCCTAATAGTAAGAGAGAAGTTCTGAAGTAAGCCCCCTTAAAGCCCACAGCAAACAAACAAACAAACAAACAAACAGATCTAAGTAAATTAGCCAAGTAAAAATTACTTTCCAGTGCAGATTTTAACAAGATATAGCCTCATTTTCACTGAATAAAGCCATGAAGCCCTCATACCTGTGCTGTTTTTGAAGTATACAATGACTCACCTAACTATCTTAAAAGAAAGTGAAAGGGGGCCAGGTGTGGTGGTTCATGCCTGTAATCCCAGCACTTTTGGAGGCAGGGGCAGGAAGATCACTTGAGCCCAGGAGTTCAAGACCACCCTGGGCAACAAAGTGAGATTCAGTCTCTTAAAAAATTTTAAAAATAAAAGTAAATAGCTAGGCATGGTGGTGTGCATCTATACTCCCAGCTACTCAGGAGGCTAGGGCAGGAAGATCACGAGCATTATAGTTTGAGGCTGCAATGGGCTATTAATAAGTACACTCTTGCACTTCAGGCTGGGCAAAAATGAGTCTCCATCTCAAAACAAAAGGTGAAAATGACAGAATCAGGCCCTGTTCCCTAACATGGTAACTCAACATGGCAGAGGAAAAAAGAAAAGGGGCCAGAGGATCTTTCTAAATCCCGACTACCTAAACTAACCTGTCCTGTCCTGTTAAGTGTGTCTTGGTGGTGTTCTAACTAGTAAAAGCTGCCTTTCAGAATACTGAGTCCATTATCAAAGACTATGCACCTTTATGAAAAAGAAGAAAAGGTATCTTTCCTAACCACAGCTGACTTTTGATACAAATTTTGATTTTTTTTTTTTTTTTTTTTTGAGACAGAGTTTCACTCTTGTTGCCCAGGTTAGAATGCAATGGTGCGATCTCGGCTCACCACAACCTCTGCCTCCCGGGTTCAAGTGATTTTCCTGCCTCAGCCTCCCAAGTAGCTGGGATTACAGGCATGCGCCACACCATGCCTAATTTTTTGTATTTTTAGTAGAGACGGGGTTTCTCCATTTTGATCAGGCTCATCTCAAACTCCTGACCTCAGGTGATCTACCACCTCGGCCTCCCAAAGTGCTGGGATTACAGGCATGAGCCGCTGTGCCTGGCCAAAAAAATTTTTGATTTTTATCAAGACAATTTTTTTAATTATTTGAAATATTTTCCAATAGCAGAAACAACAAAAGGTGTGAGATGTAAGCTCGCTCTCTTCCCAGGTATTATAAATTTATACCCAAAAATGAATTTATAGAAGTATGGCTGAATGACAAAAGAGTAAGGCCAATGCCATTGAAAGATGAATTACTTATATATCCCAAAAGAAGGAAAATAACATACCATGCAGAGCCACTGCAGAGGCATCACAATAGTCAAGAGGTAGAAGACAGGAACAAGGGGAAGCCTAAGCCAAAGCCTGCATTGGGGTTTCCACAGAAAAGGTAACACAGGGCAGAGTAACAGTTTAAGGTGGGGATGACTGAATAATTGCAAGAAACACTGGGGTACAGAGGTTGTCTCTAATTGCCTGGTACCTCGCCCTGGAATGATTTAGAAAAGGGGAAATACTGGTTTGGTGTGTGAGAGTTAGATAAGGAGACGGTTACAGCTATATACTCAGATTGGTTGGTTTACATATGAAAGATGTGCTCCTAGGCAAGTTATTATCTTCAGAAATTAGCTAGCCCTCAAAAGGGCAATCTCTCCCCAGGTCATCAAATGCCAGAGCAACAAGAACACAGAAAATAAAAATACACAGTTAATATAATAATTAGTATAATGTAAAATACAGTTAATAATTAGCATATCATACAGTTAATATAATAATTGAAATTAGCTTAGATAGAAGAACAGAATTGGGTTTTTTTGTTGGGTTTTTTTTTTTTTTTTTTTTTTTGAGACAGAGTCTCACTCTGTTGCCCAGGCTGGAGTGCAGTGGCACGATCTCAGCTCACTGCAACCAGCCAGGGTGACGGAATGAAATTCTGTCTTAAAAAAAAAAAAATTTAAAAGGCCTACAACTGAACAACAACAAACAATTTAAAAAGGAGGCCAGGCACAGTGGCTCACACCTGTAACCCCAGCACTTTGGGAGGTCAAGGCGGCAGATCACCTGAGGTCAGTAGTTTGAGACCAGCCTGGCCAACATGATGAAACCTTGTCTCTACTAAAACTACAAAAATTAGCTGGGCATGGTGGCGGGGGCCTGTAATCCCAGCTACTTGAGTGGCTGAGGCAGAAATGCTTGAACCTGGGAGGTGGAGGTTGCAGCGAGCGGAGACCACACCACTGCACTTTAGGCCTGGGCAACAAGAGTGAAACTCCGTCTCAAAAAATTAAAAAATAAAAAGAAAAAAGAAAAACGAAAAAAGTACTTGAGTAGGTATTTCTCCAAAGATGATATACAAATGACCAATAAGCATATGAAAAGATACTCAATGTCACTAATCATCAAGACAATGAAAATCAAAACAATGATATATCAGCTTTTTATCTGTTAGGATGACCATTATAACAAAACAGAAAATAAAAAGTGTTAACAAAAATACAGAGAAACTGGAACCATTGCGCACCGTTGGTGAGTATGTAAAATGATGTAGCAGCTATGAAAGGGTCCTCAAAACAATTAAAAACAGTATTACCATACGATCTAGCAATTCCACTGCTGGGTATATGCCCAAAATAAAGTAGGATGAAAGTAGGATGCTGAAGAGATACTTGCACACCCATGTTCATTACAGCAGTATTCACAATAGTCAAAATGCAAAAGCAACCTAAATATCCATCTAAGTATGAATACATAAAAAATGGTATACAAATATAATGGAATACAGGCACATGCTATGACATGAATGAACAATAAGGACACTGTACCAAGTAAAATAGGCCAGTCACAATAATACAAATACTAAATGATTCCACTTATATTAGGTTATCTAGAGTAGTCGAACTCTTAGAAAGCAGAATGGTAGTCAAAAGCAGTAGCACAAACTTGTCCAACCCAAGACCCATGAGCTACGTGCAGCCAAGGATGGCTTTGAATGTAGCCCAACACAAATTCATAAGTTTTCTTAGAACATTATGGTTTTTCTGGGTGTGTTTTAAGTTCATCCACTATTGCTAGCATTACTGTATTTTATGTGTGGCCCAAAACAATTATTATTCTTCCAATGTGGCCCAGGGAAGCCAAGACTGGACATCCCTGTGCTAGGGGAAAGAGAAAAAGAGATGTTTAATGGGTACAGAGTATCAGTTCTGCCAGATGAAAAAGTTCTAAAGATCTCTTGCACGTGACTGTGCACAGTGGCTCACGCCTGTAATCCCAAAACACTGGGAGGCTAAGTGAGGCAGGAGGATCACTTGAGCCCAGGAGTTTGAAACCAGCCTTGGCAACATATCTCTACAAAAATTGTTTTTAAATTAGCCATGTGTGGTGTTGTGCACCACCAGTCCCAGCTACTTGGGAGGCTGGGGTGGGAGGACAAGGCTACATGGAGCCACGATCGCACCACTGCACTCCAGCCTAGGTAACAGAAAAAGACTGTCTCCACAAAAAAAAAAAAAAAAAAAAAAAAATCTATTGCACGACAAGATGTTTATACTTAACACTACTATACTGTATATGTAAAAATGATTAAGATAAATGTTATGTGTTTTTTACCACAATAAAAAAGGAATACAATATCAAACAGATTCACCTTGAAAATATTATGCTAAATGAAAAGAGTGAGACATAAGAGATCGTATGTCATCATGCTTTCATTTCTACGAAATGACCTGAACAAATATATCTATACAGCAAGAGAGTAGACTGCTGGTTGTCAAGGACTAACGTGGGAGAAGGGAAAGTGACTGCTAACAGGTATGGGTTTATTTTTAAAGTGATGAAAACATTTTGAAATTAACAGTGATGGCTGCACAACTGTAAATATACTAAAAAATTTTCAATTGTGCACTTTATTATTATTATATATATATATTTTTTTGGAGATGGAGTCTCACTCTGTTGTACAGGCTGGAGCACAGTGATGCCATCTTGGCTCACCGCAACCTCCGCCTCCTGGGTTTGAGCAATTCTCCCACCTCAGCCTCCCAAATAGCTGGAATGACAGGGGCCCGCCACCATGCCCAGCTATTTTTTTGTGTTTTTAGTAGAGACGGGGTTTCACCATGTTGGCAAGGCTGGTCTCAAAATCCTGGCCTCAGGTGATCCGCCTGCCTCAGCATCCCAAAGTGCTGGGATTATAGGCATGAGCCATCGGGCCCAGCCCAACTGTGCATTTTAAAATGGTGAATTTTGCTAGGCGCAGTGACTCATGCCTGTAATCCCAACACTTTGGGAGGCTGGGTCGGGTGAATCACCTGAGGTCAGGAGTTCAAGACGAGCCTGGCCAACATGGTGAAACCCCGTCTCTACTAAAAATACAAACATTAGCTGGGTGTCGTGGTGGATGCCTGTAATCCCAGCTACTCAGGAGGCTGAGGCAGGAGAATCGCTTGAACCTGGGAGGCGGAAGCTGCAGTGAGCCAAGATCACGCCACTGCACTCCAGCCTGGGTAGAAGAGTGAGACTCTGTCTCAAAAAAAAAAAAAAAAAAAAGGTGAATTTCATGGTATGTGGATTATATCTCAATTAGCCTGTTATTAAAAAATAATAAACAATATTACTTGGGAGGCTGAGGTGGGAGGACTGCTTGATACCAGGAGTTCAACACCAGCCTAGGAAATATAGTGAGACACCCATCTCTAATATATTTAATAATAATGTAAAATAATTTAAAAAATAAAAATAAAGAGAGAACATGGCCCAGTCAGGAAGCTGAAAGGCAACCAATATGTATGGATATAGAAAACAAACAGGAAAACAGTGGAAACAACAATTTAGCTCTACATGGTGGAACGCTTTTAAAGAGTTTAACTCTATTTGGATTGCTTCATCATTATTATTGTTATTGCCAATGCTTTATTCTATTAATCAGTGTTTTGCTTGCTTTCTGTTAAGACGGTAAACATAAAATTTACCATTTTAACCATTTTATAAGTAAGCAGTTTAGTACTGTTAGGTACACCCAGTGTTGCATGTCCAATCTCCAGATCTCTCTGTACATTATGAAACTAAAACCCTACACCCAATGAACAGCAACTCCCTGATGGAGCATTAGCCAGGCTTAAAAAGGAAATTCTAGCACATGCTGTAACATGAATAAACTTTGAAGACATTACACTAAGCAAAACAAATTAATCATAAAAACACAAATTCTGTATGATTTCATCTAAGGTGGTCAAATTCTTAGTCTCTGATAACAACCATGTTATATTCAGTATCAATGAATTTCACTACTTTGGGTACTTCATAAAATTGGAATCATATGGTATTTCTCCATGTTATTAGCATGTGTTAAAATTTCCTTTTTTTTTCAAGGCTGAATAATATTCCACTGTGTGGGACCAGGAGTGGTGACTCACGCCTCTAATACCAGCACTTTGGGAGGCTGAGGCGTTTGGATCACTTGAGGTCAGGAGTTTGAGACAAGCCTGTCCAACATGGTGAAACCCTGTCTCTGCTAAAAATACAAAAAAAATTAGCTGGGTGTGGTGGTGCACTCCTGTAGTCCCAGCTACTCGGGAGGCTGAGGCAGGAGAATCGCTTGAACCCAGGAGGCGGAGGCTGCAGTGCGCCAAGATGACGCCACTACACTCCATTCTGGGTGACACAGCAAGACTCCACCTTAAAACAAAAAAACTGGCCGGGCACGGTGGCTAACGCCTATAATCCCAGCACTTTGGGAGGCCGAGGCAGGTGGATCATGAGGTCAGGAGTTCGAGACCAACCTGGCCAAGACGGTGAAACCCCATCTCTACTAAAAATACAAAAATTAGCTGGGCATGATGGTGGGCACCTGTAATCCCAGCTACTTAGGAGGCTGAGGCAGGAGAATCACTTGAACCCAGGAGGCGGAGGTTGCAGTGAGCCGAGATCACATGACTACACTCTAGCCTGGGTGACAGAACAAAGACTACATCTCAAAAAAAAAATTGTACTGTGTGTACATACCACAATTTGTTTATCCATTCACCTAATTATTTTAACCTGGGTTTTGGCCATTTTCCTCTTTTACCAATAGGTTGTTTTTTGTTTTTTTTTTTAGGTAAGACAGAGTTTTGCTCTTCTTGCCCGGGCTAGAGCGCAGTGGTGCAATCTCAGCTCACTGCAACCTCCACCTCCCAGGTTCAAGCGATTCTCCTGCCTCAGCCTCCCGAGTAGCTAGGATTACAGACACCTGCCACCACTCTTGGTTAAATTTCGCCATATTGGTGAGGCTGGTCTCAAACTCCTGACCTCAGGTGATCCACCCGCCTTGGCCTCCCAGAGTGCTGGGATTACAGGCCTGAGCCACAGCGCCAGGCCTTGTTTTTTAAGACATGAGATTTCACTATGTTGCCCAGGTTGGAGTGCAATGGCTACGCAAAGGCACAATTATCACATGCCACAGTCTCAAACTCCTGACCTCAAGTGATCCTCCCACCTCAGCCTCCAGAGGAGCTGGAATACAGGCACGTATCACCACACCCGGATTTAACCACCTTATTAGTCCCTTTTTTTTTTTTTTTTTTTTTTTTTTGAGATGGAGTCTCCTTCTGTCACCCAGGCTGGAGTGCAGTGGCAAGATCTTGACTCACTGCAACCTCCATATCCCAGGTTCAAGCGATTCTCCTGCCTCAGCCTCCCAAGTAGCTGGGGTTACAAATGGGTGCCAGCACAGCCGGCTAATTTTTGGTATTTTTAGTAGAGATGGGGTTTCACCATTTTGGTCAGGCTGATCTCAAACTCCTGACCTCAAGTGATCCACCCACCTCGGACTCCCAAACTGCTGGGATTACAGGCGTGAGACACCAGGTCCAGCCCTCATTAGTCTAAGAACCACCTGACATTGCTGAATATCTCACTAATGTGTACTTTCTACATCATTAATTTTTGCTTTTATTATTTCCTTTTTCGTTAGGTTTAATTTGGTGTTGTTTTTCTAATTTCTTGAGAAAGATGTTTGGACCACTGATTTCTAACCTTTCTCCTTTCCTAATATAAAGAAATAAATGTTCCTCTAGGCACAGCTTCTACTACATCTTTTAAAAGTTAATGTTGGCTGGGCGCAGTGGCTCACACCTGTAAACCCAGCACTTTGGGAGGCCAAGGTGGGCAGATCACGAGGTGAAGAGATTGAAACCACCATCCTGGCCAACATGGTGAAATTCTTGTCTCTACTAAAAATACAAATATTACAGCTGGGCATGGTGGTGGGCGCCTATATTCCCAGCTACTCAGGAGGCTGAGTCAGGAGAATCTCTTGAACCCGGGAGGTGGAGGTGGCAGTGAGCTGAGATCGCGCCACTGCACTCCAGCCTGGGCGACAGACTCCATCTTCAAAACAAAACAAAAACAAATAAAAAGCTGGTTATTCTGTTTAAGTCTTTGGGGGTATGACATAAAATCCATTTGGTATGATGTATGAGCTCATCTGTTCACAACGCAAAACTAACTTACCATCGTCTTGTGAGGAAGAATATGGGTAAATGTGGTGGGAAGCTTTTGACTTCTCATCCGTAAATGTTCCCTGGAAAGCAAATGAACAAAAACCACAAAAATAAAGCACATGGCAATGAACTATGAGATTCCAGATACAAATTCCATACAAATTCTAAAAGCATGGTTTTACTTATAGACTTTATATAAAAAAGACTTGCTTCTTTTTAGTCAAATAAAAAAAAGTGATTAACAACAATAAACCAAAAAATTGTCTACACAGTTTAGACTGCTGTATAGAAAAGTAATTCGAGCACCTATTAGCTAGTTCTCTACAGATCTCTCTCTCTGGGTATCCATATCAGTAATATGGGTACTACTAATTCTTTTTTTTCCTGAAATGGAGTCTTGCTCTGTCACCCAGGCTATAGTGTGGCAGCACAATCTTGGCTCACTGCAACCTCCTCCGTCTCCTGGGTTCAAACGATTCTCCTGCCTCAGCCTCCTGAGTAGCTGGGATTACAGGCACCCGCCAGCACGCCTGGCTAATTTTTCTATTTTTAGTAGAGATGGGGTTTCACCATGTTGGTCAGGCTGGTCTTGAACTCCTGACCTTAGGTGAGCTGCCTGCCTTGGCCTTCCAAAGTTCTGGGATTAAAGATGTGAGCCACTGTGTTCAGTCAGGTACTATTACTTCTTAAAATTACTTCCAAAGTCATCACAAATTATCATTACTTCAAGTGAATCAATGCCATTCCTGGCCTTGAGCCATAAACTAGGACTATGTGCAAGCGTAACACAGATACATCGTCAAGTTCAGTTTCAGACCACCGTAATAAAGCATTACAAAATTAGTTGCACAAATTTAGTTTCCTGATGCATATAAAAGTTACATTTATGGCCAGGTGTGGTGGCTCATGTCTGTAATCCTAGCAATTTGGGAGCCAGGTGGATCATTTGAGGTCAGGAGTTCGAGACCAGCGTGGCCAACACGGTGAAACCCCATCTCTACTAAAAATATAAAAATTAGCTGGGCGTGGTGGCACACGTCTGTAATCTCAGCTATTCAAGAGGCTGAGGCAGAAGAATCACTTGAGCCCAGGAGGCAGAGTTTGCAGTGAGCCGAGATGGCACCACTAGCTTGGGGGACAGAGTGAGACTCCGTCTCAAAAAAATAAAAAATAAAAAAAAAGTTACATTTAGGCCAGGTGCAGCTGCTCACACCTGTAATCCCAGCACTTTGGAAGGCTGAAGTGAAAGGATCACTTGAGCCTAGGAGTTCAAGACTAGTCTGGGCAACACAGTGAGACCTTGTCTCAAATTAAAAAAGAAATTAGCCCGGCACTTTTGTGCCTGTAGTCCCAGCTACTCAGGAGGTGAGGTGGGAGGATCATTTGAGCCCAAGAGTTCAAGGTTGCAGTGAACTATGATTATGCCAGTGTACGTTAGCCTGGGCAATACAGTGAGAGAGACCCTGTCTCTCAAAACAAAAATCAAAAGTTAAGTTTACACAGTTTTAGAAAACAGTGTACATACCTTAATTTAAAAATATTTTATTGCTAGAAAACGCTAACAATAGCGGCTGGGTCCAGTGGCTCACGCCTGTAATCCCAGCAGTTTGGGAGGTCAAGGTGGGTGGATCACCTGAGGTCAGAAGTTCGAGACCAGCCTAGCCAACGTGGTGAAACGCGTGTCTATTAAAAATACAAAAAATTAGCCAAGTGTGGTGGCAGACGCCTATAATCCCAGCTACTCAGGAGGCTGAGGCAGGAGAATCCCTTGAACCCCGGAGGCAGAGGCTGCAGTGAGCCGAGATTGCGCCATTGCACTCCAGCCTGGACAACAAGAGCAAAATGCCATCTCAAAAAAAAAAAAAAAATGCCAACAATCATCTGAGACTTAAGCAAATCAGTCTTCTTGCTGCTGGAGGACACTGCCTCAATGATGCTGGCAGCTGACTGATCAAGGTGGTGGTTGCTGAAGGTTAAGGTGGCTGTGGCAATTTCTTAAGTCAACAGTAAAAGTTTGTCACATTGATTGACTCCTTTCACAAATGATTTCTCTGTAGCATGCGATGCTGACAGCATTTTACACACAGCAGAATTTCTTTCAAAACCCTGCTGCTTGCTGTATCAACTAAATGTATGTAATATTTAAAATCCTTTGTTCTCATTTCAACGTTAACAGCGACTGTGCCAGGAGTAGATTCCATGTCAAGAAAGCACTTTGTTCATCCATAAGAAACAACTCTTCCATCTGTTCAAGTTTTGTCATGAGATCGCGGCAATTCAGTCACATGTTCCAGCTTCACTTCAAATTCTAGTTCTCTTATTTGAACCACGTCTGTAGTTACTTCCTCTACTAAAGTCTTTAACCCCTCAAAGTCAACCATGAGGGTCACAATCCACGTCTTCCAAACTTGTTACTGTTGATATTTTGACCTCTGATGAATCGCATGTGTTCTTAGTGGCATCTAGAATGATGAATCTGTTCCAGAAGATTTTCAATTTACTTTGCCCAGATCCATCATAAGAACCACTAACTATAGCAGCTCTATCTTTACAAAATGTATTTCTTAAATAACAAGACTTGAAAGTCAAAATACTCCTTAAAACATGGCTGCAGAATGGAAGTTGTGTTACTATGCATGGAAATAACATTAATTTCCTTGTACATCTGCAACAGAGTGACTAGGTGACTGTCAATGAGCAGTAATATTTCAAAAGAAATTGTTTTTCCTGAGCAGTAGGTCTCTACAGTGGGCTTAAAGTATTCAGTAAACCATACTGTAAATAGATGTGCTGTCATCTAGGCTTTGCTGTTTTGTTATGGAGCACAGGCAAAATAGATGTACAATAATCTGTAGGGCCTTATGACTGTCAGAATGGCAAACGACCATTGGCTTCAACTTACAGTCACCAACTGCATTAAGCCCCAAAATAGCCTGGCTGAAGCTTTTAAGCCAGGCATTGACTTCTCTAACTATGACAGTCCTAAATAGCATCTTATTTTAATAGAAGACTATTTCATTTACATTGAACATCTGTTGTTTGGTGTAACCAGCTTCACCAATTATCTTTACTAAATCTCCTGGATAACTTGCTGCAGCTTCTACATTAGCACTTGCTGCTTCAACTTGGCATTTTTATGTTCTGAAAACGGCTTCTTTCCTTAAACCTCATTAGGCAACCTCTGCTGGCTTCAAACGTTCCTTCTGCAGCTTCCTCACCTCTCTCTCTCAGCCTTCACAGAATTGAAGAGAGTTAGGCCTTTGTTCTGGATTAGAATTTAGCTTAAGGAAATGTTGGGCTGCTCTGATCTCCTAACCAGACCACTGAAACTTTCTCAGTATCAGCAATAAGCATGTTTTGCATCCTATCATTTGCATGTTCACTACAGTCCCACTTTTAATTTCCCTCAAAAACTTTTCCTTTGCACTAAAAACCTAGCTGTTTGACTTAAGAAGCCAAGTTCTCAGCTTATCTTGGCTTTTGTCATGCCTTCCTCACTAAACTAAATCACTACTAGCTTTTTATTTAAAGTGAGAGATAAGCAACTCTTCCTTTGACTTGACCAGCTAGAGGCCATTGTAGGGTTATTAATTGGCTTAATTTTAATACTTGTGGGTCTCAGGGAATAGGCAGGCTAGACAAGAGGTAGAGAGATAGAGAAGTGGCCAGTCAGTGAAGAAGTCAGAACACATACATTTATCAATTAACTTCACCATCTTCTATGGGTGTTGTGCTAAACCAAAGCAATTAAAATAGTATCAAATAGCACCTATCACAGATCACTATAACATGTATAATAATACTAAAAAAGTAAGCCAGGCGCGGTGGCTCACACCTGTAATCCCAGCACTTTGGGAGGCCGAGGGGGGTGGATCACGAGGTCAGGAGTTCAAGACCAGCCTGGCCAACACAGTGAAACCCCGTCTCTACTAAAAATACAAAAATTAGCCAGATGTGGTGGCGGGTGCCTGTAATCCCAGCTACTCAGGAGGCTGAGTCAGAGAACTGCTTGAACCCGGGAGGTGGAGGATGCAGTGAGCCGAGATCACACCACTGCGCTCCAGCTGGGCGACAGAGAAAGACTTCATCTCAAAAAAAAACAAATAAACAAGCAAAAAACTAAAAAAGTTTGAAATACTGTGAGAATTACCAAAATGTGATACACAGACATAATGTAAGCACATGCTGTTGGGAAAATGGCACCAACAGACTTGCTTGACACAGTTTCCACAAACCTTCCATTTAAAAAAAGGAGCAGGGCGGCTGCGGGGTGGTGCTGCAGGGCGGGTTCTGCGGCTCACGCCTGCAATCCCAGCACTTTGGGAGGCCGAGGTAGCAGGGGGAATCTCTTGAGGCCAGGAGCTTGAGGCGAGCCTAGGGAAGACCCTGTCTCTTCAAAAATAAAAATAAAATAGCCAGGGGCAGTGGAGCACACCTGTTGTTAAAAAAAGAACAAGAAGGCCGGGCAAGGTGGCTCATGACTGTAATCTCAGCACTTTGGGCAGATCATGAAGTCAGGAATTCGAGACCAGCCTTTCCAATATGGTGAAACCCCGTCTCTACTAAAAAATAAAAAATTAGCAGCGCAAGGGCCAGGTGCGGTGGCTCATGCCCGTAATCCCAGCACTTTGGGAGGCCGAGGCGGGCGGATCACAAGGTCAAGAGATCGAAACCCCGTCTCTACTAAAAATACAAAAAAATTAGCAAGGCGTGGTGGTGGGCGCCTGTAGTCCCAGCTACTCGGGAGGCTGAGGCAAGAGAATGGTGTGAACCCAGGAGGCAGAGCTTGCAGTGAGCCAAGATCACGCCATGGCACTCCAGCCTGGGCGACACAGCGAGACTCTGTCTCAAAAAAAAAAAAAAAAAAGGTATATATACACGTATATATATACACACATATGTGCTTGTATATACATATATACAAGCACATATATACATGTATACACATATATGTACGTGTGTGTATATATATACATATGTATGTATATCTACATATATGTATACACATATGTATATACAGACATACACACACGTATGTAACAGCTAAATATTCAGCATAAACTGTAGGCAATATATAAAATGTTTCCAGTATGACCCGGTGACAAAAAGAGTAGGTAATTTCAGCTTCAAGGCAAGAAACAGCAGGTTAATTTGTTCTACTTCTGCCCTGGTAACATTCCACATATACTTTAAACTGCATTTGACAGTCAATCCAATAAAAAGATATTCCAAAAGAGAGATGTTTAAGGAATCTGTTCAAAGCCATGATACTAGTGAAAAAAGGAACTGGACTTCAGATTGCCCAATATGATAAAATAATTATATTACCTTACACTTTGAGAGAGATGTCATATATAAGAGGAAGAATGTACTCAATCTATAATTGTACGCAGTATTAGAAACATTAACTTTCAGAACATGCAAGATATTTTACTAAATGCTAAAACATAATACAATTGGTAATCTCTTTTGCAGCAGGAAAAAAAGACATTTCATGAGGCTTCTCAACCAATTCTAAGGATCCATAAAACTCAGTCACATAAAGAATGTTTCAGGAAAATTATCTTCTACGTAAGTCTCCTCAGCTAGCTTACTATGTGATGGGCTTAATTACAGTTTAGTCACATGTAATCACAAACTTACATGTAGTAAATACCCAAAGTCTCAGCCTAAAATGAAGTCAGAAGAAGAAGGCTAAGATGTCAGAACACAGTACTAGTACATGTGTATCAAGACAAAGCAAGCTTGAGGGGGCAGAATTTTTCTGAGACGGAGTCTCGCTCTGTCACCAGGAGCACAGTGGCGCCATCTCAGCTCACTGCAACCTCCACTTCCTGGGTTCAAGTGATTCTCCTGACTCAGCCTCCCCAGTAGCTGGGACTACAGTGGCATGCCACCATGCCCAGCTAATTTTATATTTTTAGTAGAGACAGAGTTTCACCATGTTGGCCAGGATGGTCTCAATCTCTTGACCTCGTGATCCGCCCGCCTTGGCCTCTCAAAGTGCTGGGATTACAGGCGTGAGCCACCACGCCCGGCCTTCAATTTTTTTTTTTAAATCATATATGTAACAGAATACATAAAATGGGGGGTTAGGGAAGACAGGATTACTTGAAAGTAATACTTCATTTCTTCTTACCAACAATTATGTTACCAACTCTATTTGACTTTATAATCTCTGTGATATAGGGTTCTGTGATACATAATACACTAGTTTCCTTAGGTCTATGTAAGCACACTTTACAATAAGACTAACGACTCCATAGCAATGACTTTATTAAATGCTACTCTAGGCTAAAAGCTAAAGATGAGGGGAGAGAAAAAAAACACTGGTACTTTAAGAACTCAAAAAGAGGCCAGGTATGGTGGCTCACACCTATAATCAATCCTAATACTTTGGGAGGGCGAGGCTGGAGGATGACTTGAAGCCAGGAATTCAAGACCAGCCTGGGAACATAGTGAGAAACCATTGTGGCCGGGCACAGTGGCTCATGCCTGTAATCCCAGCACTTTGGGAGGCTGAGGTGGGGAGATCACTCGAGGTCAGGAGTTCGAGACCAGGCTCACCAACATGGCAAAACCCCACCTCTACGAAAAATACAATTAGCACACACCTGTAGTCCCAGCAATTTCGGAGGCTGAGGCACGAGAATCACTTGAACCTCGGAGGCAGAGGATGCAATGAACCGGGATTGCACCCCTACACTCTAGCCTGGGCGACAGCGCGAGACTCTCTCAACCACAACAACAAAAAAACTGGAAGATCTCTTGAGCCCAGAAGTCCAAAGCTACAGTGAGCAAGGATGCTAGGATAGTGCCATTGCATTCCAGCCTGGGCAACAAAGTGACACCTCATCTCTAAAAAGAAAAAAAAAAAAAAAACTCAAGAAAAAAATTTCTTTTGATGCAAATATATCAAAAAATCCAAAACATTACTATGGTTGTCATTTATTAGAGGCTTACAACTACAAAATGAAGTGATCGTGTCTATTATTATCTGAAGTGATTGTGTCTATTACCTGATGTCGTTTGATGATATCTTTCAATTTGTTAGCCAACTTCAGATCAATGTCTGGAATGAGGTAGATGTTGGGTCTGGTCAAACAATTGTTCTGAGGATGAAAAGAACAGACTTTCAAATTCTCTTAGTTTTGAAATAATATCATATTATTTATGCAATATACAAACCACCCCCAGATAACCTTTTCTGCCACAAAAAATATTGAGAAGCATGACCTAAAGAAATTCAGCAACTTTTTCATTAAGATACCATACCAGATTGCCAGATTAATCTTCCTCCCCAATTTTACCCAAATTTACTTTAATGGTCTAATGTAGTGTTTTTAGCTACGGAAGGGATTACAGTTAATCTTAAAAATAGCAATGGCAAGTGGCTCACGCCTGTAATCCCAGCACTTTGGGAGGCCGAGATGGGCGGATCATGAGGTCAGGAGATCAAGACCATCCTGGCTAACACGGTGAAACCCTGTCTCTACTAAAAATACAAAAAAATTAGCCAGGCGTGGTGGTGGGCGCCTGTAGTCCCAGCTACTCGGGAGGCTGAGGCAGGAGAATGGCGTGAACCCGGGAGGTTGGAGCTTGCAGTGAGCCGAGATCACACCACTGAACTCCAGCCTGGGTGACAGAGTGAGATTCCATCTCAAAAAATAAATATATAAAATCAAATAAAATAAATAAAAAAAATAAAAAATAGCAATGGCAAAACATGTATGTTAACTCCCCAAATCATGAAGAAAACCCTCACCCAACAAACAAAACATATCCAATTGTTTCCCTAGCTAAGAATCTGTGGGACAAACAACTTTCACATATTAAGTTAACAATAATATCTAACTGAATTTTTGCCAGCTACCTCTCCCCAGGAAGGTTAATTTAGTGATCACCATAAATTATCAAACAATAAACATATTAGGAAACACAAATAAGGACATTAAGCATTCTCTTTTCCAAGTTATAATACATTTAGAGAAATAATATGTATATTTATGGTACAACCATGGAACAAATCCAAAGAAAATATTCAATCAAGTGAACAGTAGGATGGAAGAGTGCTTATACTAAATAAAATGAAGGCAGGCCGGACTCTGTGGTTCATGCCTGTAATCCCAGAACTTTGGGAGGCCAAGCAAGCAAATCGCTTGAATTCATGAATTTGAGACCAGCCTGGCTAACATGGCAAAACCCCATTTCTACAAAAGATATAAAAAAATTAGCCAGGTGTGATGGCGTGTGCCTGTAGTCCCAGCTACAGGGAAAGCTGAGGTGGGAGAATCACTTGAGCCCGAGAGTTCAAAGCTGCAGTGAGCCTAGCTCTGACTGCACCACTGCACTCCAGCCTGGGTGACAGAGTGAGACCCTGTCTCAAAGAAAATAAAAATAAAATAATAAAATAAAGACAACTCAAACAATACATTAGGTAAAATTAATGAAGAAAATTACCATAAATTATCTCACCATAAATTTTAATACTCTTAAAGACAAGATTAATCATAGCTCTAATCCCCAAACACCCATAAAAATAATAAAACAATACCTTTCAGAACATTTTCTTCCTTTGTTCTTTTGGCAATCCAATAAAGCCAATCTGTGGTTTTTTTTGTTTTTTTGAGAGCCAATCTTTTTTTTGTTTTTGTTGTTTGAGACGGAGTCTCGCTCTGTTGCCCAGGCTGGAGTGCAGGGGCGCAATCTCGGCTCACTGCAAGCTCCGCCTCCCAGGTTCACACCATTCTCTTGCCTCAGCCACCAGAGTAGCTGGGACTACAGGTACCCGGAACCACGTGCGGCTAATTTTTTTTTTTTTTTTTTTTAAGTAGAGACGGGGTTTCACCGTGTTAGCCAGGATGGTCTCGATCTCCTGACCTCGTGATCCGCCTTGCCTCGGCCTCCCAAAGTGCTGGGATTACAGGCATGAGCCACCGCGCCTGGCCAGCCAATCTTAAAACTGAAAATATATTAAAGGTAAACTTTTTAAATAACCTAAGTTTCCAAGTTACCTGCACCAATGTTTTTTCAATGTTCATAAACATTTCCACATTACGATCCATTCGAGATGGGTTCTGTAGGTCAAACCTCCGCCTAAAAAAAAAGAAAAACCCTAGTTAATTTGTCTCCCAGCTTAAACACAAATGAAAACTTGGTTTTAGAATTCGATGCAAATGAGTTAGAAAGATTTGAAAATTAAAATAACTCTACAAAATGTGTGAGACATTCTCTCAGTAACATAAGAATACATAGTATCAACACCCTTATAAAAGAGATATTAAGATCCACCTCAGTGAAAATGAAGTATCAATTCCATGACATATCTATCTAATTTTCCTTAAATCTAAGACATCTTACATCTTATAGAAAAGTAGTCCACATATCCAGGCTGGGCGCAGTGGCTGACGCCTGTAATCCCAGCACTTTGGGAGGCTGAGGCGGGTGGATCAAGAGATCAAGAGTTCAAGACCAGCCTGGCCAACGTGGTGAAACCCCATCTCTACTAAAAATACAAAAATCAACTGGGCATGGTGGTGCACACCTGTAATCCCAGCTACTCAGGAGGCTGAGGCAGGAGAATCACTTGAACCCGAGAGGCGGAGGTTGCAGTGAGCCGGGATCACGCCACTGCACTCTAGCCTGGTGACAGAGCAAGACTCCGTCTCAAAAAAAAAAAAAATCATTTGTTCAAATTCAGCAGTATCTGTGTTCTCTTAGATAAAGGAAAGCATCTTGGGTATTTAATTCTAATACAGCTGTAAGACTTGTGATTTAAACAGACAAGTTTTCTCCAAATAAAATTTTTAACTGGCCACAGTAGCAGTCAAGAGCAGAGACTATCCCTTAATCTGAAATCACTTGATAGCTGGGGGTATCCCAAACCCACAAGTATGAATAACAAGTACTGTTTTCCTAAATGTGGTAACACTGATCTATTTACCTTTACTTGAAACTCTTCTCCAATGTCTCTTTACATTAAGTTCCCAAGCATGTCACCTCCATTTGGTAAAATCTTTACAAAGTCTAATGCCTGTTTCTCCTTACTTTTTATTCAATACCTACTTTGTTTTTGCTCTGTTTTAATTCTTTTAACACTAACATCCAGGACAGGAGTAGAGCTTAGTGACTGAAAGTAAGGATTGTGGAAAACTACATTAGTCTTGAGCAATTTGTTAACCCAAGGATCCACTGCTTCATAAATATAACAGCTTACTGTGGGCTTTTGTGAAGGTTAAATGAGGTATATATTAGAACAGTGCTTAAGTTTAATATAAAGTAACTGATCAATAAATGTTAGCTATAGTTATAATTTTTGTTTTTTGAGGCAGAGTCTCACTGTGTCACCTAGGCTGGAATGCTCTGGTGCAGTAAGAGCTCCCTGTAACCTTGAACTCCTGGGCTCAGGGGATACTCCCACCTCAACCTCAGCCTTGAGTAGCTGGGTCCATAGGCACCAGCCATCACACTCAGGTAACTGTTCTTTATTTTTATTTTTGTAAAGCCAAAGGTCTCACTATGTTGGTCCAGACTGGTCTCAAATTCCTGAGCTCAAACAATCCTCCCACCTCAGCCTCCCAAAGTGCTGACATTACAGGGGTGAGCCAACACGCCTGGCCCAGTTATAATTTTCTTAATCATTACCAGGTACTACCTAGCATTAGGCAGTCTGAGTCCAGAGCTCATACTTTTAACTCACATGTCATGCTATTTTATTCTGGAGATGTTCCCCACACTTCCAATCTTTCTTTTTAAACTCTATAGCCTTTCCAGGCTACCCACTACCACTCAATGGGCCTGACACTATCACTTCCAGAATCAGTCCCCAAGTCACTTGCTCTATAAAGCTAAGCCTATCTTCTTTCATGTTGTTGTTGTTTTAAATGGAGTCCCACTCTATTGCCCAGGCTGGAGTGCAGTGGTGTGATCTCGATTCACCACAACCTCCGCTTCCTGGATTCAAGCGATTCTCCTGCCTCAGCCTCCTGATTAGCTGGGATTACAGGTGTGCTCCACGACACCCAGGTATTTAATAAGTAGAGACAGGGTTTCACCATGTTGGCCAGGCTGGACTCGAACTCCTGACCTCAGGTGATCGCACACCTCAGTCTCTCAAAGAGCTGGGATTACAGATTACAGATGTGAGCCACCACGCCCGGCCATCTTTTTTTTTTTTTTTTTTTTTTTTTTTTTTTTTAAAAGACAGACTCTCGCCCTGTCGTCCAGACTGGAGTGCAATGGGGCGATCTCAGCTTACTGCAACCTCCGCCTTCTGGGTTCAAGCGATTCTCCTGCCTCAGCCTCCCGAGTAGCTGGGATTACAGGCATGCACCACCACACCCTGCTAATCTTTTGTATCTTTAGTAGAGACGGGGTTTCATCATATTGGCAGGGCTGATCTCAAACTCCTGACCTCGAGATCCACCCACCTCGGCCTCCCAAAGCACTGTGATTACAGGTGTGAGCCACTATGCCTGGCCCACACCCGGCTAATTTTTGTATTTTTAGTAGAAATGGAGTTTCACCATGTGGGCCAGGCAGGTCTTGAACTCCTGACCTCGTGATCCACCCACCTCAGCCTCCCAAAGTGCTGGGATTATAGGCATGAGCCAGTGCGCCGGCCTTTCATGTTCTTAATACATCCTGTGCACAATGCTGATACAGCCCCATCAAAGAACTATCTTGTTAGTGAGACATCTCATTAGATACCTTGAGGACAATGGCCAGGTTTTTAAAACTTTTCCTTTACAGCCCTACTGGCTAGAAGAATGTGCAGCTTTACAGAGCAAACTATAAACTGCACTCCAGCCTGGGCGACAGAGGGAGACTCTGACTCAAAAAAAAAAAAAAAAAAACAAAAACCTACAATCTAATTTTCAAAATTAGAATATTGTGACTTTGTAAAGTTGTAATGAAATGACTCTAGGCAGTGAACATCAATGTCTGCCCACTACACACATAAACAACCAGATATTGTATACCTCCAGATAGAAGAATAAAACATTATCTATGATTATTATTGTTGCCAAAAAAAGATAAGGAACCAAATCAGACTAAGCTTCTACCACCAGTTTACAAGAAATTTAGAAGACCATGTTAAATGATAAACTGGAGGCATATAAGCAAAATCTAATAAAACATGGACAATCCTACGAGACAACTGTTTCAGTAGAGCGGGAGGTACTTGTGAGGAAAAGAGACGGAAGAGATAGAAAACTTTAACTTTTTCGAAGAGAGTTAGTCATATCAACCAAAGGCAATGTCTGCACTGCACCTTGTTTGAATATTAATTCAAATAAGATATAAAAATCATTTATGAGATAAGGGAAATTTGAACACTCAACGATTTAATATTAAAAATTATTGCTAATTTTCATATCTGTAATAATGGTAGTGTTATTACACTTTCTAAAATCCTATTTGAGAAATAAATACATGGCAAAATATCTAAACTTGACCCTTAAACAACATAGGCTGGAAATGAGGTCTATTCATATGTGGATTTTCTTCTACCTCTACCATCCAAGAAAGCAAGAACAGCCTTTCTCTTTTCCCTTACTCCTCCAACTACTCAACGTGAAGACAAGGATGAGTATCTTTACGATACACTTCCATTTAATGAATAACAAATATATTTTCCTTTCCTTATTCTTCAATTCTTCACCCCTCATTCTTCATACTTGTATACCTGTTTTCAGAGCTCTAATTGCCTCCAGGATATCTATTTATTTTACTATTATTTTAAAAAATAGAGATGGGGTCTTGCTATGTTGCCCAGGTTAGTCTTGAACTCCTGGACTTAAGTGATTCTTCTGCCTCAGCCTCCCAAAGTGCTCAGATTATAGGTGTGAGTTACCACACCTGGCACCACTATGATGTTTGCCACCCTTTTGGGGTATGGCATACTAGACCATCCTGTGGGGATGGCCTCCAGGGTATTATAGCTTGCTGTCATCATACAAAGCTCCTTATTTGAGGCCAGCTTTTGTCACTTCCCCACAAAACTGTTTGGTTCTATTGTTGTCTTGCCTTTGGCTCAGTGCATTTTTGTTTTTCCTTTTAGAAGTTTGCTTCTGATGCCCTTTTACAGGCATGAGCCACCACACCAGCCTAATGATTATAGTTCTAATTTGCATTCCTCTTTCGGGTTGAAGCTTGAACATCTATCTGTATTATTAGAAAGCAAAACTTAATATAAACATTCTCAAGATAGGGTTCCAGCCTGCTGGGTGACAGAGCAAGACTCCGTCTCAAAAAAGAAAAAAAAAAAAACATGTAACAATCTCTTTAGAACTGTAGGAAAAAATAAACAACGTCCTAATCTCTGGGCATGTGGGCACTAACAGTCAACTCTCTATTACTTAATTGAACTTGGTATTTAATCTCTCCTTTGGGAGATCCGTTTGGATTTCCATGAATAGGTCAAACTTGTTATCCTTCAGTTACATATAACTATACTTCAACTCTATACAAAGTTTTATCCTTCAGGAGAAAAACCATAAATAAGACACTCATTGATTTTACCTATTTAGAAACATCCAGAAAGATCAAACTTAACATTTCAATTCTGTAATCTCTCTTTCTGTTTTTGACACAGGGTCTCTGTCACCCAGGCTGGAGTGCAGTGGTGCAATCTTGGTTCACTGCAGCCTCTACATCCTGAACTCAAGTGATCCTCCCACCTCAGCATCCGGAGTAGCTGGGACTATAGGCATGCACCACCACACCCAGCTAATTTTCCTATTTTTTGTAGAGGCTGAGTTTTCCCACATTGCCTGGGCTGGGTTCAAACTCCTGGGCTCAAGCAATCCGCTGACCTCAGCCTCCCAAAGTGCTGGGATTACAGGCATGAGCCACCACAGCTGGCCAATTCTGTAATATTAATCTGTACAGTCTCTTCACAAATATGCTAGTAATTACCAGGTATTCCCATTCAACCTCATATGCATGACATTAGAGCTTCGTGTCACTAGAGACTAAAACAAAGACTACTGAGAAGTCAGTAAGAAAGCAGAACCACAATGAAATAAGAAGAAAATAGTGCTTGCCGTAATAACAAAACCAGCAAACTTTGGACCTAAAGCCAGAAATGCAACCTAGACTGTGAGGTTCAATTAAAGAACACAGACAAAGTTCTGAGAGGCATGTTAGGCATGGGGCAAGAATGACAGGTCAGTATTCAGATATCCAAACAGAGTGGGGAGTTACTAAAATATGCACTCACTTCAAGTGTGCGAGGCACAAGAGATGAGAGAAGGTGCACACTGAAACTGGACACATAACTATACCTGAAAGGAAATAATTCTGGCACAATCTGCATAAAAGACTTGGAAAAATTCTTATTCCTGACAATGCTAACCCTATCCTTTACGTCTTTTTTAGTCCCACTTTTAATTTTAAGGAAACTGTATTACATATATCTTCCTTTTTTTTTGAGACAAGCCACTGCACCCGGCCTGTATTACACGTATCTTTCTAAACTACTGCAAGTGATTTCAGATAAAAATATTTCACTGTGGCCGGGCATGGTGACTCATGCCTGTAATCCCAGCATTTTGGGAGGCCGAGTCTGGCGGGTCACCTGAGTCAGGAGTTCAAGACCAGCCTGGCCAACATGGAGAAACCTGGTCTCTACTAAAAATACAAAAATTAGCCATGTGTGGTGGCAGGCACCTGTAATCCCAGCTACTCAGGAGGGTGAGGCAGGAGAACTGCTTGAACCTGGGAGGTAGAGGTTGCAGTGAGCCGAGATTACACCACTGCACTCCGGCCTGGGTGACAGAGCGAGACTATGTCTCAAAAAAAAAAAAAAAAAATTTCATTGTGCAGAAACTACAGACACAAAGCAAGTTCCACAATATGTGACCTAGGAAAAATCATATCACTTTGGTATTCTATCCTCAAGTGTCCAGGTTAGGACTTGTGATAAAAGCTAAACAAGAACCAAGGACAGAAAAGAGTTCCAACTGGGAACCCAGAGTTAACAGTAGGGTACAAACCATCTCTACAAGTACAGAGACATGCCGTTGCTCCTAGATAGGGAATACCATCGTGAGAGGTCCAACATCAGAGCTAGACACAGAACTGGAAAACAGAGAGCTACCTCTGATAACAAAAAGAAACAAGTCTCATGCTACTTTAGTCAATATCTTTTTTTTTGGAGACAGCCCAGGCAGGAGTGCAGTGGCGCAATCTCAGCTCACTGCAACCTCCGTCTCCCGGGTTCAAGCAATTCTCCTGTCTCAGCCTCCTGAGTACCTGGGATTACAAGTGCCTGCCACCAAGTCTGGCTAATTTTTTTTGTATTTTTAGTAGAGACAGGGTTTCGCCATGATGGCCAGTCTGGACTCGAACTCCTGACCTCAGGTGATCCAAATCAATATCTATTAAACACCATCCATATATAAAAAGTTTCAGTAAATACACATGTAAGTTTGTATCTCCTACTATTTACTATATAAATAATTTATTTAATTACACACTTGTCCTTATTGTTGATCTAAATATTTATTTGCACTTCCCAACCATAAAGTATTGGGTTAGCTTAACTTTTAAAGTAAAATATATAAATTACATGTGTATTCTCCTGGAAAGATGCTAAGGTTATAAACTGTGCACCACTAACTCAACTGAAAATACCAAACAATTTCAGGACAATATACTCCACTCCCCCAACCCTACCCTGTGAACTATGTCCCTGACAACCCCACAGCTCAGGACATCACTAGTCCCAGTAACTGATGGAAACTCCAGAGTTCAAGAGAAAAAAAAGAAATAGTACCAAGAGAGACAGCTAGAAAAGGGGAAAAGACTGAAGGGAGCAAAATGGCAGGAATATCTGCAGGGATTCTCAATCTATCTACAACACTGACCTAGGCAAAGATCTCTATTTCTTTTATCCCTGTCCTGAGGATAGCAAAATGGAATACTCTTGCAGGCCTAGATAACTTTATCTCTTAAAACTGCTATCTGGCCAGGCACGGTGGCTCACACCTGTAATCCTAGCACCTTGGAAGGTCAAGGCAGGTAGATCGCCTGAGGTCAGGAGTTCGAGACCAGCCTGGCCAACATGGTGAAACCCCATCTCTACTAAAAATGCAAAAATTAGCTGGGCATGTGGTGGCAGGTGCCTGTAATCCCAGTTACTCAGGAGGCTGAGGCAGGAGAATCACTGGAAGGTTGCAGTGAGCTGAGATGGTGCCACTTCACTCCAGCCTGGGCGAAAAAGCGCAACTAAGTCTCAAAAAAACAAAACAAACAAACAAAAATACTATCTATCCACTTCAAATATAATGTATGAGTTCATTATACACACACATTTCATGGCAAGCCTACCTTCTAATTTGCTAACAATGTACACCTGTTACTATAAAAATCAAATATAAGAAATCACTTCCCTAATAAATACTTGGTTGTGGCCGGGTGCGGTGGCTCACGCCTGTAATCCCAGCACTTTGGGAGGCTGAGATGGGTGGAGTGCTTGAGGCCAGGAGTTTGAGAGCAGCCTGACCAACATGACAAAACCCTATTTCTACTAAAAATAGAAAAATTAGCCAGGCATGGTGGTGCACGCCTACAGTCCCAGCTACTCAGGAGGCTGGGGCATGAGAATTGCTTGAATCTGATGCGCGGGATGCAGTGACCTGAGATTCCACCACTGCACTTCTAGCCTTGCCAACAGCCTTGGTTGGTCCTATTTTTAAGACCCTGTCTCAAAAATAAATAAATACGTGGTTGCTTGATATTTTTCTTGGATGTAGAAACAAGGTAAATTAGGGCTCTTGGTAAAACACATTAATCATCATGTGCTTACAGGATTTTCTAACACAAGGAAACAGGACTTAAAAGTAAATAACTTAAGATCAAAACATGCAAACAAATACAAAAACTTACCATCCCTGTTCATTTTTATACTTGTAAGCAGCCCCAAGAATGTGACATAAGGCGCCTCCAGCTTTGAAATCCATGAAACACTTTGCCTAAAAATGATACAAATTACACATGAGAAAAATAAAGCTTCTGACAAAATTACTCATGTCTTAATTCTAAGTTTTATAAATTCAAATATATAAACAAATACTAATTAAACAACCTCCTTAAACATCTTCTTGAATAAACTGAGGAATCAATACATTTTTCTAAAAGTAGATTAGGCTGGGCATGGTGGCTCATGCCTGTAATCCCAACACTCTGGGAGCGTGAAACAGGAGGATCACTTAAGCCCAGGAGTTCAAGACCAGTCTGGGCAACACAGGGAGATCCAGTCTCTAGAAAAAAATTTAAAAATTAGCTGTGCATTGTGGCACACACCTGCAATCCTATCCAGGAGGCTGGGGTGGGAGGATCACTTCAGCCTGAGAGGTTGAGCCTGCGGTGAGCCCTGATCGCCCTACTGCACTCCAGCCCTGGATGACAGAGTGAGATGCTGTCTCAAGAAAAATCAAATGAAATAAACTGAAGTGAAACTACTTTCTTGTAGCCAGTACAGTGGCTCACACCTATAGTCGCAGCTACTTGGGAGGCTGAGATGAAAGAATCACTTGAGCACAGAAATTCAAAACCAGCCTGGACAATATAGCAAGACCCCATACCCCTCCCCAAAAGAATTCCTTTTAAATTCCATAAACATATTATAATTTGAGTAATTAGTCTGTCAAAAGAAAGATTTTAAAAAGCTAAATATAGGCCAGGAGCAGTGGCTCACATCAGTAATTTTTTTTTTTTTTTTTTTTTGAGATAGAATTTTGCTTTTGTTGCCCAGGCTGGAGTGCAATGGTGCTATCTCGGCTCACTGCAACCTACGCCTCCCAGGTTCAAGTGATTCTCCTGCCTCAGCCTCCTAAGTAGCTGGGATTATAGGCATGCATGACCACGCCCGGCTAATTTTGCATTTTTAGTAGAGACAGGGTTTCTCTATGTTGGCCAGGCTGGTCTCGAACTCCCAACCTCAGGTGATCTGCCCGCCTCAACCTCCCAAAGTGCTGTGATTACAGGCATGAGCCATCGTGCCTGGCTACACACCAGTAATTCTAACATTTTGAGACACCAAGGTGAAAGAATCACTTGAGGCCAGGAGTCTGAGACCAGCTTGGGCAACACAGTGAGATCCTACCTCTACAAAAAATTTAAAAATTAGGCCAGGTGCAGGAGTGGCTCACACCTGTAATCCCAGCATTTGGCAGGCCGAAGCGGGCAGATGGCTTGAGCACAGGAGTTCAAGACCAGCCTGGGCAACATGGTGAAACCCCGTCTCAACAAAAAATGCAAAAGAAATTAGCCAGGCATGGGGGGAGTGTGCCTGTAGCCCCAGCTACTGGGAGGCTGAGGTAGGAGGATGGCTTGAACCTAGGAGGCAAAGGTTGCAGTGAGCTGAGACCATGCCACTATACTCTAGCCTGGGCAATAAAACCAGAATTTGTCTCAAAAAAATATAAATATAAATATAAATATAAATATAAATATAAATATAAAAATTAGCCAGGCATGGTGGCACACGCCTGTAGTCCCACCTACTCAGGAGGCTGAGGTAGGAGGATTGCATGAGCATGGGAAGTCAAGCTGTAGTGAACTGTGATGGTGACAAATCCAGCCTGGGTGACAGAGTGTGACCTTATCTCAAAAAACAAATTTTTTTATAAAAAAGATAAATCAAAATGGTTCCAAAGAAAATGCCTGTAACCCCAGTACTCTGGTTGAGAAAGAAGGCAGGGAGGAAGGGAGGACTGCTTGAAGCCAGGAGTTTGAGGCCAGCTTGGGCAAGGAAGTGAAACTTTGTCACAAAGAAACAAAAGAAAAAAAGAAATATAAGGATAGTGGACTTCTTCGCCTTATAAATTCTTGACTATAAATATACAAAAATTAGGCCAGGCATGGTGGCTCACGCCTGTAATCCCAGCACTTTGGAAGGCCAAAGCGGGTGGATCATGTGAGGTGAGGAGTTTGCCACCAGCACGGCCAACATGGTGAAGCCCCATCTCTACTAAAAATACAAAAATTAGCCAGGCATGGTGGCGGGCGCATGTAATCCCAGCTACTCGGGAGGCTGAGGCAGGAGAATCGCTTGAACCCAGGGGCAGAGGTTGCCAAGATCACACCACTGCACTCCAGCCTGGGCGACACAGTGAGACTGTCTCAACAAAAAATAAAAAATAAAAATAAAAACATAAATTATGCAAAAATTGTAAGTGAACACTTTTATTATACTTTTTTATCTTTTTGAAACAGGGTCTCACTGTGTTGCTCAGGCTGGAGTACAGCTGGGTGATCATGGCTCACTGTAGCCTCTGCCTTCTGGGTTCAAGGAATTCTCGTATCTCAGCCTCCCAAGTAGTTGGGATTACAAGCAAGTGCCAATACGCCTGGCTAATTTTTTTTCTGTTTTTTGCATATTTAAAAGACAAACTTTTGCCATATTGGCCAAGCTGATATGAAACTCTTGATCTCAAGTGATCCGCCCACCTTGGCCTCCCAAAGTGCTGGGATTACAGGCATGAGCCACCGCACCCGGCCTATTATAATATTTAATGACCATAAAAATGTGGTGTAACTATATAAAACTATAATAGCTAAAATCTATGCCACAATTCAAGAGATCTGTGCTTTACAGATTAAAAATATAGCTCAAATTAAACGAAATGGTGAATAATTTCCACATTATGAAGGTAAAAACAATATAAACTGAGCATCGAATAGGCTAAATAAGATGAAGTGTTATTAGAAACACCCATGCATTTTTTTCTCTAAAAACTATTACTACAAAATAATATACTGGAAAGAACCACATAGGTGGCAAACATTAAAAAGACAAAAAGCAGAATGGTGGTTGCCAAGGAAAGAGGGACAAGGAATGAAAGTTATTGTTTAATAGATACAGAAGTGAGCATAGTTTCTCCATCCCATAATCCCAAACCTTTGGGAGGCTGAGGCAGGAGGATCACTTGGGCCCAAGAGTAGAAGACCAACCTGGTCAACATAGTGAGACCTCATCTGTTTAAAAAAAAATAGTAATAAATAAAAATAAAGAGTATCCTGTAATCCCAGCACTTTGGGAGGCCGAGTTGGGTTGATCACTTGAGGTCAGAAGTTTGGGACAAGCCTGGCCAACATGGTGAAATCCCATCTCTACCAAAAAATACAAAAATTAGCCGGGCGTGGTGGCACGCACCTGCAGTCCCAGCTACTTGGGAGGCTGAGGTGGGAGGATCACTTGAACCTGGGAGGCAGAGGTTGAAGTGAGCTGATGTCATGCCACTGTAACAGAGGGAGACCCTATCTCAAACAACAAATAAAAATCATTTAAATGGCATATTTTGTTACAGATATTCTAACATAATTAAATATATATAAAATTTTAAAAAATAAATAGGCCAGGCACAGTGGCTCACGCCTATAAAACCAGCACTTTGGGAGGCCAACGAGGCAGGATCATATGAGACCAGGAGTTCAAGACCATCCTGGGCAACATAGCGAAACCTCATCTATAAAATAAATTATAAAACAAAAATGAGCCGTGTATAGTGGCACATGCCTGTGGTCCCAGCAACTCAGGAGGCTGAGGTAAATGGATTGCTTGAGCTTGGGAAGTTGAGGCTACAGTGAGCTGTGACCACACCACCGCACTCCAGCCTGGATGACAAAGTGAGACCCTCTAAATTAAACACACACACACACACACACAAAGTGAGACCCTCTAAATTAAACACACACACACAGAGAAAGAGACAGAGAGAGAGAGAGAGAGAGAGAGAGAGAGGTGGCGGGGAGAGGGATAGAGGGAGGGGGCAGGCAAATAAAAAAGGTGGCTCACGCCTACAATCCGAGCACTTTGGGAGGCCGAGGCGGGTGGATCACGAGGTCAGGAGATCGAGACCATCCTGGCTAACATGGTGAAACCCCGTCTCTACTAAAAATACAAAAACTTAGCCGGGCGTGGTGGCAGGCGCCTGTAGTCCCAACTACTCAGGAGGCTGAGGCAGAAGAATAGCATGAACCCGGGACATGGAGCTTGCAGTGAGCCAAGATGGTGCCACTGCACTCCAGCCTGGGTGACAGAGCAAGAGTCCATCTCAAAAAAAAAAAAAAGAAAATGCACGAGTCATTATAATTCTGTAGTGCTGACATCTTAAAATAGACTAATGTAGGCTGGGCGCGGTGGCTCACGCCAATAATCCTAACACTTTGGGAGGCCAAGGTGGACGGATCACAAGGTCAAGAGATCCAAGACCATCCTGGCCAACATGGTGAAACCATGTCTCTACTAAAAATACAAAAATTAGCTGGGTGTGGTGGTGCACGCCTGTAGTCCCAGCTACTTGGGAGGCTCAGGCAGGAGAATCACTTGAACCCGAGAGGCAGAGGATGCAGTGAGCCGGGATCGCGCCAGGGCACTCCAGCTTGGCGACAGAACGAAACTCCATCTCAAAAATAAATAAATAAATAAATAAATAGACTAATGTAATAGGTGGGTATCTACTACAGTAGAATGAGACTTACTTCTCCTACAGAAAGCCTTCCCTAAATCCCCAGATTGGTCTAAAATGTTCTCCTCAAACCATGCATGTAATCACTATTGCACTTCAGCATAATAGTGACATGACTGATTCATATATTTAATGTGGAATATGAATTCCTTGTGGACAGGAACAGTGCTTATTCAAATCTATCACCAATATTCAGCAATGTGCCACCTGACAACATAGGTAATCTGAATTTTCTCAACAGTTCAACTATATTGACACCACTTAAAATTAGAGATCCACGCTACTCAGAAATATATACTGAGCTGGCCATAACAATAAAACATCTATATAAATAAGGTCAATTTCTCAACAGATATTAAATTTGAAAAATGAAATCATTACCAAATATAGGCTTAAGACAAAGTAATTTTTTTTTTTTTTTGAGCCAGAGTCTCACTCTTGTCACCCAGGCTGGAGTGCAGTGGCGCAATCTCAGCTGACTGCAACCTCTGCCTCCCGGGTTCAAGGGACTGTCCTGCCTCAGCCTCCTGAGTAGCTGGGATTACAGACACGTGCCACCACGCCAGGCTTATTTTTGTATTTTTAGTAGAGACAGGGTTTCACCAGGTTGGCCAGGCTGGTCTTTAATTCCTGACCTTAGGTGATCCGCCCGCCTCAGCCTCCCAAAGTGCTGGGATTACTAGCGTGAGCCACCGCGCCTGGCCGACAAAGTAACTTTTATTCAGCCACTACAGGGACAGATGATGAGAATGAAGTAGAAAACAGATGGCCAGGCGTGGTGGTTCATGCCTATAATCCCAACACTTTGGAAGGCCAAGGCAGGCTGATCACGAGGTAAGGAGTTCAAGACCAGCCTGGCCAATATGGGGAAACCCTGTCTCTACCAAAAATACAAAAATTAGCTGGGCATGGTGGCAGGCACCTGTAGTCCCAGCTACTTGGGAGGCTGAGGCAGAAGAATCGCTTGAACCCAGGAGGCGGAAGTTGCAGTGAGCTGAGATCACGCCACTGCACTCCAGCCTGGGCAACAGAGCAAGACTCTGTCTCAAAAAAAAAAAAAAAGAAAACAAAACTGACATTCAATTTTCCAATGGTAAAATATACATAAAAGTAGTGTAATCCCAGCACTTTGGGAGGCCACAGTAGGAAGACCTCTTGAGCCCAGGAGTTCGAGACCCGCCTGGGTAACACAGGGAGACCTTGTCTATATTATTTAAAAATAAAAATAAATAAAAAGGAATAGACGGAACTCATGAACCTATCAAAGGTACTAGTTCCAATAATGAAGTTCAACGAGATAAAAACCTTGGCCAGGCGCAGTAGCTCACGCCTGTAATCCTAGCACTTTGGGAGGCAGAGGAGGGTGGATCACGAGGTCAGGAGTTCAAGATCAGCCTGACCAACATGGTGAAACTCCATTACTACTAAAAATACAAAAAAATTAGCAGGACATGGTGGCACACATCTGTGATCCCAGCTACTCAGGAGGCTGAGGCAGGAGAATCACTTGAACCCGGGAGGCAGAGGTTGCGATGAACCGAGATTGCGCCACTGTACTCCAGCCTGAGTGACAGAGCGAGACTTCATCTCAAAAACAACAACAACAACAACAAACCTCTACAGATGTGGCAGAATAAAATGGTACTGGCAGGGGCAAGGCCTATCCATACATCAAGGATTCTTACGGCTTGCACACAAATGGATTTGGGATAGAAACGGACTTGGGATTGGCTCAAAAAAGCTCAGTAGCACAATCACCCAAATGAAAACGTGAGAAATCAAAGTCAGGTAATGGAAAGCTGGAGATAGGAACAAGAAACTTCTTAGAGACATTCACTGAACCTTGACTGTATCTCCCATTCCAGCCCCATCCTATAAACCCCCATGCTGAAGAGGCCCTGCCCTAATTCAAAATGAGTATAGTTCTTAAACACTCCCTAAATGAAAAGCACAGGATGTTAGAGCAAATACTTGTTAATTCGTATTGGAAAACCTAAAGAATAAAAAGGCAGCCGGATGCAGTGGCTCGCACCTGTAATTCTAACACGTTGAGAGGCCGGGACAGGAGGATCACTTCAGGCCAGGAGTACAAGAACACCCTGAGCAACATAACAGAGCGAAACCCTGTCTCTAGAAAATAATTAAAATAAAATTAGCCCGGCATGGTAGGATGTACCTCCCAGCTACCCAGTAGGCTGAGTCAGGAGGGCTAGTTGAGCCTAGGAGGCTGAAGCTGCAGTGACCCATGATCACAGTCCTGTCTGAAAAAAACAAACAAAAAAAAGTAGCAAAAACTGAAATTTCTAGAGCCAGCAAAATGATGCCTTATATGAGTATCTCAACAGCTGAACACTCCAATTAGAGACTCTGGGGGTCAAAGTCAACTCTAACAGGCTGCCTCTACTCTCAACTGTGTGACCCAATTGCTTTTAATAAACAATTCTATCCCTGGCTGACTCTATTGGAAATTTAATCTGATCTTATCCTGGGTATATATAAGTGGTTTCACCCTACTTATTTATAGCCCACCTAAAATCTTGCTGAGCTGAATGAAACTTAGAATAAATCTAGGCCGGGCACTACGGCTCACGCCTGTAATCTCAGCACTTTGGGAGTCCAAGGGGGGCGGATCACGAGGTGAGGAGTCTGAGACAATCCTGGCCAACATGGTAAAACCCCATCTTAGTCGGACGTGGTGGGACACGTCTGTAGTCCCAGCTACTCAGGAGGATGAGACAGGAGAATCACTTGAACCCAGGAGGTGGAGGTAGCAGTGAGCTGAGAACGCACCACTGCACTCCAGCCTGGGCAACAGAGCGAGACTCCATCTCCAAAAAAAAAAAAAAAAGAAGAAAAGAGAAGATAAATCTACTACAATAATTTGTGCCATGGATTCCTTATTTCTTTATTCCTTTATTTATTCATAAAAGACAAAGTAGGCCGGGTGCGATGGCTCATGCCTGTAATCTGAGCACTTTGGGAGGCCGAGGCGGGCGGATCACCTGAGGTCAGGAGTTCAAGACCTGCCTGGCCAAGGTGAAACCCCGTCTCTACTAAAAATACAAAAAAAATCAGCCGGGCGTGGTGGTGCATGCCTGTAATCCCAGCTACTCGAGAGGCTGAGGCAGGAATCGCTTGAATTCGGGAGGCGGAGGTTGCAGTGAGCTGAGATTGCGCCACTGCACTCCAGTCTGGGCAACAAGAGCAAAACTCCATCTCAAAAAAAAAAAAAAAAAAAAAGACAAAGTAGTGCTAACAATTGGTAAAAAGAAACGTGTTTCTATGAAAGGAGTATTCACATTTCTAACACTATGTTTAGGTCTATCAGTCAATAAATGACTGTGCCAGAAAAGGGATGTGAAGTAGTAAATAAGCAGAGAATGTGTCCAAGAAAGTTCACAAGAAATCACAAAGTCATCCTCACACCTTGAAAATGGTTGAAAGAGAAAAAAATACATCATTTAAATTCCAGAATTCTTATACCTCACAAAATAAAATGACACACGTCAAAAATTCCATACATTTACTTATCTATTAAACTTATTTGGAATTTGTATTATTATCAGCACCTCTAATGATAGGTCACTGCTACCGTAATAGTCTTGGAGACAACAAAAAGTATTAGCATTGACACCAATCACTGAGAATTTATCATGAAGCACTTTTGACTTATTTCCTCATTTACTTGTCACAACAAGCATATGAACTTTACTCTTTTTTTTTTTTTTGAGACTGAGTCTCGCTCTGTCGCCAGGCTGGAGTGCAGTGGTGCAATTTCAGCTCACTGCAACCTCCGCCTCCCAGGTTCAAGCAATTCTCCTGCCTGAGCCTCCTCAGTAGCTGGGACTGCAGGCGCGCACCACCACGCCCAGCTAATTTTTGTATTTTTAGTAGAGACAGGGTTTCACCATGTTGGCCAGGATGGTCTCGATCTCTTGACCTCGTGATCCACCAGCCTCGGCCTCCCAAAGTGTTGGGATTACAGGTGTGAGCCACGGCTCCTGGCCTGAACTTTACTCTTTTACACCCATTTTACAGATGAGAAAAGTGTTGCTGGCTCCAGCAATATTGTATACTAAAGAACTATTACACTCTACCACTATAAACATGTAGAAATGTTGGGTAAAAGTAACACGCATTATTTTAAATGAGCAGCTGAATTCCTAGAAAGAAAGCAAATCCCCAGGTGCAAAAATCAAAGGGAGGAAAAAAAAGAAACAACTAAAAGTCAAAGTGGTAATCATGCGAGGTAAAAAATACAACCCTAGGCTAGGCACAGTGCCCCACGCCTGTAATGCCAGAACTTTGGGAGGCCAAAACAAGCAAACCACTGTAAGTCAGGAGTTCGAGACCAGCCTAGCCAACATGGTGAAACCCTGTCTCTACTAAAAATAGAAAAATTAGTCAGGCATGGTGGCGGGCACTTGTAATCCCAGCTACTTGGAAAACTGAGACAGGAGAATCGCTTGAACCCAGGAGGCACAGGCTGCAGTGAGCTGAGATCGTGCCACTGCACTCCAGCCTGGATGACAGAGCAAGACTCTGTCTCAAAAATAAATAAATAAAAATTATCCGGGCACAGTTATGCACGTCTGTAATCCCAGCTACTCGCGAGGCCGAGGCAGGAAAACTGGTTGAAACCAGAAGGTGGAGGCTGCAGTGAGCCAAGATCGCACCACTGCACTTCAGTCTGAGTGAGAGTCTGTCTCAAAAACTAAATTAATTAAGGGCGGGCACGGTGGCTCATGACTGTAACCGCAGCATTTTTGGAGGCTGAGGCGGGCTGATCATGAGGTTAGGAGATCGAGACCATCCTGGCTAACAAGGTGAAACCCTGTCTAAAAAAAAATACAAAAATTAGACAGGCACGGTGGCAGCCTGTAGTCCGAACTACTTGGGAGGCTGAGGCAGGAGAATGGCGTGAACCCGGGAGGCAGAGCTTGCAGTGAGCTGAGATCGCGCCACTGCACTCCAGCCTGGGCAACAGAGCAAGACTCTGTCTCAAAAAAAAAAAAAAGAAAAACTAATTAAATAAAAAGCGAATTTAAAAAAAAAAAGAATTATAAGTTTAAAATGTAAAACAGGCCAGGCACGGTGGCTCATGCCTGTAATCCCAGCACTTTGGGTGGTCAAGGCGGGCGGATCATGAGGTCAGGAGTTCGAGACCACCCTAGCCAACATGGTTAAACTCCGTCTCTACTAAAAATACAAAAAATAGGCCAGGCGCGGTGGCTCATGTCTGTAATCCCAGCACTTTGGGAGGCCGAGGCGGGCCGATCACAAGGTCAGGAGTTCGAGACCAGCCTGACCAACATGGTGAAACACGTCTCTACTAAAAATACAAAAAGTAGCCAGGCGTGGTGGCAGGCACCTGTAATCCCAGCTACTCTGAAGGCTGAGGCAAGGGAATCGCTTGAATCCGGGAGGCGGAGGTTACGGTGAGCTGAGATGGTGCCACTGCATTTCAGCCCGGGTGACAGAGCCAGGCTTCATCTTAAAAAAAAAAAAAAAAAAAAAAAAAAAAAAAGGCTGGGCGTGGTGGCGGGCGCCTATAATCCCAGCTACAGCCACTCAGGAAGCTGAGGCAGCAGAACCATTTGAACCCAGGAGGCAGAGGTTGCAGGGAGCCAAGATCGCGCCATTGCACTCCAGCCTGGGCTACAGGGCAATACTGCATCTCAAAATAAATAAATAATAAAGCTTCTTGAAGAAAATACAGAAGAATATATACATGACTTCAGAAAAGGCAAAGATTTCTGGCCAGGCGTGGTGGCTCATGCCTGTAATCCTACCACTTTGGGAGGCCTAGGCGAGCAGATCACCTGAGGTCAGGAGTTCGAGACCAGCCTGACCAACATGGAGAAACCCCGTCTCTACTAAAAATACAAAACCAGCCAGGCATGGTGGCGCATGCCTGTAACTCCAGCTACTCAAGAGGCTGAGGCAGGAGAATCACTTGAACCCGGGAGGCGGAGGTTGCAGTGAGCTGAGATCGCGCCATTGCGCTCCAGCCTGGGCAACAAGAGCGAAACTCCGTCTCAAAAAAAAAAAAAAAAAAAAAAGGCAAAGATTTCTATAAGAACACAAAAAGTATTAACAACACAGAAAAATTTTACTAAATTGTTCTGTATCAGGAAATGGCAAATAATGGTCCACGGGTCAAATGTAGTCCACTCTTGTTTTTGTAAAGTTTTACTGAAGCAAATTCACATTCATGTATTTCTTGTGGCTACTTTCACACAATAGCAGCAAAAGCAAGTACTTGCATCACAAACCATATGACCCAAAAGGCCCAAAATATCTGGTATTTTACAGAAAAAGTTTACCGTTTCCTGCTGTATATGACAAGTACAAACCTCTGCTCATCAAAGGACATCATTATGAGAGTAAAAACATAAACTATTAAGTGGGAGAAGAGATCTGGAATAAATATTTCTGACCAATGAACCATATCCAGAATACCTAAGAAAAATTCAGCCAGGTATGGTGACTCACGCCTGTAATCCCAGCACTTTGGGACGCCGAGCTGGGAGAATCACTTGAGCCCAGGAGTTTGAGATCAGCCTGGGCAATCAGGCGAGACTGTCTCTACAAAAAAACAGAAAAAATTATCCGGGTGTGGTGGTGTGGACTGGTAGTCCCAGCTGCTTGAGAGGCTGAGGTGGGAAGATCCTCTGAGCCCAGGCGTTTGAGGCCGCAGTGAGCTATGATCAAGGCAATGTACTCCAGCCTGGGTGATTAGGCCAGACCCCGTTTCAAAAAAGAAAAGAAAAAAAGAGAGAGAGAAAGACCAATGTGCAAATTTTTAAACAGGCAAAAGATTTAAACAGGTACTTCTCAAAAAAGGATAGCCAAGTGGCCAATAAATAAAGTTGCTCACATTAATTAATTATTAGCAACTAGAAAATAATGCATTATAACCACAAATCTACTAAATAACCAAAATGTAAAAGACAAAAAGATTCCAAGGATTGGTGAGAAAGTAGAAAATCAGAACGCTCAGCCAGGTGTGGTGGCTCATGCCTGTAATCTCAGCACTTTGGGAGGCCAAGGCAGGTGGATCATGAGGTCAGGAGATCGAGACCATCCTGGCTAACACGTGAAACTGGTGAACCCCTATCTCTACTAAAAATACAAAAACTTAGCCGGGCATGGCAGCATGCACCTGTAGTCCCAGCTACTCGGGAGGCTGAGGGAGGAAAACGGCATGAAACAGGGAGGCGGAGCTTGCAGTGAGCCGAGATCCCGCCACTGCACTCCAGCCTGGGCGACAAAGCGAGGCTCCGTATCAAAAAAAAAAAAAAAAGAAAGAAAGAAAGAAAAGAAAATCAGAATGCTCATACACTGTTTGTGGGAGTATAAATTGGTAGAACTGCTGTGGAAACCTGTTTAGCAACATCTACTAAAGTTGACCAACCTATGACATAGCAAGTAAACTCTTAAGAACACAACCAAAAGAAACATCTAAGTTGAGCAAAAGAAATATATAAAAATATTCACAACAGCACTATTTATAATAGCTCTAAGCTGCAAATTACCCCAAAAGCCTATCAATGCAAAATGAATAAAAAAAATTGTGGTGTATTCCCACAACGGAATACTATACAGCAACTGTTGGCAAATTATGAAACAGCTATCGAAAAACAACAAGGGTCTCACTGTGTCACCCAGGCTGGAGTGCAGTGGAATGATCACTACTCACTGCAGCCTTCAACTCCTGGGCTCAAGTGATCCTCACACCTCAACCTCCTAAGTAGCTCCAACCACAGGAGTTTGCCAACATGCTGACGCTAATATTTTAATATTCTGTAGAGATGTGGTCTCACTATCTAACCCAGGCTGGTTTTGAACTCCTGGGCTCAAGCAATCTTCCCACTTCAGCCTCGCAAAAAAAAAAAAACAAAAACTAGCCACACGTGGTAGTATATGCCTAGGCTAAGACAAGAGGATTGCTTAAGCCCTAGAGGTCAAGGCTGCAGTGAGCTGTGTTCATTCAGGACACCACTCCAACCTGGTAACACAACAGGGTACCATCTCAAAAAAATCAAAATTAAAGTTTTACCAGTACACAGCCATACTTATTATGTACTGCATATACATACACTCATTTACGTATTGTATATAGCTGCTTTCATACTACACTGAGTGGCTGTAACAGAGCCCACAGAGCCTACAGGCCTAAAATATTTACTATCTAGAATATTTACTATCTGTCCCTTTAATTAATTAATTTATTTATTTATTTAGAAACAGGGTGTTGGCCGGGCGCGGTGGCTCAGGCCTGTAATCCTACGTTTTGGGAGGCTGAGGTGGGTGGATGACCTGAGGTCAGGAGTTTGAGACCAGCCTGGCCAAGATAAACACAAACACAAAATTAGCCAGGCGTGATGGTGCATGCCTGTAATCCCAGCTACTCAGGAGGCTGAGGCAGGAGAATCACTTGAACCAGGGAGGCGGTGGTGGCGGTGAGCTGAGATCGCACCATTGCACTCCAGCCGGGGCAACAAGAGCGAAACTCTGACCCAAAAAAAAAAGAGGAGAAACAGGGTGTCACTTTCATCCAGGCCATAGTGCAGAGGTGCAATCTCAGCTCACTACAACCTTCGCCACCTGGCTCAAGCAATCCTCCCACCTCAGCCTCCCAAATAGCTGGGACGACAGGGGCCCTCCCAAACGCCTGGCTAATTTTGATATTTTTTTGTAGAGACCAGCTTTTGCCATGTTGTCCAGGCTGGTCTTGAACTCCTGGACTCAAGTGATCCACCCACCTCAGCCTCCCAAAATGCTTGGATTATGGGAGTGAGCCACAGCATACAGTACACTCTGTCCCTTTAGCAAAAAAAATTAGGCTGGGCGTGGTGGCTCATACCTGTAATCCCAGCACTTTGGGAGGCTGAGGCGGGCAGATCACAAGGTCGGGAGTTCAAGACCAGCCTGGCCAACATGGTGAAACCCCGTCTCTACTAAAAATACAAAAATTAGCCGAGCATGGTGGGGCGTGCCTGTAATCCCAGCTACTCGGGAGGCTGAGGCAGGAGAATAGCTTGAACCCGGGAGGCGGAGATTGCAGTGAGCCAAGATTCCACCACTGCACTCCAGTCTGGGACAGAGCTAGACTCCGTCTCAAAAAAAAAAAAAAAAAAGAAAAAGAAAAAATTTAGCCAGGCGCAGTGGCTCATGCCTGTAATCCCAGCACTTTGGGAGGCTGAGGCAGGTGGATCACCTGAGGTCAGGAGTTCAAGACCAGCCTGGCCAACATGGTGAAACCTCATCTCTACTAAAAATACAAAAAAATTAGCTGGGTGTGGTGGCGGGTGCCTGTAATCCCAGCTACTCGGGAGGCTGACGCAGGAGAATCGCTTGAACTCGGGAGGCTGAGGTTGCAGTGAGCTGAGATCATGCCATTGCACTCCAGCCTGGGCAACAAAAGCGAGACTCCATCTCCAGAAAAAAAAGAAAAAGAAAAAATGTATCAGCCCGTACACAGCAATGACAATAAACAAATTACAACTATAAGCAATAACACAGAAAAATTTGAGGCCAGGTATGGTGGCTCACGCCTGAAATCCCACCACTCTGGGAGGCCGAGACGGGCAGATCACTTGAGGCCAGGAGTTTGAGACCAGCATGGCTAACATGGTGAAACCCCATCTCTACCAAAAATACAAAATATCAGCTGGGAATGGTGGTGCACACCTGTTAATCAGCTACTTTAGAGGCTGAGGCATGAGAATCGCATGAACCCAGGAGGCAGACTGCAGTGAGCCAGGATCGTACCACTGCATTCCAGCCTGGGCAACAGAGAAAGGCTGTCTCAAAAAAATTAAAAAAAAGAAATTTTTACAAATGTAACATTTGTCTGCATGCTTCAAAAATGTTAAGTCATGGGCCAGAGGGAGTGGCTCATGCCAGTAATCTCAGCACTTTGGGAGGCCAAGGCTGACAGTTACCTGAGGTCAGGAGTTGGAGACCAGCCTGGCCAACATGGTGAAACCCAGTTTCTACTAAAAATACAAACATTAGCTGGGCGTTGTGGCGCATGCCTGTAATCCCAGCTACTGGGGAGGCTGAGGCAGGAGAATCATTTGAACCTGGTAGGGGAGGAGACTGCAGTGAGCCAAGATTGTGCTACTGCACTCCAGCCTGGGCAACTGAGCAAGACTCTGTCTCAAAAAACAACAACAAAAATGTAAGTCATAACAAACAAACGTCAATCAGCTGTGCGTGGTAGCTCAAAGCAGCAATCCCAGTACTTTGGAAGGCCAAGGCAGAAGGACTTCTTCAGTCCAAGAGTTCAAAACCAGCCTGGGTAACACAGTGAGACCCTATCTCTATCAAATTAAAAATTAAAAAATTTGGCCAGGTGCTGTGGCTCACACCTGTAATCCCAGCACTTTGGGAGGCCAAGGCAGGCAGATCACTTGAGGTCAGTAGTTCGAGACCAGCCTAGCCAACATGGTGAAACCCCATCTCTACTAAAAATACAAAAATTAGCTGGGTGTAGTGGTGCACACCTGTAATCCCAGCTACTTGGGAGGCTAAGACAGGAGAATGGCTTGAACCCGGGAAGGGGAGGCTGCAGTGAGCTGAGATCGCGCTACCACACTCCAGACTGGGTAACAGAGCAAGACTCTGTCTAAAAAAAAAGAAAAGAAAAGAAAAGCCAGGCGTGGTGGAATGTGTCTGTGGTCTCAGCCACTCAGGAGGCTGAGGCAGGTGGATCAGTTGATCCCTGGAGGTCAAGGCTGCAGTGAGCTATGACCATACCACTGTACTTTAGCCTGGGTGACAGAGCAAGGCAGTATCTCAGAAAAAAAAAAGACAGGCTGAATTATCTCAAATTAAATAAGACTAAAAATATATAACTAAATAAAATATGTGGTGTTGGTGTGGATCTTATAAAGGACATTTTTGAGACAACTGGTGAAATGTGAAGATAGATTATATGGTAAATAATGGTATTATATCAAAGCCAATCTCCTAAATTTGATCACTGTATTTGCCAGGATAAATCCCATGTTCTACAGAGATCTGTGCCTCAGTCTCAAGTCTCTCAAGCTATTCCCTCCCTGCTAGATTGGACCTGATGGATGATGACAACTCAAGTGACTACGACTGCTGATTTCTTTCACGTAAGTCCATCCTTTTATTCTTGCTTCCAAGACCTATATGCTAATCTGTTTTCTCCCTCATCCATTCCACAAAGTCCTAGAATCAGCATGATTTTGGCAAAACAATACCATTCTCACATACGGATCATAAAATGTTCAGTAAGAGAGATCATAACATTTGCCAAATTCAATAGTTTTCTCCTATTTCATTTTTTTCTTTTTGAGACACAGTCTCACTCTGTTGCCCAGGCTGGAGTGCAGTGGCACAATCTTGGCTCACTGCAACCTCTGCCTCTCAGGTTCAAGCTATTCTCCTGCCTCAGCCTCCTGAATAGCTGGGATTTTTTTTGTATTTTTAGTAGAGACAGGATCTCACAAGGTTGACCAGCCTGGTCCAGAACTCCTGATTTCAGGTAATCCGCCCGCCTCAGCCTCCCAAAGTGCTGGGATTACAGGCGTGAGCTACCATGCCCAGCTTGCTTTCTCCTATTCCTTTGCCACAGAACATTTTTAGAAACTCAGAGAGAGGACTATTAAGAAAAATTGTTCAAAGTGAAACTTGAAGACAACAGATTCTTCTTAGCCCTCTGCATTTACTCCTCCCCTCCCTCTTCTCAGATGCTACAGGTACTCCCCAGGAAATAATTATAAAACCAGTGATCAAGTCCAACTCCAACTGTAAGCCCCTTCTTATTAACTTCACGTTCCAAACGGTTTATTCAATCAAATGAAAACAGACTGTTAAAGTGACAGTCCTCCAACTCCCACCCTTTCCATTACACCAGACTGATCCAGTTGGTGAGAATTCCTGCCATGAGGTCAGTCATACTTACTGGGAAGAAATTCAAAGGTGTCAGAAAGAGATAGCTTATGAACTGTGACTCATCTAAAACATCCCAAAATAGTATTATCCAGTTCAATCACACCACCACATTTGTTAGAACTGGCTATGACAACATTTTATGCTCAACGTATTTACAGGTGTTCCACCAAATCACGTAACAATTGAAAATAAATTTAGAAAATGTTGAATGAGGCTAGGCACAGTGGCTCACACCTGTAATCCCAGCACTTTGGGAGGCCGAGATGGGAGAATCACCTGAGGTCAGGAGTTTGAGATCAGCCTGGCCAACATGGTGAAACCCTGTCGCTACTAAAAATATAAGAATTAGCCAGGTGTGGCTGGGTGCAGTAGCTCACGCCTGTAATCCCAGCACTTTGGGAGGCCGAGGCGGGCAGATCACGAGGTCAGGAGATCGAGACCATCCTGGCTAACACGGTGAAACCCTGTCTCTACTAAAAATACAAAAAATTAGCCAGGTGTGGTGGCAGGCACCTGTAGTCCCAGCTACTCGGGAGGCTGAGGCAGGAGAATTGCTTGAACCCAGGAGGCGGAGGTTGCAGTGAGCCGAGATCACGCCACTACACTCTAGCCTGGGCGACAGAGCGAGACTCCATCTCAAAAAAAAAAAAAAGAGAAAACGTTGAATGATAGTTCCCTTAAAATAGGTGTATCCATCTCCTCAATGCATCTCCTTCTTCAACAGTAATAATCTTTCTTTTCCTCTTTTTTATTTTTCAATCTTTTTTAGAGACAGGGTCTCACTTTGTTGCCCAGGCTAGTCTCGAGTTCCTGGGCTCAAGTGATCCTCCTGCCTCAGCCTCCCAAAACGTTAGGATTACAGGCATGAGCCACCACACCCAGCCCTTTTGGGTCAACACTTTCAGAGGACAAGGCAGGAGGATAGCTTGAGCCCAGGAGTTTGGGACCAGCCTGGGCAACAATAGCGAGACTCCAGCTCTAAAAAAAAAAAAAATTATAAAAACATAATAATTTTTTCAGTGAGTTCTGACAACTGCTTTAAAATACGTCAGTATTACACTTTACATTTTTGTAGATATATTAAGAAAAGCTCAATTTCACAAGATTGTTGCTCAGGCTAGTCTCAAACTCTTGAGCTCAGAGGACCCACTCACCTAGGCCTCCCAAAGTGTTGGGATTATAGATAGGCATGAGCCACAGTGCCCAGCTGAGATTTTTTTTTTAAGAAAAAAAATATATATATACAGTATTCTGTTTTATGTTTACACTATATTTTCACAACACAAAATACTTCAGTTAGGTTTTTTTTCTCAAACAGGGACTCACTGTCGCCTAGGCTGGAGTGCAGTGGCATGATTATAGCCCACTGCAGCCTCAACCTCCTGGGCTCAAGAGATCCTCCTACCTCAGCCTCCCAAAGTAGCTGGGACCACAGGCATGCACCACCACACCAAGCTAATTTTTTTTTATTTTTTGTAGACGGCTCTCACCATGTTGTCCAGGCTGGTCTCAAACTCCTGGGCTCAAGGACTCCTCTAGCCTCAGCCACCCAAAATGCTAAGATTATAAGCATGAACCACTGCACCCAGCCTTTCTCTTTAGGAAAAAAAAAAGAGAAAGAGATATTGATGGGATTTCGCTCTATCACTCAGGCTAGAGTGCAGCAGTAGTACTACTGTAACTCATGGCAGCCTCTAACTCCTGGGATCAAGTGATCCTCCTGGGTCAGCTCCCAAGTAGTTGGGACCACAATCACACACCACCATGCACGACTAATTTTTAGTTTTTCTGATAAATAGGGTCTCAATATGTTGCTCAAGCTGGTCTCAAACTCCTTGCCTCATGTGACCCTCCTACTTCAGTCTCCCAAGTAGTCTGGATTACAGGCATGAGCCAGTGTGCCCAGCTAAATATGTACTGTTCACTGTACATTGGCCATACTTCAGCAAAGCTGTAGGACACATTACAGGGAGAGAGAGAAAGATGAAAAAAGTAAAAATATAGAAAAAATAAATAAATGAAACATCAATCAAATAAATAAGTACAATGTCAGTGAACTCAGGTTTCTACCTACGAATCCACATGGTACGGAGTACAAACCTGCACTGAAGTTGATCATATAGCTTTCCAGAGCCTTGCCCACCACCTGGTCCAGCATGCCCTCTGCCTGGAATACTAGTCCATGTCTCCAGCACAGCAGCCCATATTCTGCAGCCTACTGAGCTCTATCTAACTGGTCATGCTACATCATGTAGGCTCACTGCCCTTGCACATGAATTATAAAGGCCAGAAGCTAGCTAACTAGATTTTTCAGATTTAACTATTCTTCTACAGTAATTTGTTTTATCCACACGTATGTGGCTGAGCAGTTCAGTTAGACTATTTGTTTTCTCCATGTTGGCAAATTATTTCCTACATGGCCCCCAAGTTACAAGAATATCTATGAGTTCATTAGTACAAAATTCAAAAACAAGCAAAACATAATACTATATTATTCAGGGATGCACACTAACACAGTGATACCTATAAAGAAAAGCAAGGAGGCCAGGCGCGGTGGCTCACGCCTGTAATCCCAGCACTTTGGGAGGCTGAGGCAGGCAGACCACCTGAGGTCGGGAGTTCAAGACCAGCCTGAACAACATGGAGAAACCCTGTCTCTACCAAAAATGCAAAATTAGCCGGGCGTGGTGGCGCATGCCTGTAATCCCAGCTAGTCAGGAGGCTGAAGCAAGAGAACCGCTTGAACTCGGGAGGCAGAGGTTGCAGTAAGCCGAGATCGTGCCATTGCACGCCAGCCTGAGCAACAAGAGAGAAACTCTGTCTCAAAAACAAAAACATACAAAAAAAAAAACGGCAAGGAAAAGATTATCTGTGGGGAAAAAGAGGAGTTTATGGTTGGGGAAGGAACACATACGTTTGTTAGGGTTGTTAGCAATTTCTGACCTGGACTGTGGTTAAATGGATGTTCTCTTTATAATTATTTAAGTCAAAATTTATTTTACTCACTTTCTATATATTTTACAATAGGAAGTTGTTTAAAAAAAAAAAGAAAGAAACTAAACCATTATTCCACAAGTAAATTTCCTACACTATTTTGCTTAAACAGGTGCTCATATTCCACTTTCATCAGACAGAGTTCTAAGCTACAAACTCAAATGCTCACTTCAAATATATATACAACACTTACGGTCTCCTTCCTAGTCCCATGTTCCCAAAGATAGTCTCTCCATTCTGAAATTCATACAACAGCAGAGTGAAATCAGTTCAGGAATATAATATTCTACATTTTTCCTCCAGTTGCAAATTAATTTTTTTTTTTTTTTGAGATGGAGTCTCACTCTGTCGCCCAGGCTGGAGTACAGTGGCATGATCTTGGCTCACTGCAACCTCCGCCTCCTGGGGGCTAGCAGTTCTCCTGCCTCAGCCTCCCGAGCAGCTGGGATTACAGGCGCCTGCCACCACACCCGGGTAATTTTTGTATTTGTAGTAGAGACAGGGTTTCACCATGTTGGCCAGGCTGGTTTCGAACTCCTGACCTCAGGTGATCCACCTACCTCAGCCTCCCAAAGTGCTGGGATTACAGGCGTGAGCCACTGCCCCCAGCCTAAATGATTTTTTTAAGTGCAATGACAGGTTTACAATTTTGGGCATAAGGGTACATGTTCTCAAGATCTCCTGGAGCTGTGTCACGTAAAAAAGAAAACAAAATCTTGGATATCTCCCAAACACAATTAAAATCCAGTTACTTGAGACTCTCACTTAACCTTCTATATTTCTTACTCTCAGAGCTTTCCTGTTTTTTTAAACACAGATGCTTATAATCCATTTTAAAATGCAGAATAAAAAAACAGCTCTAGGCCGGGCACTGTGGCTCATGTCTGTAAACCCAGGACTTTGGGGGGCCAAGGCGGAAAGACTGCCTGAGCCCAGGAGTTCGAGAACAGTCTGGGCAACAGGGCAAAACCCTGTCTCTACAAAAAAAAAAAACAAAAATTAGCAGGGTGTAGTGGTGCATGCTTGTCCCAACTACTCAGGAGGGTGAGGTGGGAGGATCTACCTGAGTCTGGAAAGTCATGGTCGAATATGCAGTGAGTTGAGATCATGCCACTGCACTCCAGCCTGAGTGACAGAGTGAGAGAGACCCTGTCTCAAAAAAAGAAAAACAGCTCTATCCTATTATTACAATTATGTTTACATTATGTATGCACACGTACTAAAGCCTTGGAGGGCTTGTGGGAAAATTAGAAACTTTACTTGTAGTGAAGGTAAAATATATTTTTCTTTTTTGTTTTATACCCACATCTTCTTAGCAATTTTTTTTGTTTCAAATCATGTGTTTGGTAATGCAATATACCTTTAGCCTTAGCCTTATGAAATGCTTGGTTCTTTCTAAATCTCTCAGCATTTGATAGAACAAGAGCCAGCTGTCCGACATCCAGCATGACTTGGGAAGTTACTATATAAAGTTCCACTCTAGCTGGGCATGGTGGCTCACGCCTGTAATCCCAGCACTTTGGGAAGCCGAGGCATGCGGATCACGAGGTCAGATCAAGACCATCCTGGCTAACACAGTGAAACCCTGTCTCTACTAAAATACAAAACAAAATTAGCCGGGCGTGGTGGCGGGCACCTGTTGTCCCAGCTACTTGGGAGGCTGAGGCAGGAGAATCGCCTGAACCCAGGAGGCGGAAGTTGCAGTGAGCCGAGATCACACCACTGCACTCCAGCCTGGGCAACAGAGCATGATTCTGTCTCCAAAAAGAAAAAAAAAAAAAAAAAAAAAGGTTCCACTCTGATTTTTTTCTTTTCCTTTTTCTCTTTTTTTTTTTGAGATGGAGTTTCGCTCTTGTTGCCCAGGCTGGAGTGCAATGGGCACAATCTCGGCTCACTATAAACTCCACCTCCCGGGTTCAAGTGATTCTCCTGCCTCGGCCTCCTGAGTAGCTGGGATTACAGGCATGTACCACCACACTCGGCTAATTTTTTATTTTTAGTAGACATGGAGTTTCTCCATGTTGGTCAGGCTGGTCTCGAACTCTCAACCTGAGGTGATCCACCCACTTCAGCCTCCCAAAGTGCTGGGATTACAAGGTGTGAGCCACCGCACCCAGCCTCCACTCTGATTTAAAAAAAAAAAAAAAAAGTCCAAATAGTGAACTCGGCCGGGTGCGGTGGCTCACGCCTGTAATCCCAGCACCTTGGGAGGCCGAGGCGGGTGGATCACAAGTTCAGGAGTTCGAGACCAGCTTGGCCAACATGGAGAAACCCCGTCTATACTAAAAATACAAAAATTAGCTGGGCGTGGTGGTGGGCGCCTGTAATCCCAGGTCCTCGGGAGGCTGAGGCAGGAGAATAGTTTGAACCCGGGAGGCAGAGGTTGCAGTGAGCCAAGACTGCGCCATTGCACTCCAGCCTGGACAACGACAACAACAACAAAAAAACAGTGAACTCTTTTTTTTTTTTTAAGACAGAGTCTCAGCTCACTGCAATCTCTGTCTGCCAGGCTCAAGTGATCCTCCCACCTCAGCCTCCCAAGTAGCTGGGCCTACAAGCGTGCAGGCACCACCACACCCAGATAATTTTTCTTGTATTTCTTTGTAGAGACGGGGCCTATGTTGCCCAGGCTAGTTTCAAACTCCTGGGCTCAAGAGTTTTGACCACCTTGGCCTCCCAAAGTGCTGAGATTACAGGTGTGAGCCATGCCCAGCATAAACTCTTATACCATACTGATTACTCAGGGAAAAAACTTTTTAAAGTATGTGATTTATATGTCTCACTGAAACATTCTTTGCTTTGTTAATTATCTATCTCATCGAATTTTGTTTTATACCATTATGGATTGTATCAATCCCTTTCATCTGGGAAAGTGTTGAACACCATTTTGAGAGGAAGGCAAGTACATCGGTTCCCAGTGGCACTAAACCAGGAATTGTTTTTAATTACGGCTTCTGCCTAAAAATATTCTTCCCTAATATTTTAAAATCTGGAACTAAATAATGGTTTAGTTCCCAGGAGTCAAATAGCCTACATATAACACTCTCTGAAAACACCATTTTTGAAAAGATTCATACATTCCTAATTAAGAATCCCAATATAATTTCAATCGTATTATGTAAAATACTTTATATAATGTAATCTGTAATTTTACTCTAAATTATGTTACAATTAATAAAGTGCAATCAATATGTACTATATTATAGTGAATTAAACTATTGAAAACCTCAATCAATAGCTAATTTGATAATTCTAGCCCAGTTCATAATGTAAGAGAACAGGAAATGAATACTTTAGCTGTAAAGGAACATGGAACTTTCAAATTTTTCACACATAAAATACATAACACACACACATCCCACAGAAAATGATAATGATAAAGCAAATGGGTAAAATGTTAACTGTAGATTCTGAGTGAAGAGAAAATAAAAGTTCTTCATACTAATCTTGTAAGCTTTTACTTTTAAGTATGTTTAAATTTTTGTTATAAAAAACATCAGGCAGCTAGCTGGGAGCGGTGGCTCACATCTGTAATCCCAGCACTTTGGGAGGGAGAGGTGGGCAGATCACCTGAGGTCAGGAGTTCAAGACCAGGAGTGGCCAACCTGGTGAAACCTTGTCTCTACTAAAAATACAAAAATAAGCCAGGCATGGTGGCAGGCACCTGTAGTCCCAGCTACTGGGGAGGCTGAGGCATGAGAATTGCTTGAACCCAGGAGGCGGAGGCTGCAGTGAGCCGAGATCGCACCACTGTACTCCAGCCTGGATGACAGAGCGAGACTCCGTCTCAAAAAAAAAAAAAAAAAAAAAAAGGGCCGGGCACAGTGGCTCACGCCTGTAATCCCAGCACTTTGAGAAGCAGAGGTGGCCGGATCATGAGGTCAGGAGTTCAAGACCAGCCTGGCCAAGATGGTGAAACTCTGTGTCTACTAGAAAATACAAAAATTAGCCGGGCGCAGTGGCAGGTGCCTGTAATCCCAGCTACTTAGTAGAGACGGGGTTTCACCTTGTTAGCCAGGATGGTCTCGATCTCCTGACCTCGTGATCCGCCCTCCTCAGCCTCCCAAAGTGCTGGGATTACAGGCATGAGCCACCGCACTCCGCCAACCATAACACTTTTATGTGTTGCCACCACTACCTGAAAATCCCATCCTCCCCCACTTAGCTGAAGAACTCACACTCAACTTTCAAGACACAATTCAAATGTCCTTTTCCACAGAAATATTTCCTGACATCACCAAGTAAGTCAAAGGCTCTACTCACACAGCTCATTAGACTGTGAGTCCCCTGAGGACAAATAATATAAAGTATTTGTTTGTATTCTTAGGACCCTGCACCTAATCAAATTCTTAACATTTGCTGAGCTGCAATCAGTGGAGAAAAGGAGCCCTTTTAAATAAACTTTTCTGGAATAACCAGATAACCATAAGGAAAAACAGAAAAATGGATCTGCCATTTCCCACACTAACTACCAGGGCAAATCCTAAATGGATAAGAGAGTGACATGTAAAAATAAGGCTGGGGCCGGGCACGGTGGCTCACGCCTATAATCCCAGCACTTTGGGAGGCCGAGGCAGGCAGATCACGAGGTCAGGAGATTGAGGCCATCCTAGCTAACACAGTGAAACCCCGTCTCTACTAAAAATACAAAAAAAAAATTAGCCAGTGTGGTGGTGGGCGCCTGTAGTCCCAGCTACTCGGGAGGCTGAGGCAGGAGAATGGCATGAACCCGGTAGGCAGAACTTGCAGTGAGCTGAGATTGTACCACTGCACTCTAGCCTGGGTGACAGAGTGAGACTGTCTCAAAAAAAAAATAAATAATAAGGCTGAGCATGGTTACTCATACCAGTAATCCCAGGACTTTGCAAAGCCAAGGCAGGAAGATCACTTGAGCCCAGGAGTTCAAGACCAGCCTGGGACCAGGCACAGTGGCTCACACCTATAATCCCAGCACTTTGGGAGGCTGAGGCGGGTGGATCACCTGAGATCAGGAGTTCGACACCAGCCTGGTCAACATGGTGAAACCCCGTCTCTACTAAAAACACAAAAAAATTAACCAGGCATGGTGGCAGGTGCCTGAATTCCCAGCTACTCGGGAGGCTGAGGTACAAGACTCACTTGAACCTGGGAAGCAGAGGTCGTGGTGAGCTGAAATTGCACCACTGCACTGCAGCCTGGGCAACACAGCAAGACTTTGACTCCAAAAAAAAGATCAGCCTAGGCAACACAGCAACACCCCGTCTCTATCTTTATAAATTAAAATTAAAAAAAGGTAAAAAATGAAATCATACAAGTACTAAAAGAACACATTGCTGAATTCCTTTATAACCTAGGAATGATAAAAGCTTCCCAATTATAATTCAAAATGAGAAAAGTAACCACATCAATATATTTAACTAAATTTCTTTAACTTTTTGGATAATAAAAACATCACAGACAAACACATTTACAGCAAGATCACCGAAACAATACTATTTTTTAAAATTTTATTTATTTATTTATTTTTTTGAGATGGAGTCTCACTCTGTCGCCCAGGCCGGAGGCAGTGGCGCAATCTCGGCTCACTGCAAGCTCTGCCTCCCGGGTTCATGCCATTCTCCTGCCTCAGCCTCCCAAGGAGCTGGGACCACAGGCACCCGCCACCACGCCCGGCTAATTTTTGTACTTTTAGTAGAGATGGTGTTTCACCTTGTTAGACAGGATGTTCTCAATCTCCTGACATCGTGATCCGCCCACCTCAGCCTCCCAAAGTGCTGGGATTACAGGCATAAGCCACGACGCCCCGCCTATTATTTCTTATTCTCAATTATATTTGAAAGATCAGTAAGTTGTTAAACGATTTAGTGATCAAGAACAGTCCCCACAAAAAAGGTCTACTGATCATAGATTCATACAGGCAGCTAACAGCACGCTAGAAACAACGAAAACCAAAATGAATTAAAAGACAAAAATTATGAGGAAAGATATGACAGACAATTCCTAAAAAGCTAGTATTTGTAAAATCAGAGTTCGAAAATATAAATAAAGGAGTATAAGATAGCAGAGGCTGGGCACAGTGGCTCCCACTTGTAATCCCAGTGCTCTGGGAGGCCGAGGTAGGGAAATCACTTGAGTTCAAGACCAGCGGGGCCAACACAGTGAAACCCCATATCTACTAAAAATACAAAAATTAGCCAGGTGCGGTGGGTGGTGCATGCCTGTAGTCCCAGCTACTCAGGAGGCTGAGGCAGGAGAATCGCTTGAACCCGGGAGGCAGAGGTTGCAGTGAGCCAAGATCACTCCACTGCACTCCAGCCTGGGCGACAGAACAAGACTGTATCTCAAAAAATAACATGATATAATATAACATAACATAACATATCATAACATAAAAATAAAGGCTGGGTGTGGTGGCTCACACCTGTACTCCCGGCACTTTGGGAGGCCGAGGTGGGTGGATCACTTGAGGCTGCGAGTTCAAGACCAGCCTGGCCAACATGGTGAAACCATGTGTCTACTAAAAATACAAAAATTAGCTGGGTGTGGTGGCGCGCACCTGTAATCCTAGCTATTCGGGAGTCTTGAGGCACAAGAATCGCTGCAGGTTGCAGTGAGCCGAAATCACACCACTGCACTCTAGCCTGGGTGACAGAGCGAGACTCTGTCTCATAAATAAATTAATTAAATAAAATAAAGATAGCAGAGAAGGGCTGGTGTGGTGGCTCGCACCAGTAATCAAAGAGCTTTCAGAGGCCAATGCAGAAGGATCGCCTTCCCGCCAAAAATTTGAGACCAGCCTGGGCAACACAGCAAGATCCCATCACTACAGAAATTTAAAAGTCACCCATATGCGCGTGGTAGCACATGCTAGTAGTCCCAGCCTCTTGGGAACCTGAGGTGGGAAGATGGCTAGAGCCGGGAGATCAAGGCTGCAGTGCGCTGTGATCAAACCACTGCACTCCAGCCTGGGCAACAGAACAAGATCCTGTCTGTAAAAACAAAAATAAAACACACAATTGCAAGGACACCAAAATTATATTCTCACACAACTTCAGAAGGTATCTCACCTACAAAATATAAAAAATTCCATAAATTCTATTTATGGCATAAGAGCTGCATCAGGAGAAAGCATGGAGAAGACTCGGTACGGCGAGAGGATAGGGAACTGCAACATAGTAAAATATTGTTAGGTCTTCACAATGACTGCTGCAATATTTAATGCAAATGTTAAATGCCTCTTCAAAAAGCAGCTTCCTACAGTTAAAAAATAGTAATATTCTATAACTAAAATTTGTTTTTTGCTTTTTTTTTTTAAATTCTACACGCTAGCAGCAGCAAAGGAAAAAAGCTGGATGCTACACCTAAAAGTATACAGCAACTGAGGATGCCCAAATAACAGTAAGCTGATGTACTTACAGGGAGTTTGGTGAAGGCCGGGTTGGTGACATGCTTCCCAAAGGCATCTTCCTGGAACTGAAGAAGCTGCACCACCAGCCCAGCCAGTGTTTTATTGGTAGGAGCATCCGCATGAACATACTGCAAGATAAAGACAGGCATTCAAAAACTAGTACAATTTTTGCAGGAGAAAATGTTGGCTTACTTCCTAGTACCTACTAAGTACTTACGTTATGGGAAATTTATAGATGTCTGAGACACGCTCTGTGCTATAAAGGAGCTTACAAAAACAAATATGTGTGTGCATTTAAAAATGGTTAAGACGGTTAATTTTTTTTTTCTTTTCTTTGAGACGGAGCTTCGGTCTTGTCACCCAGGCTGGAGTGCAGCGGTGCAATCTCGGCTCACTGCAACCTCTGCCTCCCGGGTTCAAGTCATTCTCCTGCCTCAGTCTCCAGAGTAGCTGGGATTACAGGTATGAGCCACTACCCCCAACTACTTTTGTATTTTTAGTAGAGACGGGGTTTCACCACATTGGATAGGCTAGCCTCAAACTCCTGACCTCATGTGACCTGCCCCTGCCTCGACCTCACAAAGATAAATCTCCTGTGTTTTTTACCAAAAAAAAAAAAAAAAAGTGAAATATTATCCATATTAATGTAAAGAATGTCAAAAGCCCAAACCAGTAGTAGACACATCAGCTAGGAAGCTTCACAGCAAGGAAAAATAATGGGTAACACAACAAGAAAAGAATAAATTAGTGAGTTAAATGTAAAAGTTTTATTTGGCAATTACATGTTCAATATCACTTTGAGTAGCCAATACTCTCAAAAAATTTTTTTTCTTTTTTTTTGAGACAGAGTCTTGTTTTTCACCCAGGTTGGAGTGCAATGGCATCATCTCAGCTCACTGCAACCTCCGCCTCCAGAGTTCAAGCGATTCTCCTCCCTCAGCCTCCCTAGCAGCTGGGACTACAGGCGCGCAACCACCATGCCCGGCTAATTTTGTTTGTATTTTTAGTAGAGACGGGGTTTCACTATGTTGGCCAGGCTGGTCTTTAACTTCTGACCTCATGATCCGCCCACTTCGGCCACCCAAAGCGCTAGGATTACAGGCGTGAGCCACCACACTCAGCCTCAAAAAGTATTTTTAAACCTCCAATTCCAAGCAAGAAAAACATCTATACCTGCCTTTCAGTTGGACGAGAGAATTTTTATTTTTTTATTTTTTTTTGCCGGAGCTAACTTTCGAACTACCATCCAACATTTCAAGGTTAATGTGGTATGTCTCTATTACAATAAATATTTTTTAGATGAGTGGTGTATGGTCAAAATTACATCAACTGCAAAGTCTACAATTATTATGCATAGGACAAAGGGCACACAATTTCTGCTACTACCATTGAAACTTACTTACAGCATATAAAAAGGCAATCATTTACTTTTTTTTTTTTTTTTTTGAGATGGGGTCTTCTTCCATCACTTAGCCTGAAATGACGAAACCCCGTCTCCACTAAAAAACAAATACAAAAAATTAGCTGGGTGTGGTGGCGCACACCTGTCCCCATGCACTCCAGCCTGGGTGACAGAGCCAGACTCCGTCTCAAATAATTAATTTTAAAAACTTTTTTTGTGTGTGTGTTTTTGGAGTCTCGCTCTGTCACCCAGGCTGGAGCACAGTGGCGCAATCTCTGCTCAGTGCAAGCTCTGCCTTCTGGGTTCACATCGTTCTCCTGCCTCAGCCTCCCAATAAACTGGGACTACAGGCACCCACCACCATTCCCGGCTAATTTTTTGTATTTTTAGTAGAGACGGGGTTTCACCATGTTAGCCAGGATGGTCTCGATCTCCTGACCTCGTGATCCACCCGCCTCAGCCTCCCAAAGTGCTGGGATTACAGTACTGTGCCCAGCCAATTTTAAAAACTTTAAAAACTACATACTACTTTCCCCTTCCTTATACTATATTGATAATTTGCAACAAAAACTAGCAAGCCTAGTTTTTGAAGGACCATATACTTTTTTTTTTCAAGACAGTGGTTTCTTGCTGTCTCCCAGGATGGAATACAGTGGTGTAATGACAGCCACCGCAGCCTCAATCTCCTGGGCTCAAGTGATCCTCCTCCTCCACCTCCCAGAGAGCTAGGACTACAGAGGCGTGCCAACACATCTGGCTGATTTTTAATTTTCTGTACACAACCGTTTTCACCAACTTCTCTGGGCTAGTCTAGAACTCCTGGGTTCAAGTGATTCTCTCACTTTGGCCTCCCAAAAAGTACTGGGATTAGAGGCATAAGGTACTGCACCTGGCCCATATACTTTCAAGTGAAAATTTGAAGTCAGTTTTTCTCCAATATACTCAACATAGTACTTTTTTTTTTTTTTTTGAGACAGTCTCACTCTGTTGCCCAGGCTGGAGTGCAGTGGTGCGATCTTGGCTCACTGCAAGCTCTGCCCCCCAGGTTCACAACATTCTCCTGTCTCAGCCTCCCGAGTAGCTGGGACTACAGGCGCCCACCACCACGCCTGGCTAATTTTTTGTATTTTTAGTAGAGACGGGGTTTCACCATGTTAGTCAGGATGGTCTCGATCTCCTGACCTCGTGATTCGCCTGCCTCGGCCTCCCAAAGTGCTGGGATTACAGGTGTGAGCCACCGCGCCCAGCCCCGTAAATTTTTAATAAACGGTATTCAAGGGCCAGGCGCGGTGGTGGCTCACACCTGGAATCCCAGCACTTTGGGAGGCCGAGGCGGGCGAATCACGAGGTCAGGAGATCAAGACCAACCTGACTAAAGCAGTGAAACCCCGTCTCTACTAAAAATACAAAAACTAGCCGTGCATGGTGGCACTTGCCTGTAGTCCCAGCTACTCAGGCGGCTGAGGGAGGAGAATCGCTTGAACCCAGGAGGCGCAGGCTGTAGCGAACCCAGATCGCGATCGTGCCACCGCACTCCAGCCTGGGTGCACTCCAGCCTGGGTGACAGAGCGAGACTCACTCTCAAAAAATATAAAATAAAATAAACTTTGAAATAGACCTGCTATGTACCCACAAAAATTAAAAATTAAAACTCTGGCCGGATGCAGTGACTCATGCCTGTAATCCCAGCACTTTAGGAGGGCAAGGTGGACAGATCACTTGAGGTCAGGAGTTCAAGACCAGCCTGGCCAACATAGTGAAACCCCGTCTCTACTAAAAATACAAAAATGAGCCAGGCATGGTGGTGCATGCCTATAATCCCAGCTGCTTGGGAGGCTGAGGCAGGAGAATGGCTTGAATCCGGGAGGCGGAGGTTGCAGTGAGCCGAAAGTGCGCCACTGCACTCAAGCCTGGGTGACAAAGCGAGACTCCGTCTCAAACGAGAAAAAAAAAAATACTTCAAGTGTATCTTACAAAACTGACAAAATACATTGTACTTATCCGCAAGGTAACTTCATAATCTTTAATAAGCACAGGTTTCCTAAAGGAGTCATATAATGTACTGCACTTTTTTTGTACACGGTAAAGCAACATAAAAAAATAATGACCGGCTGTGCACGGAGGATCACACCCATAATCTCAGAACTTTGGGAGGCCGCGGCGGGTGGACCACTTGAGGTCAGGAGTTTGAGACGAGCCTGGCCAACATGGCCAAACTCCATCTCTACTAAAAAAATACAAAAACTACCCAGGCAGAGTGGCACACACCTGTAATTCCAGCTACTCAGGAGGCTGAGGCAGGAAAATTGCTTGAACCCAGGAGACAGAGGTTGCAGCAAGCCAAGAGCGTGCCACGCACTCCAGCCTGGGTGACCCAGTGAGACTGTCTCAAAAATAATAACTACAATCTGTATTTTACAGATTAACTAAACAATGCCAAACTCTATAGCTGAAAAAGACAATGTCCTTGAAAAAGGCTGTTCAGATGGAACCAAATCAACATTTCAGGTAAATATACATATATATGTAAACATATATGTAAATATATAGATGTAAATATATATATATTTTTTCTTTTTTTTAAACCGAGTTTTGATCTTGTTGCCCAGGCTGAAGTAAAATGGCGCGATCTCAGCTCAGCACAACCTCCGCCTCCCGGGTTCAAGCAATTCTCCTCCCTTAGCCTACCGAGTACCTGGGATTACAGGCATGCGTCACCACATCTGGCTAATTTTGTATTTTTAGTAGAGATGGGGTTTCTCCATGTTGGCCAGGCTGGTCTCGAACTCCCAACCTCAGATGATCCGCCTGCCTCGGTCTCCCAAAGTGCTGGGATTATAGGCGTGAGCCACTACACCTGGCCTCAGGTAAATATTTATTTTTTTTTTTTTGAGAGAGTCTTGCTCTGTCACCTAGGCTGGAGTGCAGTGGCGTAATCTCGGCTCACTTGCAGCCTCTGCCCACCGGGTTCCAGCGATTCTCCTGCCTCAGCCTCCTGGGTAGCTGGGATTACAGGCGCACGCCACCACGCCTGGCTAATTTTTGTATTTTTGGTAGAGACGGGGTTGCACCATGTTGGCCAGGCTGGTCTCAAACTCCCGACCTCAGGTGATCTGCCCGCCTTGGCCTCCCAAAGTGCTGGGATTACAGGCGTGAGACACCATGCCCGGCCTATATTTTTAATAACTACAGTGAATATAGGCCGGGTGCAGTGGCTCATGACTGTAATCCCAGTACTTTGGGAGGACGAGGTTAGAGGACTACTTTGAGTCCAGAAATTTGAGACCAGTCTGGGCAACACAGTAAGACCCTGTCTCTATTTATGTATTTATTTTTTGAGACACTTTCGCTCTGTAGCCTAGGCTGGAGTGCAATGGCCCGATCTCAGCTCACTACAACCTCCACCTCCCAGGTTTGAGTGATTCTCCTGCCTCAGTCTCCTGAGTAGCTGGGACTACAGTCATGTGCCACCACACCCGGCTAATTTTTGCATTTTTAGTAGAGCAGAAGTTTCACCACATTGGCCAGGCTGGTCTCGAACTCCTGACCTCAGGTGATCCACCGGCCTCGGTCTCCCAAGGTGCTGGGATTACAGGTGTGAGCCACAGCCCCCAGTCTCAGTCCAATTTTTAATAAACTATAAAATATTTAATTCTGATTAGATTTTTTTTCCAAATCATCCTACCAAATTACCAAACATGAAAATGCATGTAGGCCAGGCACAGTGGCTCATGCCTGTAATCCCAGTACTTTGGGAGGCTGAGGCTGGCGGATCACCTGAGGTCAGGAGTTCAAGCCCAGCCTGGCCAACATGGTGAAACCCCAGCTCTACTAAAAATAACAAAAATTAGCAGAGCGTGGTGGCGGGTGCCTGTAATCCCAGCTACTCAAGAGGCTGGGGTAGAAGAATCACTTCAACTTGGGAGGCCGAGGTCACACCACTGCACTCCAGCTTGGGCAGAAGAGCGAGACTCCATCTCAAAAAAAAAAAACAAAAAACAAAAAACAAAAAAAACACTGACTCCTAATTAAGAAATTTTAATTTCTATGTCATAAACAATTAATCTGGTTTTTTTTTGTTTTTGTTTTTTGTTTTGTTTTGTTTCGTTTTGTTTTGAGACAAGGTCTCGCTCTGTTGCCCAGGCTGGAGTGCAATGGTGCCAACACAGTTCACCGCAGCCTCGACCTCCTAGGCTCAAGTGATCCTCCAAGGACCCTGCCTCAGCCAAGTAGCTGGGACTACACGTGCATGCCACCACAACTGATGTATTTTTTTGTTTTGTTTTGTTTTGAGACAGGGTCTCATCATGTTGCCCAAGCTGGTCTCCAAATCCTGGGCTCAAATGAACCTCCCACCTGGAATTCCCAAGTGCTGGGATTACGGACGCAAGCCACTGCACCTGGCCCAATTAATCTTTTGATCAAAAAAAGTCTATTATATTTTATTTAAGAAAACAAAAATTTATTAGTCTCAAAATATTTCAAGTAAGAGTCAGTGTGGGCCAAGTGTGGTGGCTCACACTTGTAAGCCCTGCACTTTGGGAGGCTGAGGCAGGCAGAGAGCCCAGGAGTTCGAGACCAGCCTGGGCAACACTGCAAAACCCTGCCTCTACTGATAATACAAAAAATTAACCAGGTGTGGTGGTTCGTGCCTGTAGTCCCAGGTACTCAGGAGGCTGAGGTGGGAGAATCACCTGAGCCCAGGAGGTTGAGGCTGCAGTGTGCTATGATCTCACCACTGCACTCCAGCCTGGGCAACACAGAAAGACCCTGTCTCAAAAAAAAAAGAAAATTCCTAAATGAAGTCTCAGGTATCTTCCATTTGAAAAAGAAGGTAAATAATATCTATCATTTAGGACTGCTATGAGGACTTTAAGTGAGTTATACTTTAAGTACCCGGCACATGGTAAATGCTCAGTTGTTCACTGAATGCATGAGCTGAATGCAAGAGTTTGAGGTTGCAGTGAGCTATGATCACGCCACTGTACTCCAGCCTGGGCAACACAGAAAGACCCTGTCTCAAAAAAATAAAGTAAAATAAAAATAAATAAAAAATGACACTAACAAAATCATGTTTACTGAGACTGAAACTGTTGTCTGCTCTGAAAATGCAGTATTAAATGCACTAGAAACGGTTAGTTAAAACCAATGCGTACACCAAATAGAAATGCACTGTGTAGAAAAGAAGCAAAGAACTTTGTGATAATATTTTCACCACTTCAACGCTAACACCCAGAGACTGAAAAGATTCTGGCTGTCAGGCCTAGGGTATATACGTTTCTCAATCTCAGTAGACCCTAGAAATACACTCTGGCTTTACAAAGTCCTGAGAAGTCAAAGGTAACTTTGTCTATAAAGTCTCAGGGATAGTGAATCAACATTAGCCTAGTGGTCTCAATACTGCTGGGCAATTCCTCAAACTGCTTTGTAGCCACTTCCCTACCCACCCAAACAAATATCGAAGGATTATCCATGTCTAAAGCTTCTTGTAGTTGATCCCAAACTGATGCACACTGAACAGTGCGGAGAGGTAGAAATTACTGAAATTTGCCTTTTTCTACTCTCTTCCTTGATATTATTCAAAGGAATATGCCTGTAGATTATTTTTCTTTGTTAAAGCTTCACTGAATTTAAGACCCAAAGCATTGGCTAAAAGGAATGTAATAAAGAAGAATTAACCAATATTTTCATAACATATTCAATTCCATTAGCCACTTCTGGAAGCTCTATTACTTACATTTAAAAAGTGACCAATTTATCACTGTGTAAGAAAGGGCAATATTACTAAAAATCTACAGTCTAAATGTAATTTCAGAGGAGGAAAAGTCCAGACACCTAAAAATATAATTACTGTCTCTCACTTCCTCAAACTTCAGATAAGAAATGTAATTTTTCTAGCTGACCTTCAAAAACAAGAAAGAAAGAAATGATCATTTCTGGGTCTTTGGTTTTTTTTTGTTTTTTTTTTTTTTTTTTTTTTGGAGACAGTCTTACTTTATTACCTAGGCTGGAGTGCAATGGTGCAATCTCGGCTCACTGCAGCTTCTGCCTCCTGGGTTCAAGAGATTCTCCTGCCTCAGCCTCCCGAGTAGCTGGGATTACAGGCATGTGCTGCCACACCCGACTAATTTTGTATTTTTTGGAAAGACGGGGTTTCACCATGTTGGTCAGGCTAGTCTCGAACTCCTGACCTCAGGTGATCCACCCGCCCGGCCTTCCAAGCCGCGCCCGGCCAGAAATGGTCATTTCTGAATGTACCACGTGTAATGCCAAAGGAACCCAAGATCCCTGCCCATGCCTAATAACTGCCAAACACTGACAGGCTTCACTGAGCTGCTGAGGCCAAAAAAATAGGTTCCTAAACTAGTTTATGTTTTCATTCATTCAACAAATATTTACTAAGCAGCCACTAAGGGTAAGGCAATAAGTATCAGCCACGTTCCCGGATACACTGCAGTGAACAAAGCCCTTGCTTCAGTGCTATGATTCTCAATAGGAGAAAGTACAGAACTAAAGAGGGTGATAGGAAAACTTCAGAGGCTGGGGAGCCTTTTCGGCTACCTGCTTCATTACACCCTTTAAGGGAGTCCTCCTGAATATTTACACAAAAGGGAAGTTGGAAAAAAAAAAAACATTTGTTATAAACAAAGGATTAAGTCAAAACTTTGAAAACTACTGACTCGGCGGAACTTCCGTTCCAAAGGTAGGAGAAATCAGTAAATGAATAATTTCAAAATGTGGTAAACACTACGAAGAAAATAAAGGTGACACAAGAAAAGTGCTCTAATAAAAACTGGGTTCTTGGGGAAGGCCTCCCTTTAGAACACTTTACGTACAAGCGACCATCAACTCTCACGCCACACAGAACCAGAAGCACGATGAGGTAGAACCGTCGTTAATAGTTCTCATCCATCCTAGAATTCATATTGCCTGTTATTAATTAACGAATACAATCATCCCAGTCGTTTAGCAATTCAACAACAGGTAGCAAACCCCCTCGAGACTTTGAATACGCTCTAAACAAAACTTGAAGCTGCTTTTACCACGCTTGCTCGGTCTTTAGGGATCATTGTTCACACACCTAAGGCAGCTGACAAAAGAGAGAGAGTCACACTCGCTTAGTGGCTGAGCTCGACCTGCTCTGGCACACGAGACTGAGCAGGGGCTTTCACCATGGGTGCGTAGGCTCAGAGGAGAGAGCCCCGAACCCCAGTCAGGCCCCGGGATCGCGGGCGCCCAGAGCGGGCGGCGGGGGCGTGGCGGGCCCGGCGCCTGCCTTTGTTGTCCCTCGTGGCGTGCGGGGGGGAGGGGCGGCCCGAGGCCCGCGAGGCCAGCTGCCGCCTCCGGCCCCGGTCGCGTGGTCTCCCGGCCCCCACGGGCGCGCGAACCCACCTTCTTGTAGTGCTTGCCCAGCCAGACCCGCACCGAATCCAGCTGGGACACCGTCTCCGGGCTCTCCCAAAACTTGGTGGCCGGGCCCCCATCCTTCCGTCGATAAACAGCTAGGCCTGCGGCTGCCGCCGCAATCCCCGAGCCCGTGGCGCCTACCGCTGTCCCCGGCCCGCCGCCGCCCGCCGCTGCGGCCATCGTCGCAGCCCGTCGTCCCCACAGCCTGGCCCACCCCGGCCCTCGCGGTGTTTCCCGGTCGTTCCCGCGCGCACCCCCGCGCGCGTAGCCGCCACTGCCGCTTCCCGGCCCCGCCCAGCCAACCCTCTTCCGGCGCGGACGCCCGGCCCCGCCCCATCTGGGAACTGGCACTGTATCTGACGCGAGCCAGCGCACGCGCATGCGTAGCACTCGTGCGGCCGTGCCTTGGAATAGCACGTCCTGCGGCCTCAGCCGCCTCTTCCGCCATCCTCCGTAGGCTGCATTCTGCCCTAGTGAGCGCCGGTTTTTGAGCCTTGCTCTTCCCTCGCTACCGACGTCGAATCATTATGCGGTCAACAACCGCAGGTGGGTTATGTGTCATAGCCCGCCTCCGCTGGAGGGAAAAGGCCTGGTGCGAGAAATGCCCAAGGGAAAGCCTGTCTAGGGTATCGAGTGCTGGCCGAGGGCCCTGCACCCGGACTGGGACTGCGCCGGGCCCCGCTTTCCCTCAGGCCCTCCACCCCCAGCGGCCCGGCGGCATTTGTGAACAGCCATCTGGGACTCCCACGCCTAGGCTTTTCGGCTTCACAGACCTTCCACTCCCTCAGGGGTCCAGCCACAGCGGCTCATTCCTGCCCCAGGGGCCCTTGCACTGGCTCTTTCGAGACCTCAGCAGGTCTTCCCTTCTGATTTGCACTTACGAGACGCGTTCAGATTCACTGCTTCAAAGGACTTCAGAAAGTAGTTGTCAGATCTTAACAATCTTGAACAACTGTTCACACCCATACACTTTCTGCATAGCGCTCACCACGACCCGGCGTTTCTAGTTTCTCATTTACCTTCCACATAAATTACATGAGAACCTAATCTTAACTTGTTCACAGGTGTATCCTGAACACCTGAGACAAGGAACAGATGTACAGTAAATACTTGATGAGTTAATGAATGGCCCACATAGAAGCCGAAAATTTTTAAATTATTAACAAGGTATATTGGCCGGGTGCGGAGCACTTTGGGAGGCTGAGGCGGGAGGATCAATTGAGCCCAGGAGCTCTAGACCACCACACCCATCCCCGTCTCTACAAAAAATACAAAAATCAGCCAGCGTTGTGTTGCAAGCCTGTGGTCCTAGCCTCTTGGAGGGCTGAGGTGGGAGGATCCCTTGAGCTGGGGAGATGGAGGCTGCAGTGAGCTATAATCGCGCCACTCACTACACTTCAGCTTGGGCGACAGAGCGAAACCCTGTTTCAGAAACATAAAAAGTATGACTGGCCATAATGGAGTTGTGAACATAATGCTATATGATCGCAGAGAAGCAAGTAACTAATTGCTTGTGAGAACGTGACTAACTGCTGGTAAGTTTCTGAGATCTTTTAAAAATGAGGGTGTGTACATGTTTTCAGGATCTCCTGAGGGCTGTGTCACGGACAGTAAAATATATTAAATAAAAAAGTTAATAGAATGTGATCAAGAGGGCCAGGCGAGATAGCTCACGCCTGTAATCCCAACACTTTGGGAGGCCAAGGCAGACTGATCACGAGGTCAGGAGTTCCAGACCACCCTGGCCAACATGGTGAAACCCCGTCTCTACTAAAACTACAAAAATTGGCCAGGTGTGGTGGTGCATGCCTGTAATCCCAGCTACTCGGGAGGCTGAGGCAGGAGAATTGCTTGAACCCAGGAGGAGGTGGAGATCGCAGTGAGCTGAGATCACGCCACTGCACTCCAGCCTAGGCGACAGAGCCAAACTCGTCTGAAAAAAAAAGTTTTTAATTTGAAACTTTCTCAGATTTAACAGAAAAGTTGCAAATATAATACAAAGAACTTTTCCTGAATCATCTAAGAGTAAGTTGCTGACATAATACCCATCACTATCAAAAAGTTTAATGTGTATTTTCTACAGACAAGTATAGTCTATATATTCTCTTACATAATCACAATACAATCATTTATACCAGGAAATTAACACTGATGCCATCCCCAGACCCCATTCAGGTTTTTCCTATTGCACCATGAAGTCCTTTATAGCAAAAGTTTCCAGTTCAAAATCACACTTTGCATTTAATAAAGTTTCATCTCCTTCAATATGGAACAGTTCCTTAGTCCTTAAACCTTAACAACATTGATACCTATGAAGATTACAAGGCATTTATTTTGTAGAATGACCCTCAATTTAAGTTTGTCTGATGTTTGTATCTTTGTGTTCTTTGCATTGCATTCTATCAGGTGGTGCATAATTTCATTTCTCCTGTTACATTGATGACAGAGTATCATCCAGGTTTCTCTACTGCGAAGTTATTCTTTTTGCCTTTGTAATTAATCACTATTTTCTATGGAGGTATTTTGTTTTTTTGCTTTTCGGGGGTTTTTTGAGATAAAGTCTTGCTTTGTCACCCAAGCTGGAGTGCAGTGGTGTGATCATGGTTCACTGCAACCTCCACTTCCTAGGCTCAATTGATCCCTTTGTGGAGGTATTTTGAAAGTATATTGGCCGGGCGCAGTGGCTCACACCCGTAATCCCAACACTTTGGGAGGCCAAGGCAGGCAGATCATGAGGTCAGGAGTTCGAGACCAGCCTGGCCAACCTGGTGAAACTCCATCTCTACTAAAAATACAAAAATTAGCCGGGTGTGGTGGCAGGCATCTGTAATCCCAGCTACTTGGGAGGCTAAGGCAAGACAATGGCTTGAAACCGGAAGGTGGTGGATGTTGCAGTAAGCCAAGATCTCGCCACTGCACGCCAGCCTGGGTGGACGAACGAAACTCCATCTCAAAAAAAAAAGAAACTTGTTTCTAGAGTATAGAAAGAGCTCTTACAACTCAGTAATGAAAAGACCAGTAACTCAGCTGACCAATTAATCAATAACCCAATGGAATAAACTTGATACATGCAACACTGGGGAGTCTTACCCAAGTTATATGGGTAACTATATATATATACCCAATGTATAGTGTATGATTCAATATACGTGGAGTTACAGAATAGGTTAAACTGAAGTGTGGTTGCCTCTGGGGAAGTGAAGGGGCATGAGAGAACTTTCTGGGGTGATGATAATAAGCTGCAGTTTGATACAGATTTGTATTACACAGGTGTCTCCATACCAACTTATGGAATGATATGCAAGAGTTGTGGATTTTACTGCATGTAAATTTTACCTCAAAAGAAAAGAACTCTAGGAGCTGGCCATGGTGGCTGAGTCAGGAGGATCGCTTGAGCCCAGGATTTCAAGTCCAGCTTGGCCAGTGTGGCAAGATCCGTATCTAAAATTAAAGCATCAGGCCAGTGCAATGGCTCATGCCTGTAATCCCAGCACTTTGGGAGGCCAAGGAGGGTGTATCAATTGAGGTCAGGAGGTGGAGACCAGCCTAGACAACATGGAAAAACCCCATCTCTACAAAAAAGGTTACCTGCATGTGGTGGCACATGCCTGTAGTCCCAGCTCCTTAGGAGGCTGAGGCAGGAGAATTGCTTGAACCCAGGAGGCAGAGGTTATAGTGAGCTGAGATCATACCACTGCACTCCAGCCTGGGGACAGAAGGAGACTCTGTCTCAGGAAAAAAAAAAAAAAAAAAAAAAATCAGAAACTGCATGACCATTTACCAGCCATTACAGACATTAGCTTTCTCAGTTTATGGTAAGTTTACCAAAAAGGTTTCTCAAAAACATAGGAAAGGCCAGGTGCGGTGGCCCATGCCTGTAATCCCAGCACTTTGGGAGGCTTAGGTGGGTGGATCATCTTAGGTCAGGAGTTCGAGACCAGCCTGGCCAACATGGTGAAACCCCACCTCTACTAAAAATACAAAATTAGCTGGGCCTGGTGGCACATGCCTGTAATCCCCAGCTACTTGGGAGGCTGAGGCAGGAGAATTGCTTGAACCTGCGAGGCAGAGGTTGTAGTGAGCTGAGATCGTGCCATTGCATTCCAGCCTGGGAAACAAAAGCGAAACTTCATCTCAAAAAAGAGGGAAAAAAAAAAAAAAAAGGCTGGGTGCAGTGGCTCATACCTATAATCCCAGCACTTTGGGAGGCCGAGACGGGCGGATCATGAGGTCAAGAGATCGAGACTATCCAGGCCAATGTGGTGAAACCCTGTCTCTACTAAAAATATAAAAATTAGCTGGGCGTGGTGGCGCGCGCCTGTAGTCCCAGCTACTTGGGAGGCTGGGGCAGGAGAATTGCTTGAACCCGGGAGGCGGAGGTTGCAGTGAGCCAAGTTCGCACCACTGTACTCCAGCCTGGCAACAGAGTAAGACTCCATCTCAAAAAAAAAAAAAAAAAAGGAAAACATAACAAAGACTAGGCTTAGCAAACGTTTTCTGCAAAGGTCCCGATGCTCTCCGTTGGAACTACTCAACTCTGCCATGAAAGTTCAAAAGCAGCCACAGATAATATGTACATGAATGAACATGGATGGGTTCCAATAAAACTTTATTTACAAAAAGAGTTGGCAAAAAGGGCATGGTGGCTCATCCCTATAATCCCAGCACTCTCGGAGGTTTAGGCAGGAGGATCACTTGAGACCATGAGTTTGAGACCAGCCTGGGCACCATAGTGAAACCCTGTCTCTACAAATAATTTTTTAAGAATTAGCCGGCTGGGCGTGGTGGCTCATGCCTGTAATCCCAGCACTTTGGGAGGCCAAGGCGGGCGGACCACCTGAGGTCGGGAGTTCGAGACCAACTTGACCTACATGGTGAAACCCCGTCTCTACTAAAAATACAAAAATTAGCCGGGCGCAGTGGTGGGTGCCTGTAATCCCAGCTACTCGGGAGGCTGAGACATGAGAATAGCTTGAACCCGGGAGGCGGAGGTTGCAGTGAGCCGAGATCGTGCCATTGCACTCTAGCCTGTGCAACAGAGCGAGACTCCGTCTCAAAAACAACAACAAAATAAAAAAATAAAAATAAAAAGAATTAGCCAGGCATGGCCGGGTGCGGTGGCTCACTCCTGTAATCCCAGCACTTTGGGAGGCTGAGGCGGGCGCATCACGAGGTCATGAGATCGAGACCATCCTGGCTAACATGGTGAAACCCCGTCTCTACTAAAAATACAAAAAATTAGCTGGGCATGGTGGCGGGCACCTGTAGTCCCAGCTACTTGGGAGGCTGAGGCAGGAGGATGGCGTGGACCCAGGAGGTGGAGCTTGCAGTGAGCCGAGATCGCGCCACTGCACTCCAGCCTGGGCAACAGAGCAAGACTCCGTCTCAAAAAAAAAAAAACATTAGCCAGGCATGGTGGTACATGCTTGTGGTCCCAGTTACCTGGGAGGTTGAAGTGGGAGGATTGCCTGAGCCCTGGAAGTTGAGGCTGCAATGAGCTATGATTACACCACTGCACCCCAGCCTGGGCTGCCAAGTGAGACCTTGTTTCCAAAAAAAAAAAAAAAAAGTCAGCCGGACACAGTGGCTCGTGCCTGTAATCCCAGCACTTTGGGAGGCCGAGGCAGGTGGATCACTTGAGGTCAGGAGTTCAAGACCAGCCTGGCCAACATGGCCAAACCTCGTGTAATAAAAATACAAAAATTAGCTGGGTGTGGTGGTGCAGGCCTGTAGTCCCAGCTACCTGGGAGGCTGAGGCGGGAGAATCGCTTGAACCCAGGAGGTGGAGGTTGCAGTGAGCCGAGATCACACCACTGCACTCCAGCCTAGGTGATAGAGCGAGAATCTGTCTCAAAAAAAAATTCCTCACTGCCACCTCTACTTCCTAGGATCAAGCAATTCTCGTGACACAGCCTTCACATAGCTAAGATCACAAGTGTGTACCACCATGACTGGCTACTTTTTGTACTTTTACTAGAGATGGGGTTCGAGACCAGCCTGTCTCAAAAAAAAGAAAAATTAGTGGAGCATTGTGGTGGGCTTGAAGAATTGAGAATCACTTGAACCGGGGAGAGGAAGGTTACAGTGAGCTAAGATCGTACCACTACACTTCAGCCTGGGTGACAGAGTGCGACTCCATCTCAAATAATAATAATAATAATAATAATAAGAATAATAATAATGGCAAAATAAAAACATATAGGCCAGGCGCAGTGGCTCACGCCTGTAATCCCACCACTCTGGGAGGTTAAGGCAGGTGGATCACGACATCAGGAGTTCGAGACCAGACTGACCAACATGGTGAAACCCCGTCTCTACTAAAAATACAAAAAAATTAGCCGGGTGTGGTGGCGTGTGCCTGTAATCTCAGCTGCTCAGGAGACTGAGGCAGGAGAATCACTTTAACCCTGGAGGTGGAGGTTGCAGTGAGCCGAGATCGCACCAGTGCACTCTAGCCTGCGCTACAGAGAGAGACTCCTTCTGAAAAAAAAAAAAAAAAAAAAAGATGAACACTAATTAATCTTTGACAAATTAATGATGCGTGTTTAATTTTGGTGAACCACTAAGAGTAGAGCCATACTAGTAGAGTTAAAGAGAGGGACAGAGTAGTAGAGTTAAAAATAAAGGACAATAAAAGAGTGGGAAAGAACTAAAGCGACGCCAGGCGCTGTGGCTCACGCCTGTAATCCCAGCACTTTGGGAGGCTGAGGCAGGCAGATCACCTGAGGTCAGGAGTTCGAGACTAGCCTGACCAACATGGAGAAACGCCATCTCTACTAAAAATACAAAATTAGCCGGGCGTCGCGGTGCATGCCTGTAGTCTCAGGTACTCGCGAGACTGAGGCAGGAGAATCACTTGAACCCAGGAGGTGGAGGTTGCAGTGAGCCGAGATCACACCATTGCACTCCAGCCTGGGCAACAAGAGCAAAACTCTGTCTCTAAATAAATAAATAAATACAAAATTACCCGGGCGTGGTGGCGCATGCCTATAATCCCAGCTACTTGGGAGACTGAGGCAAGAGAATCGCTTGAACCCGGGAAGCGGAGGTTGCAGTGAGTCAAGATGGCGCCACGCCTGTAATCCCAGCACTTTGGGAGGCCTAGGCGGACGGATCAGGAAGTCACGACATGGCGACCATCCTGGCTAACACGGTGAAACCCCGTCTCTACTAAAAAATACAAAAAATTAGCCGGGAGTGGTGGCAGGTTCCTGTAGTCCCAGCTACTCAGGAGGCTGAGGCAGGAGAATGGAGTGAACCCGGGAGGCAGAGCTTGCAGTGAGCCGAGATCGCGCCACTGCACTCCAGCCTGGGCGACAGAGCGAGACTCCGTCTCAAAAAAAAAACAAAAACAAAAACAAAAAAACGGCTGGGTGTGGTGGCCAACATTGTGAAACCCAGCCTCTACTAAAAATACAAAAATTAGCCGGGCGTGGTGACACATGCCTGTAATCTCAGCTACTCAGAAGGCTGAGGCAGGAGAATCACTTGAATCCGGGAGGCGGAGGTTGCAGCGAGCCAGGATTACGCCACTGCACTCCAGCCTGGCAACAAAGGGAGACTCCATCTCAAAAAAGAAAAAAAAAAAAAGAAAGAAACAGGTTGGTGATTGGCTGACATTATGACAGAAGTAATGGAGCCCTGTGGGGAAATTAATACGCTGCTGACCTCTAGTGCCTAGTAGAAAAATTACATTTTCCGGCCGGGCCCGTTGGCTTATGCTTGTAGTCCCAGCACTTTGGGAGGCCGAGGCGGGCGGATCACGAGGTCAGGAGATCGAGACCATCCTGGATAACACGGTGAAACCCCGTCTCTACTAAAAATACAAAAAAAATTAGCCGGGCCTGGTGGCGGGCGCCTGTAGTCCCAGCTACTCAGGAGGCTGAGGCAGGAGAATGGCGTGAACCCGGTAGGCGGAGCTTGCAGTGAGCCGAGATCTCTCCACTGCACTCAAGCTGGGCGACAGAGCGAGACTCCATCTCAAAAAAAAAAACAAAAAAGAGAAAAATTACATTTTCCACTCAAAGACCCAATGTGAAAGGGACTGGCTTACTTGTCACTGGTTTATGTGTTGTGAGCAGAATAAGCACCCATGTTTAAACCTTGTTTGTCCATTATGATAATAGATATGTTTTGATGCATTGCTGTCATAAACTTTTTTTTTTGTTTACCATGTTTTTTCTTTTTCTTTTTCTTTTTTATTTTTTTTTCCACCATGTTGGCCAGGCTTGTCCGGAACTCCTGACCTCAAGTGATCCACCCACCTCGGCCTCCCATAGTGCTGGGATTATAGGCGTGAGCCACCACGTCCAGCCTCTACTCTTTTTTTTTTTTTTTTTTTTTTTGAGTCTTGCTGTGTCACCCAGGCTGGAGTGCAGTGGTGTGATCTCGGCTCACTGCAACCTCCGCCTCCCGGTTTCAAGTGATTCTCCTGCCTCAGCCTCCAGAGTAGCTGGGATTACAGGCATGTGCCACCATGCTGGGCTAATTTTTGTATTGTTAGTAGACACGGGGTTTCACCATGTTGGTCAGGCTGGTCTGGAACTCCTGATCTCATGATCCGCCCGCCTCGGCCTCCCAAAGCTGGGATTACAGGCATGAGTCACCGTGCCCGGGCACCTCAATTCTTTTTCTTTTTTTTTTTTTTGAGACGGAGCCTCGCTCTGCTGCCCAGGCTGGAATGCAGTGGTACAATCTCGGTTCACTGCAAGCTCCGCCTCCCGGGTTCACGCCATTCTCCTGCCTCTGTCACCGAGGCTGGAGTGCAGTGGCTCACTGCAAGCTCCGCCTCCCGGGTTCACGCCATTCTCCTGCCTCAGCCTCCCGAGTAGCTGGGACTACAGGCGCCCGCCACCATGCCCGGCTAATTTTTTGTATTTTTAGTAGAGACAGGGTTTCACCGTGTTAGCCAAGATGGTCTCGATCTCCTGACCTCGTGATCCGCCCACCTTGGCCTCCCAAAGTGCTGGGATTATAGGCGTGAGCTACCACGCCCAGCCTGTTCTTTTTTTTTTTTTTTTTTTTTTTGAGACGGAGTCTCGCTCTGTCACTCAGGCTGGAGTGCAGTGGCACGATCGCGGCTCACTGCAAGCTCCGCCTCCTGGGCTCACGCCATTCTCCTGCCTCAGCCTCCGGAGTAGCTGGGACTACAGGCGCCGGTCACCATGCCCGGCTAATTTTTTTGTGTTTTTAGTAGAGACGGGGTTTCACCATGTTAGCCAGGATGGTCTTTTTGTTTGTTTGTTTGTTTTTGAGATGGAGTCTCGCTGTGTCGCCCAGGCTGGAGTGCAGTGGCGCAATCTCGGCTCACTGCAAGCTCCGCCTCCCGCGTTCACGCCATTCTCCTGCCTCAGCCTCCCGAGTAGCTGGGACTACAGGCGCCCGCCACCAAGCCCGGCTACTTTTTGTATTTTTAGTAGAGGCGGGGTTTCACTGTGTTAGCCAGGATGGTCTCGACCTCCTGACCTCATGATCTGCCCGCCTCTGCCTCCCAAAGTGCTGGGATTACAGGCATGAGCCACCGTGCCCAGCCCAGCCTATTCTTTTAATAGTTACACTGGGCCAGGTGCAGTGGCTCATGCCGGTAATCCCAGCACTTTGGGAGACTGAGATGTGTGGATCACTTGAGGTCAGGCGTTCGGGACCTGCCTGGCCAACATGGTGAAGCCCCGTCTCTGCAAAAAATACAAAAATTAGCCAGACGTGCTGGCGGGCTCCTGTAATCCCAGCTACTCGGGGGGCTGAGGCAGGAGAATCACTACAACCTTGGAAGCGGAGGTTGCAGTGAGCCACAATCGCGCCACTGCACTCCAGCGGGGCAACAGAGCCAGACTCCGTCTCAAAAAAAAAAAAAAAAGTTACACTGATATTTGTTTTATACACAAAATTTTAATACAATTTTCTCTAACAAAATCCTGAATTATTGAGTGTCTTTAGTTTCCTCCTAAATAAGACCTGATTCTTCCTCCTGAATCACAAGCAGGCATGATTGCCCTAAGGGTTGATTCTATTTCCGTTGCCAGAAATATAGTTACAAAATGGGATCCAGTTGTGGCCAGTGAAGCATGAAGAGACTCTAGAGATTTTATGAGAACTGCTGAAGCCCTCTTGCAAGAAACCCGAGGATAAGGCCTACTCGAATGATGGAAAGCAGTTCATGTTAATGACACAGTGAGCCACTGAATCAATCTACCACGAGTTGTGTCCTACCTACCTAAGGGCTTCCTATTATATGAGATAATACATTTCCTTGTACTTTAAGCCAGTTTTTTTGTTTTTTGTTTTTGTTTGTTTTGCTTTGTTTTTTTGTTTGTTTTTTGTTTTGTGAGATTTTGTCCTGCTCTGTCACCCAGGCTGTAGTGCAATGGCACGATCTCAGCACACTGCAATCTCTGCCTCCCGGGTTCAAGCGATTCTCTTGCCTCAGCCTCAGTAGCTGGGATTACAGGCATGCACCACCATGCCCGGCTAATTTTTGTATTTTTAGTAGAGACGAAGTTTCACCATGAACTCCTGACCTCAGGTGATCAACCCGCCTCGGCCTCCCAAAGGGCTGGGATTACAGGTGTGAGCCACTGCACCCAGTCAATTAAGCCAGTTTTGAGTCAGGTTTTCTGTTCCTTGTTGCCTAAAGCATTCCAACAGACATATTCTCTTTTATTTTTACCTAAGATTTTAGTTCCATCTTTTATTTTTGCACAAAAAGTTATTTGAATAGTAAGTAGTAAATTGAAATTTTGCAATATATTTTACTAATATCAGTGAATGGTGCTGTTTATTATATCCTATTCCTTTCTACTTGATTAATTTTTCTTCCTGCAAAGAATATTCTTTTTTCTTTCTTTCTTTCTTTTTTTTTTTTTTTTTTTGAGACGGAGTCTTGCTGTGTCACCCAGGCTGGAGTGCAGTGCAGTGGCACGATGTTGGCTCACTGCAACCTCCACCTCCTGGGGTCAAGCCATTCTGCTGCCTCATCCTCCTGAGTAGGTGAGACTACAGGCGCCCACCACCACGCCCGGCTAATTTTTTGTATTTTTAGTAGAGACGGGGTTTCACCATGTTGGCCAGGCTGGGCTTGAACTGAGCTCAGGCAATCCACCTGCCTTGGCCTCCCAGAGTGCTGGGATTACAAGCATGAGCCACCAAGCCTGGCTGCAAAGTATATTCTTTAGTGGAACCATCTCTTATGTATTATATAACCAAAAATCTCTCTCTTTTTCCCACTCTAGAAAAATAGTTTCGCTGGGTATAGAATTATAAGTTGACAGTTATTTCTCCTTAGCAAATTGAAAACTGCTCTATTGTCTTCTGCTCCCTATTACTGTTGGGAAGAATGTTATCACATTGATTTCCACTGCAGATTTTGTGCCTGTCCTCTCTGGTAGATATTAAGATTTCTTTCTTTTTTTTTTTCCTCAGAGTCTAACTGTCACCTGGCTGGAATGCAGTGGCAATCTCGGCTCACTGCAACCTCTGCCTCCCAGGTTCAAGCGATTCTCCTGCCTCAGCCTCCTGAGTAGCTGGGACTACAGGTGCATGCCACCACACCCAGCTAATTTTCATATTTTTAGTAGAGATGGGGTTTCACCATGTTGGCCAGGATGTTCTCAATCTCTTGACCTTGTGATCCGCCCACCTTGGCCTCCCAAAATGCTGGGTTACAGGCATGGGCCACTGCACCCGGCCTAAGATTTCTTTTTCTTGTTTTGAGACAGTGTCTTACTCTGTCACCCAGGCTGGAGTGCAGTGGCATGATGGTGGCTCACTGTAGACTCGACCTTCCTCGGCTCAGGTGATCTTCCTACCTCAGTCTCCTGAGTAGCTGAGACCAAAGGTGCATGCCACCACGCCTGGCTAATTTTTTATTTTTTGTAGAGACAAGGTTTCACTATGTTGCCCAGGCTGGTTTTGAAATCCTGGCCCTGTGTGTGTGTGTGTGTGTGTGTGTGTGTGTGTGTATGTGTATGTGTGTGTGTGACAAGGTCTTGCTCTGTCACCCACACTTAAATGCAGTGGCAAGATCATGGTTCACTGCAGCCTCTCCCTCCTGGGCTCAAAGTATCTTCTCGTCTCACCCTCTCATGTAGCCAAGACTACAGGTGCATGCCACCATGTCCAGATGATTTTTTTCTTATTTCTTGTAGAGACAGGGTCTCACTCTGTTGCCCAGGCTAGTCTCTAACTCCTGGGCTCAAGTGATCCTCCCACCTCGTCCTCTCAAAGTGCTGGGATTACAGGTGTGAGCTACCGCATCCGGGCTCATTCAGATTTTTTAAAAGCCTAAATGTTGGTCCTTTGGCAGTACCATTTTTAACAGTAAGGGCTGGCCGGGTGCGGTGGCTCATGCCTGTAATCCCAGCACTTTGGGAGGCCGAGGTGGGCGGATCACGAGGTCAGGAGATCGAGACCATCCTGGCTAACATGGTGAAACCCCCATCTCTACTAAAAATACAAAAAGAAAATTAGCTGGGCATGGTGGCAGTCACCTGTAGTCCCAGCTACTCGGGAGGCTGAGGCAGGAGAATGGCGTGAACCCGGGATGCATGCGGAGCCTGCAGTGAGCCGAGATCACGCCACTGCACTCCAGCCTGGGTGACAGAGTGAGACTCCGTCTCAAACAAACAAACAAACAAACAAAAACAGTAAGGGCTAAAAAACATCCCGGAAAGCTAAGCTTGGTGCCTCACACCTGTAATCCCAGCACTTTTGGAGACCAAGGGAGGAGAATCACTTGAGCCCAGGAGTTCAGGGCCAGCCCGGGCAACAAGGCAAAACCTCATCTCTACAAAAAATCAATCAATAAATTAGCTGGGTGTGGTGGCATGCGCTTGTGGTCTCAGCTACTCGGGAGGCTGAGGTGAGAAGATTGCTTGAGCCTGGGAGGTTGAGGCCACAGTGAGCCATAATCATACAACTGCACTCCAGCCTGACAGAGCAACAGACCCTGTCTGAAAGAAAAAAAAAAAAAAAGGCTGGGTGTGGTGGTTTATCTGGTTAACATGAGACCCCAATCTCTACAAAAAAAAAAGAAAAGAAAAGAAAAAAAGCTAGCATGTATGTCTGTAGTCCTGTCTACTCGGGAGGCTGAGGCAAGATAATCCCTTGAGCGCAGGAGTTCAAGGCTGTAGTGAGTTATGATTGCACCATTGCACCCAAGCCTGGATGACAGAGTGAGATCCTGTTTCTTCTTTTTGAGATAGAGTCTGGCTCTGTCGCCCAGACTGCAGTGCAATGGTGCAATCTTGGCTCACTGCAAAACCTTCACCTTCTGGGTTCAAATGATTCTTGTGCCTCAATCTCCCAAGTAACTGGGACTACAGGCACGTACCACTACGCCCAGCTAATTTTGTTTATTTGTTTATTTTTCTGAGACAGAGTTTTGCTCTCGTTGCCCAAGCTGGAGTGCAATGGCGTGATCTCCGCTCACCGCAACCTCTGCCTCTTGGGTTCAAGTGATTCTCCTGCCTCAGCCTCCTGAGTAGCTGGGATTACGGGTGCCCGCCACCACACCCAGCTAGTTTTGTATTTTTAGTAGAGATGGGGTTTCTCCATGTTGGTCAGGCTGGTCTCAAACTCCCAGCCTCAGGTGATCCACTCGCTTCAGCCTCCCAAAGTGCTGGGATTACAGGTGTGAGCCACTGAGCCCGGCCGGGGAATTTTGTTTATTTTTAGTAGAGACAGGGTTTCACCATGTTGGCCAAGCTGGTCTCAAACTCCCAACCTCAGGTGATCCACCCGCCTCGGTCTCCCAAAGTGCTGAGATTACAGGCAGATAACAGTGGAGTGAGATCCTGTTTCTAATAAAAAAGAAAACGAAAAAAAATCAGCCAGGCGCGGTGGCTCATGTCTGTAATCCCAGCACTTTGGGAGGCCAAGGCGGGCGGATCACAAGGTCAGGAGTTCGAGACAGCCTGGCCAATATGGTGAAACCCAGGCCGGGCGCAGTGGCTCACACCTGTAATTCCAGCACTTTGGGAGGCCGAGGCAGGCAGATCACCGGAGGTCGGGAGTTCGAGACTAGCCTGGCAACATGGAGAAACCCTGTCTCTACTAAAAATACAAAATTAGCCGGGCGTGGCGGCACATGCCTGTAATTCCAGCTACACAGGAGGCGGAGGCAGGAGAATCACTTGAACCTGAGAGGTGGAGGTTGCGGTGACCCAAGATAGTGCCATTGCACTCCAGCCTGGACAACAAGAGTGAAACTGTGTCTCAAAAAACAACCAAACAAACATGGTGAAACCCTGTCTCTACTAAAAGTACAAAAATTAGCCAGGCATGGTGGCATGCGCCTGTAGTCCCAGCTACTCAGGAGGCTGAGGCAGAAGAATCGCTTGAACTCGGGACACGGGGGTTGCAGTGAGCCAAGATCATGCCACTGCACTCCAGCCTGGGAGACAGAGTGAGACCCTGTCTCAAAAAAAAAAAATTAATAAAAATTAATTCTGGGCCGGGCTCAGTGGCCTCACGCCTGTAATCCCAGCACTTTAGAAGGCCGAGGTGGGCGGATCACTAGGTCAGGAGTTCAAGACCAGCCTGGCCAACACCAACATGGTGAAACCCCATCTCTAATAAAAATACAAAAAGTTAGCCGGCGTGGTGGTGTGCGCCCGTAATCCTAGCTACTCGGGAGGCTGAGGCAGGAGAAGTGTTTGAACCGGGACCCAGGAGGCAGAGGTTGTGGTGGGCCAAGATCGCACCACTGCATTCCAACCTGGGATACAGAGCGAGACGCTGTCTCAATAAATAAATAAATAAATAAAATTTAATTTAAAAAAAACTCCTAAGACTGGGCACGGTGGCTCAGCCTGTAATTCCAGCACTTTGGGGTGGGTGGATCACCTAAGGTCAGGAGTTAAAGACCAGCGGGGCCACCATAGTTAAACCTCGTCTCTACTAAAAATACAAAACTTAGCTGGGCGTGGTGTCACGTGCCTGTAGTCCCAGCTACTCAGGAGGCTGAGGCAGGAGAATCGCTTGAACCTGGGAGGCGGCAGTTGCAGTGAGCTGAGATCGCGCCACTGCACTCCAGCTTGGGTAACAAAGTGAGACTGAGTGTTAAAAAAAAAAAAAAAAAAAAAGGCAGGGCTTGGTGGCTCTTGCCTGTAATCCCAGCACTTTGGGAGGCTGAGGCAGGTGGATCACCTGAGGTTGGGAGTTTGAGATGAGCCTGACCAACATGGAGAAACCCATCTCTACTAAAAATACAAAATTAGCCAGGCGTGGTGGCACATGCCTGTAATCCCAGCTACTCAGGGGGCTGAGGCAGGAGAATGGCGTGAACCAGGGAGGCGGGGCTTGCAGTGAGCCGAGATCACACCACTGCACTCCAGCCTGGGCGATAGAGCAAGACTCTGTCTCAAAAAGAAAAAAAAAAGAATTTATCTATTGTTACTATTGTTAGGAATTTTGCAATAATACTAAGGATTTACTAGCTTTTGAAGGTATGATATTGGTTTTATGGTTATGCTGAAAAAGTAGGAATCTTGTAGAGATGCACCCTGTTATATTTACAGATGAAGTGGTATGATTTTTTAAAATCTGTTGGGCATTAGGACATGGGGACCTATAGATAAGGCAAGGTTGGCCTTCAGTTGATAATCCCTGAAGCTGGGTGATGGGTAATACGGGTGTTCATTATACTGTGAGGAACTGTGTAGATGCAGGTCTGGAATTTTACCCTACTTACAAGCTGTTAGTGAGCCTGCTACTATTTCTTCCATGCCGGTAGAAACAAGACTCCTGGGTCAGAGACAAAACAAAACAAAACAAAACCGTAATCACAGCAAAAGGAGCAGCCAGGACAACATGGTAAAACCCATCTCTACAAAAAACACAAAAATTAGCCAGACCTGGTGCATGCCCATAGTCTCTACTACTCCAGAGGCTGAGGTGAGAGGACTGCTTGAGCCCAGGAGGTCAAGGTTGCAGTGAGCTGAGATCCCACCACTGCATTCCAGCGTGGATGACAGAGAGAGACCTTCTCTCAAAAGAAAAAAAAAATGCTGGGTGGGTGACTCACGCCTGTAATCTCAGCACTTTGGGAGACCGTGGTGGGCAGATAGTTAGGGTCAGGAGTTTGAGACTAGCCTGGCCAACATGGTGAAACCCTGTCTCTACTAAAAATACAAAAATTAGCCAGGCATGGTGGCGGGCGCCTGTAATCCCAGCTACTCAGGAGGTTGAAGCAGGAGAATCACTTGAACCTGGGAGGCAGAAGTTGCAGTGAGCCGAGATCGCACCACTGCATTCCAGCCTGGGTGACAGAGGGAGACTCCATCTCAAAAAAGAAAAAAAAAAAAAAAGCCAGGCTTGGTGGCACCTGCCTGTAGTCCTAGCTATTCTGATTACTGAAGTGGGAGGACTACTTTAGCCCAGGAGCTTGAGGCTGCAGTGATCTATGATTGCGCCGCGCCGCTGCATTCTAGTCTGGGCGATGGAGCAAGACACTGTTTCAAAAAATCCAAACAAAAAAACCCCAATATTTCCTTCAAATTTTTCCATGTCTGTACATTTGATCTAACTTGTTCTTTTTTTTTTTTTTTGAGACAGTCTCACTCTGTCACCCAAGTTGGAGTGCAGTGGCGTAATCTCCGCTCGTAGCAACCTCCGCCTCCTGGGTTCAAGCAATTCTCCTGCCTCAGCCTCCCAAGTAGCTGGGATTACAGGCGCCCACCACCACGCCCAGCTAATTTTTATATTTTTAGTAGCGATGGGGTTTCACCACGTTGGCCAGGCTGGTCTCGAACTCTTCTTGACCTTAAGTGATCCGCCCGCCTCAGCCTCCCAGTGCCGGGATTCCAAGCGTGAGCCACCACACCTGTCCTAACTCATTCTTTTTGATTGCTGCATATTATTTCATTAAATTGATGTCACGGACTGAATTGTGTCCTTCAAAATTCATATACTGAAGCCCTAACCCTCAACTGTGACTGCATTTGGAAATAGGGCCTTTAGAGAGGTAGTTAAGGTTACATGTGGACATAAGGGCAGGCCCCCAATCAGATAGGACTGTGTCTTTATAAGTAGGGGAAGGGTCACCAGAGACCCTTCTCTTTGCACACACAGAAAAACAGCCATGTTAAAGACAGAGTTAAAGGTGGCTGTCTTGCTCTGTCACCCAGGCCGGAGTGCAATGGCAGGATCACAGTTTACTGCAGCCTCGACCTCCTGGGCTCAGGCAATTTTCCTACCTCAGCTTCCTGAGTAGCTGAGACTACAGGTATGTACCACAATGCCTGGATAAATTTTTTCAATTTTTTGTATAGATGGGGTCTTACCATTGTTGCTCAGACTGGTCTCGAACTCCTGGGCTCAAGCAATCTGCAGGACTCAGCCTCCCAAAGGCTGGGATTACAGGCATGAACTACTGCTCTGGGCAAAAATTTTCTTCCTTTCCTTTTTTTTTTTTTTTGAGACGTAGTCTCACTCTGTCACCCAGGCTGGAGTGCAGTGTTGCGATATCAGCTTACTGCAACCTCTGCCTCCCAGGTTCCAGTGATTCTCCTGCCTCAGCTTCTCGAGTAGCTGGGATCACGAGCGTGAGCCACCACGCCCGGCTTATTTTCGTATTTTTAGTAGAGTTCGGGTTTCCCCATGTTGGCCAGGCTGGTCTCAAACTCCTGACCTCAGGTGATCCACCCACCTCGGCCTCCCAAAGTGCTGAGATTACAGGTGTGAGCTACTGCGCCTGGCCTTTTCTTTTTTTTTTTTTTATGAGACAGGGTCTCACTCTGTCGCCCATTCTGGAGTGCGGTGGTGTGATCTCAGCTCACTGCAACCTTCATCTTCCCAATTCAATTGATCCTCCCAACTTTTTTTTTTTTCTTTTTTTGAGACGGAGTCTCGCTCCGTTGCCCAGGTTAGAGTGCAATGGCGTGATCTCGGCTCACTGCAAACTCTACCTCGCAGGTTCAAGCGATTCTCCTGCCTCAGCCTCCTGAACAGCTGGGATTACAGGCATGTGCCACCACGCCCGGCTAATTTTTGTATTTTAGTAGAGACAGGGTTTCACCATGTTGGTCAGGCTGGTCTCGAACTCCTGATCTTGTGATTCGCCTGCCTTGGCTTCCCAAAGTGCTGGGATTACAGGCATGAGCCACCACGTCTGGCCGATCCTCCCATGTTATCCTCCTGAGCAGCTGGGACTACAGGCGCATGTCACCAAACCCAGCTACTTTTAGTATTTTTGTAGAGAGGAGTCTCGCCTTGTTGCCCAGGCTGATCTCAAATTCCTGGGCTCAACTGACCTGCCCATCTCAGCCTCCTGAAGGGCTGGGATTTCAGGCTTGAGCCACTGTGCCTGTGGGAGATGTCTATTCAAGTATTTTGCCCCCTACTGGCCTACAGGAGCCTCTTTTGGAGTGCATCCACTTGGTCTTGAATTTTTGTTTTTTTGTTTGTTTGTTTGTTTGTTTTGAGATGGAGTTTCGCACTTGTTGCCCAGGCTGAGTGCAATGGCATGATCTTGGCTCACTGCAACCTCCGCCTCTTGGGTTCAAGTGATTCTCCTGCCTCAGCCTCCCGAGTAACTGGGATTACAGGCATGTGCCACCATGCCCGATTAATTGTGTATTTTTAGTAGAGATGGGGTTTCTCCATGTTGGTCAGGCTGGTCTTGAACTCCTGACCTCAGGTGACCCGCCTGCCTGGGCCTCCAAAGTGCTGGGATTACAGGCATGAGCCACCACACCTGGCCTTAGGTCTTGATTTATTTGTGGCTGGGCATAGTGGGTCACACCTGTAATCTCAGGAGTTTGGGAGGCTGAAGTGGGAGGATCGCTTGAGGCCAGGAGTTTGAGGTCAACCTAGGGTATCATAGTGAGACCCTTTCTCTACAAAAAATAAAAAATTATCTGGGCGTGGTGGCATGTGCCTGTAGTCCCAGCTACTCAGGAAACTGAGGAGGGAGGATTAATTGAGCCTGGGAGGTTAAGGCTGCAATAAGCCATGATGGTGCCACTGCACTCCAGCCTGGGTGACAGAGTGAGACCCTGTCTCAAAAAAAAAACAACAAAAAAAAGACATTTGCATGCTATTCTCATCCTCTCTACCAGACTATAACTTTCTTTGGAGCAGGGACCACGACTTTATCACTTAACTTTCCCAACAACATTGCAAACATAATCTGAGTGAAGCTGAATCCATCATCTTTTCCAACTCTTGTGTCCCTTAATTATGTTAATAGTACATAATCCTTTCAGTCACTATGGTACAGATCTCAAAGTCATCTCTCCACACACTTGTGGCCTGGGCTCAGTCTGCTGCTCAACAGTCACCCCCCCTTTTTTTTCTTTCTTGCTTTTCTCACTGTTGAGTTAAATCTTTCATTCTCTCTCGGGATCTAATTAGCATGCTAGTTTCTATTTTCCCAGCTGATTCAACCCTTTCACTTCCAGAGGAAGCTTTCTAAATTACAGTATTGGCCCAGCGTGGTGGCTCACGCCTGTAATCCCAACACTTTGGGAGGCCAAAGTGTGTGGACCACTTGAGGCCAAGAGTTCGAGGCCAGCCTGGCCAACATGGTGAAACCATCCCTAGTAAAAATACAAAAATGAGCTGGGCATGGTAGTGCACACCTGTAATTCCAGCTACTTGGGAGGCTGAGGCAGGAGAATCGCTTGAACGTGGGAGGTAGAGGTTGCAGTGAGCCGCAACCACCCCACTGCACTCCAGCCTGGGTGACTGAGTAGAGACTCTGTCTCAACAACAACAAAAAAGTGCAGTATTTTACTCTCCTAATAATTTTTTAAATGTCTTACCAAAAAAAGTAAAAATTCCTTAGTATGGCACTCCCCAACAGTTTTTCAGTTCTATTTCCTGTAAAGCTTGCACACACATCCAACCCTGTGGTCACACTGAACTACTGAATATTCCTAGGATTTGTCCCTTGTTCCACTCGTATGTCTTTGTTCACGTTCCTTTCATTTTGCCATTCAGGAGTAACCACTCCTTTCTCTGAACTCTTGGAGTACCTAATACCTCCTTTCCAGCATTTACCACTTTCCATTTCCTTCACACAATGTTGTCATCTTCTCTACTAGGCTCTAAGTCCCTTGAGGCAGGGCCTTTGTAGCCTCCACACCAGCTTAGCAACTGATACACAGAGCACTCAGATGTCCGTGCAGGGATCTCTCTATTCTCCACACAACACAGCACCATGCCCTGTTCAGATGCACTAATTATTTGAATGAATAAATGATGTTCCACCCCCACACCCCGGTCTTCTAGCCAATGTAGAGAGAAAGAAAAGAGATACATGTTGAACTGTTTGCACACAAAAGTGACGGGATATGGCACTAATTCTTCATACAGCCTCAAAGGTCACATCTTTTTTTTTTTTTTTTTTTAAGTTTCATTCTTGTCGCCCAGGCTGGAGTTCAATGACACGATCTCGGCTTACTGCAACATCCGCCTCCCGGGTTCAAGTGATTCTCCTGCCTCAGCCTCCCGAAGTAGCTAGGATTATATGCGCCCGCCACCACGCCCAGCTAATTTTTTTGCATTTTTAGTTGAGACGGGGTTTCACCATGTTGGCCAGGCTGGTTTTGAACTCCTGACCGCAGGTGATCCACCCGCCTTGGCCTCCCAAAGTGCTGGGATTACAGGCGTGAGCCACCACGCCCGGCCTAAAGGCCACATCTTAAAACCATACTCTGTAAAATCCTGACCCAGCTTCAGAGCTACGCCACTGCGTTGTTTCCTTTTGAAGCTGAATTCCACTGAACCTATACTTGAACCTTATCTAGAGGACTACAGCGTGTAATTGGGACAATCCCCTTTCTCATTCCTAAGAGGTGATGTGGCCGGGCGGACCTCCAGATTTCCAGCAACTATGACTGGCACTCTCCCCGCGACCAGCAAGTGCCACCTTGTCCTTTGCCTAACGTTGTACAGTTTACGAAATCAACGAACCAACACGTTGATTTCATCTTCCCTGCAAACTGGGGAGACAAGACAAAAATGCTCACCTCCCTAAAAAAACAGATTAGAGGGGAGATGGGGAAGAGAAGAGGCGTGGCTACGAGCTGTGGCGGGGAAGGCGGGTGGAATCCCGGAGCCCGAGCTGGAAACCGTTCCCCGCTCAGCCATGACCCGGGCTGTTTATTCGCATCAGGAGGCGCGGGTGGCTCGCAGAGGGCGAGAAGACCCTTCCCGCTTTCACACTGCAGGCAGCTAAGTCGCCGAGAAAGGCAGCAACTTGACGCCCGACCCCGCCACCCAAACCCGCTCGCTCTGCGACCCCAGAGCAGCCGGCGCCAACCCGTCCCCTTCGCGACTCCGCCGGAAGTCCCGCCTGCACCGCCGCCGCGCCCCATTGGGCCGGGTGCTGGGGCATCCCGGGCGCTGGGTGCCCCGAGCGGCTACGACGAGTCCCAGGTGGGGCCGGGCTCCAGGCCCGCGGGGGAGCGGAGCCGTGCGCCGCAGGCGGGCTCCGTGACGCCGGGTGGGGAACGCCGGGCCGGTGGCGGGACTTCCGCCACGGGACTCGGAAGGGGCCGCGCCGCCGCTGCTGGGAGTTGTAGTCCGGCCGTGGTTGGGGGAGCCGCGGCTCATGCGCGGTGCACAGAGGCTTGTTTCACATCTGTAACAACAGGTGAATTGGGCTTTTTATTCTCCCCTTTCGTGCCCTCTTGAGGAGCCTGCCGCGGCCGGGGGTGGTCGTCGTGAGGAGGGGGCCCGGTCCGACCGCCAGCCTGGCGGAGAGTGGGGCGGAGACGCCGGCGGGCCCGAGGAGCAGGCCGGGCATCCTAGGCCTGCCCGGGAAGCCGGCCCGGCCGATCCGTGGGCAGCCAGGCCTCGGCCTGCCGTTGCCATGGAGCCCGGGCGGGGGCGGGGGCCAGACCGGTCCGCCGGGGCGGGCCTCGCAGCCAGGGGCTCCGCGGAGGCCGTGGGAGAGGCCGCTTCATTGGCGCAACGACGCCTTCGCCTCGGGATGCGCCGTTTCCCCAGGCAGGGCCTGGAGGAAGCCTCCTGAGTGCCCCGAGACCTTTGTCTACTTCTCCTCCTTCCCGGTGCTGCCCGGACCGTTCGTCCAGAGGGAGGCCCGGTGCCTTCTGGCCCCCCTAGTTTGCCCCCTTTTGCACCGACCTTGTCACTGGGGGAGGCCAAGGGGTGAGGTATTCTTTGTTTGCTGGTGGTAACTTGTCCCATTTAGCAGGGGAAGACCAAATGCATGTTGGGTCCTTTGTTTGCAGTGAACTGGAGTCCCAGGGGTCCTCAGAAACCCTAAGCCAGGGATATGGCATATCTAGTCGTTGTGTAGCAACATTGGTCACTTGAATTATGATTTTTCAAGGCAGAGGCTGTTTCACTTTACAACCCCACTCCATGAGGGTTTGCCATACACTAGCAGGTAGACTGCAGAAGGCCACTTACAGGCTTTCAACCTGGTTTTAGTTGCAGCTTATGGGCCAGAGTGAAATGAGACGTTGTCTGGTGATTTCCCTTGAAGTTTCTTGCAAGGTGGTAACCCCACTGTCATTGTGGGTTTTAACTACATCTTGTAATTTACACTTAAATCTTAGAGATTTAAGGCGATGTGCAGAAACTACATCCTTTGCTGCGTTTTCTACCGGTGTTGGCTCTTTATCCCTAAAAGATAGTTGCTCTTCAAGTGTTTTAATTTATGTAGCTGTGATACAAAGTTTTATTAGGGCCGGGAGCGGTGTCTCACGCCTGTAATCCCAGCACTTTGGGAGGCCGAGGCGGGTGGATCACCTGAGGTCAGAAGTTTGAGACCAGCCTGGCCAACATGGCTAGACCTCGTTTCTACTAAAAATACAAAAATTAGCCGGGCATGGTGGCGTGCGCCTGTAACCCTAGCTACTTGGGAGGCTGAGGCAAGAGAATTGCTTGAACCCAGGAGGCCGAGGTTGCAGTGAGCCAAGATCGCGCCATTTCACCCCAGCCTGGGCAACAAGAGCGAAACTCCTTCTCAAAACAAAACAAAACAAAAACCACACACAAGTTTTATTAGCTGTTGGACCTTTCTTGCCCCTTTCAGCCTTTGAAGATAACAGTATAATATGTCTCAAGGAATGAACCGTAGTACATTTAGGCAACAGCATAATATCCTGGAAATAAGAAAATTAGCCTAGTATAAGCATGGAGGGTTTTGGAGTCAGCATGCTTCAATGCTGATTTCCATCTGCCCTGAGGCAGCTATGGGATCTTGGGCAGGTTGTGTAACCTGTGCTTCAGTTTTCTTCTCTGGAAAGATAATTCCTACCTCACTGGATAGTTGCCTGGATTAAATGGGGTAAAGTCTATGGAAGTATGTTGTGAACTGTAAAAATGGTATTCAACTTTGAGTTATTGTTATTTTCCCAATCTTGAAGAGTATTATAGCTTCTTTATGTTAGATTATCATAATTATTATGGGATTAGAACTCAAAGTGGAAGTAGGTTTTGCTCTGGGCTTCCAGAAAATGCTTTTCAGGCTTACAAGGCTTTCTTTACCTTGACATCTTCTTAGATGATGTCAGAAGACTTCAGCACTTCTACAGGTGCTGGTGTAGGACAGCTTACAATTTAATGGGCCTAGAATGGGTCATGGTAAGTCCTGATTTGTAAGGCCATTTTGTCCAGTATGTGCCCTTCATGCCACTAACAAAATTTGTCCTTGTTAGAGCTAGTAAATGATGGTTGGAGCAACTTTCTTTCCCTATGGGGCCTCCACTGTATTGACTCAGCGTTGTACTTCTCAGGAGGAGGCCCAGCCTCGTGATGAGGAATAGCAAGGAGAGAATTCAGCTCCAGTTCAAAAGCCTACAAAATCTGAGACTGTCATTGCTTTTATAAGGTAAGTTGATTTAGCCGTGCACAGAGCAGTGGTGGATCTGATGCTCAGCTGTACTGTAAAACAAGAGGTATGTGTTAAACCTATTTCTGACCATTTTGGAAGAAGGATATCATTTATTTTATTTTGTTTTATTTTTGAGACAGAGTCTCGCTTTGTCCCCCAGGCTGGAGTGCAGTGGCGCGATCTTGGCTTGCTGCAACCTCTGCCTCCCAGGTTCAAGCAATTCTCCTGTCTCAGCCTCCCAAGTAGCTGAGATTACAGGCGCCTGCCACCATGCCCAGCTGATTGTTTTGTATTTTTAGTAGAGACTGGGTTTCACCATGTTGGCCAGGCTGGTCTCAAACCCCTGACGTCAGGTGATCAGCCTGCCTCAGCCTCCCAAAGTGCTGGGATTACAGGCATGAGCCACTGTGCCCAGCCAGAAGGGTATCATTTTTAGTCATTGTGGAGTCTCTGTCCTGGAACCATCCCCAAGTGACTCTACCTGGAGTTAAATTGTATTTCATTATGCAGGAAATCTTGATATAATAGCATTTTACTTATCTGTAAATTACTTAAGAGACACATTGAGCTACAAGGTTTTTTGTTTTTGAGACAGTCTTGCCCTGTCGCCCAGGCTGGAGTGCAGTGGTGCAATCTTGGCTCACTGCAACCTCCACCTCCTTAGTTCAAGCAATTCCCCTGCCTCAGCCTCATGCCACCAAGCCCGGCTAATTTTTTTGTATTTTTTTTTTTTTTTTTAGATGGGAGTCTCACTCTGTTGCCCAGGTTGGAGTGCAGTGGTGGGATCTTGGCTCACTGCAACCTCTGCCTCCTGGGTTCAAGCGATTCTCCTGCCTCAGCCTCCTGAGTAGCTGGGATTACAGGTGCGCACCACCACGCCTGGCTTATTTTTGTATTTTTAGTAGAGATGGGGTTTCACCATTTTGGTCAGGCTAACCTCAAACTCCTGACCTTGTGATCTGCCTGCCTCTGCCTCCGAAAGTGCTGGGATTACAGGTGTGAGCCACCGTGCCTGGCCAATTTTTTTCTTTTTTTTTTCTGAGATGGAGTCTCACTCTGTCACCCAGGCTGGAGTACAGTGGTGCAATCTTGGCTCACTGCAACCTCCGCCTCCCGGGTTCAAGCGATTCTTCTGTCTCAGCCTCCTGAGTAGCTGGGACTACAGGCGTGCACCACCACGCCTGGCTAATTTTTTGTATTTTTAGTGAAGATGGGGTTTTACCATGTTGGCCGTGCTGGTCTCGAACTCCTGACTTTGTGATCCACCTGCTTCGGCCTCCCAAAGTGCTGGGATTACAGGAGTGAGCCACTGCGCTCAGGCGTGCCTGGCCAATTTTTTTTGTATTTTTAGTAGAGACAGGATTTCACCATCTTGGCCAGAATGGGCTCGAACTCCTGACCTCAGGCAATCTGCCTGCCTCAGCCTCCCAAAGTGATGGGATTACAGGCGTGAGCCACCAAGCCTGGCCCACTACAAAGATTTTTAAACATTACTGCATTATGGCCGGTCGTGGTGGCTGATGCCTGTAATCCCAGCACTTTGGGAGGCTGAGGCGGGCGGATCACAAGGTCAGGAGTTCGAGTCCAGCCTGGCCAACATGGTGAAACACTGTCTCTACCAAAAATACAAAAATTAGCCAGGCGTGGTGGCGGGTGCCTGTAATCCCAGCTACTAGGGAGACTGAGACAGGAGAATCATTTGAATCCGGGAGGTGGAGGTTGTAGTGAGCAGAGATCATGCCATTGCACTCCAGCCTGGGCAACAAGAGCAACACTCTGTCTCAAAACAAAACACCATTACTGACTGCATTACAAGGAAGACCGCTTTCTTTTGGATCTCTATGAAATGTTCTAGAGCTCTGTAAATTCTGTCTCTAAAAGATCCTGTCTTGATTCTCATAGTATCGTTTTTTTAGATTAGTACAGGAAAAAGAATGGTACATGAGCCTAAATTGACATATTGGGCTAGAGGTTTAGGGACTTTTAAAAAGCAAAACTGGCCGGGCACGGTGGCTCATGCCTGTAATCCCAGCACTTTGGGAGGCCGAGGCAGGCAGATCATGAGGCCAAGAGATCGAGACCATCCTGGCCAACATGATGAAAGCCCATCTCTACTAAAAATCCAAAAAAATTTAGCCGTGCATGGTGGCGTGTGCCTGTAGTCCCAGCTACTTGGAAGGCTGAGACAGGAGAATAGCTTGAACCCGGGAGGTGGAGGTTGCAGTAAGCTGATATTACGCCATTGCCCTCCAACCTGGTGACAGAGCGAGACTCTGTCTCAAAAAAAAAAAAAAAAAAAAAAAAGCAAAATCAAGAGTCTATTTGCAAGCAAATTAACTTACAAATTTTTTTTTTAGAGGCAGGGTCTCACTGTGTTGCCTAGGCTGGTCTTGAACTCCTGGCCTCAAGCGATCCTTCACCTGGGCGTCCCAAAGTGCTGGGACTACAGGCATGAGCCACCCCACCTAGCCATTAAATTTTGCTTTTTTTTTTTAAATTTTTTTGAGACAGAGTTTCGCTCTTGTTGCCCAGCCTGCAGTGCAGTGGCGCAATCTCATCTCACTGGAACGTCCACCTCCTGGGTTCAAGTGATTCTCCTGCCTCAGCCTCCCACGTAGTTGGGATTACAGGCATGCACCACCACGTCCGGCTAATTTTGTATTTTTAGTAGAGACGGGGTTTCTGCATGTTGGTCAGGCTGGTCTCAAACTCCCGACCTCAGGTGATCTGCTTGCCTCGGCCTCCCAAAATGCTGGGATTACAGGCATGAGCCACTGCACCCGCCTTACTTTTTGTTTTTTTTTTTTAAGAGAGACAGGGTCTTGCTTTGTCACCCAGACTGGAGTGCAGTGGCGTGATCACAGCTCACTGTAAACCTCAAAATCCTGGGCGAAGTGATCCTCCTGCCTCAGCCTCCTGAGTAGCTAAGACTGCAAGCATGTACCACCACACCTGGCTAATTCTGAAAATTTTTTTTAGAGATGCGGTCTCACTATGTTGCCCAGGCTGGTCTTGAACTCCTGGTCTCAAGTGCTCCTCTCATCTCAGCCTCCCAAAGCGCTGGGATTACAGGTGTGAACCACTGTGCCTAGCCAGTTTACCATTTCGTAGCAATAGAGTATTGTTTCTTTTTTTTTTTTCTTAAATTTATTTTTTATTTTTATTTTTTTGAGATGGAGTCTCGCTCTGTTGCCCAGGCTGGAGTGCAGAGGTGTGATCTTGGCTCACTGCAACCTCCGCTTCTCGGGTTCAAGCGATTCTCCTGCCTCAGTCCCCTGAGTAGCTGGGATTACAGGCATGCGCCACCACAGCTGGCTAATTTTTGTATTTTTACTGGGGGCGAGGTTTCCTCATGTTGGCCAGGCTGGTCTCGAACTTCTGACCTCAGGGTGATCCGCCCACCTCAGCCTCCCAAAGTGCTGGGATTACAGGCATGAGCCACTGCAACCAGCCGAGTTTTGTTTTTTGTTTTTGTTTTTTTTGAGACAGAGTCTCACTCTTGTTGCCCAGGCTGGAGTGCAATGGTGCGATCTCGGCTCACTGCAACCTCTGCTTCCCGGATTCAAGCGATTCTCCTGCCCCAGCCTCCCGAGTAGCTGAGATTACAGGCGCCTGCCACCGTGCCTGGCTAATTTTTTGTATTTTTTTAGTAGAGACGGGGTCATGTTGGTCAGGGAGTATTGTTTTTTAAGTAATATTCACTTAAAATGTTTTAGATTTTATAATATTCTGGTTTTCTTTTAAATTAGAATGTCAAATTACACACTTTTTATTTTCATTTGGATAGAAGGTGTCTATGGAATGTAACTTCTTTTTTTTTTTTTTTTTTTTTTTTTGAGACGGAGTCTCACTCTGTCGCCCAGGCTGGAGTGCAGTGGCACAATCTTGGCTCACTGCAAGCTCTGCCTCCTGGGTTCACGCCATTCTCCTGCCTCAGCCTCCTGAGTAGCTGGGACTACAGGCCCGCACAACCATGCCTGGCTCATTTTTTTGTATTTTTTTAGTAGAGACGGGGTTTCACCGTGTTAGCAAGGATGGTCTCGATCTCCTGACCTCGTGATCCGCCCACCTCGGCCTCCCAAAGTGCTGGGATTACAGGCGTGAGCCACCGCGCCTGGCCGGAATGTAACTTCTTAAAGTAAATGTTATCATTGTTGATATTGTATTGAAGTTTTCTCTGTGATATACCATATCCTATGGGCTGAAATTTCCAGCATCCCTTGGGGAGTGGAGGCCATCAGGGCAGACCTGCTATGGACCTGAAAGATTCCGCCCCAGGTCAGCCCTCCACTCCCCACCTCCCCACAATTTGAGAATGAGAGGGAACAGGAGTCAGGAGCCGGAGTGTTGGCCCCAGTAGACTCCAATCAATGTTGGACATGATTCTGATTGGCTAAACACTGTGTAGATGTTTTTAAACAAAGTCCATTTAAGGTTACTGCACTAATCAAGGAGTACTGGATTATAAAAACATCTATAAATCTGAGTTTGAGTATTTTTTAAAACAAAATTGTTAAACCAGATGTGTTGCTTTTTTTTCTTGTCATCTCTAAGTATAGTCCTCAGTTAAATATACTAATAAGCAAAATGCACCAAAACTTTTGGCTAATAGTTGTGCTTTAACTTAATATTTGTTATTTCATAGAGACTGCTATGAAAAGCTTTTTATTCTGAATCACTGTACAGTTATTCTTTGATCCTGTCAGTCAAATCTCATTTTTAGGGTCTTGACTAGGTTTTATGAAAGCCCAGTAAGGCAGTTTGCCCATAAGGCAGTCATCAGTCCTGTTTCCTGATGCCACATGACAGAAGGGGTCCATGTAGAATTTCGTTTCTTCCTGGAAGTCCCAAGGAAACCTGCAAGTATTATGATAACTAGGAAGGAAACCTGCAAGTATTATGATGAACTGGGAAGGAAACCTGTAAGTATTATGATGAACTAGATAGAACTACATGTCTCTCATGATGAAATGCATCTCCCTCTGTTTAACAGGATATGGGGAGTTTTAGGACAGGGAAGAAAGTGCTCAATTAGAAAGAAGCAAAGACAATTACTCTAGAGTGGAGCTGGCCTTCCAGTCCTCAAGACTGGGGAGCAGCAGTTGGGGCTCATTAGTGAAGAGTTTCATTTTTTTCATTTTCTGAACAGTGCTCTCCATGTTACTGAAGTCTTCTTTGTGGGTTGCTGGACCAGGAATATTAACCATTGCCTCTTGGCCCTCCTTGTTCTCAGGATTCCAGCTTTCCCTCCTGGCCAGAAATGTTCAGCCTGGACTCATTCAGAAAAGGTAAGACTGCAACTGTGCTTGTGACCTCATGCCCTTCCTTATTGGGATGGGCAGCTCTGAGGGCTGTGAAAGTCTCTCCCCAGTATGTAGTTCTTGCACATTTCTTTGGGTGGTTTTCCAAAGGCCTTTCCTATAGCCTTCCTTTTGCATGGTGCTTAGAATCTGTGCCAACCCTTGCCATGGCCTTTGCCATGCTTCCTCCCAGTGCCCCCTTCTGCGTACTCCCTGCTTATTAAAATCCTTTTTTTTTTTTCTGAGATGGAGCCTCACTTCTGTCGCCCAGGCTGGAGTGCAGTGGCACGATCTCGGCTCAGTGCAATCTCCTCCTCCTGGGTTGAAGCAATTCTCCTGCCTCAGCCTCCGTAGTAGCTGGGATTACAGGAACCAGCTGCCAAGCTCGGCTAATTCTTTTTTTTTTTTTTAGTTGAGACGGGGTTTCACCATGTTGGCCAGGCTGGTCTCAAACTGTTGACCTCAAGTGATCCACCCACCTCGGCCTCCCAAAGTGCTGGGATTACAGGTGTGAGCCACCGTGGCTGGCCTCTAAAATCCTATTTTTCTAGGCTAGTATTTTATACCATCTCCTTCATGAACCTTTCCTAATTCTGTTGACCAAATGCAATCTTTCTCCAATCTTCCTCGGTACCATACCTGTTCGTTCTCATGGTTAGTCTATTCTGAATTAATCATTTTGTCACTAGATTGGAAGCTCCCTGTAGCCAGGGCCTGTTGTGTGCTTTTACGATGCATAGCACCTGGCCAGCATTTCGCACATAGTAGGCCTCAGTAAACACTGGTGGAAGTTGGATTGAGTCTGTATTAGGCTGTTCTTGCATTGGTATAAAAAAATACCTGAGACTGGGTAATTTATAAGAAAAGAGGTTTAATTGGCTCACATTTCTGCAGGGTGTATAGGAAACATGGTGCTGGCATCTGTTTGGCTTCTGGGGAGGACTCAGGGAGCTTTCACTCAGGGGCAGAAGGTGAAGCGGGAGCAGGCGTGTCACGTGGCAAAAATCAGGATCCAGAGAGAGAGAGTTGGGGAGGTGCCACACAATTTAAACAAGATTGGCTGGGCATGATGGCTCACGCCTGTAATCCCAGCACTTTGGGAGGCCAAGGTGGACGGATTGCCTGAGCTCAGGAGTTCCAGACCAGCCTGGACAACACAGTGAAACCCCATCTCTACTAAAATACAAAAAATTATCCAGGCGTGGCAGTCTGCGCCTATAGTCCCAGCTACTTGGGAGGCTGAGGCAGGAGAATAGCTTTAACCCGGGAGGCAGAGGTTGCAGTGAGCCGAGATTACACCACTGCACTCCAGCCTGGGCAACAGAGCAAGACTCAGTCTCAAAAAAAAAAAAAAAAAAGGCCATGTGTGGTGGTGGGCACCTGTAATCCCAGCTACTTGGGAGGCTGAGGCAGGAGAATCGCTTGAACCTGGGAGACGGGTTGCAGTGAGCTGAGATCGTGCCATTGCACTCCAGCCTGGGCAACAAGAGTGAGATGCCATCTCAAAAATAAATAAATAAATAAATAAAATAAACAACAGGATCTCATGAGAGGCTGGGCGCAGTGGCTCACACCTGTAATCCCAGCACTTTGGGAGGCCAAAGTGGGCGGATCACTTGAGGTCAGGCATTTGAGACCAGCCTGGCCAACATGATGAGACCCGTCTCTACTAAAAATACAGAAAATTAGCTAGGCGTGGTGGTGTGCACCTGTATTCCCAGCTACTTGGGAGGCTAAGGCACGAGAATTGCTTGAACCCAGGAGGTGCAGGTTGTAGTGAGTCAAGATTGTGCCACTGCACTCCAGCCTGGGCGACAGGGCAAGAATCCATCTCAAAAAAAAAAAAAAGATTTCATGAGAATTTACTCACTATCACAAGGATAGTAGCAAGCCATGAGGGATCCATTCTGTGACCCTTCAACAGCAGAGATTACATTTCCTTTTTTTTTTTTTTTGAGACGGAGTCTCACTCTGTTGTTGCCCAGGCTGGAGTGCAGTGGCACGAGCTTGGCTCACTGCAACCTCTGCCTCCCGGGTTCAAGCAATTCTCCTGCCTCAGCCTCCCGAGTAGCTGGGACTACAGGCGTGTGCCACCACACCCGGGTAATTCTTGTATTTTTAGTAGAGATGGGATTTCGCCATATTGGCCAGGCTGGTCTGTAACTCCTGAGCTCAAGTGATTTCGCCCATCTCGGCCTCCCAAAGTGTTGGGATTACAGGCGTGAGCCACCAGCAGGAGATTACATTTCAACATGAGATTTGGGTAGGGACAAATATCCACACTATATCAAAGTCATTCTTTCGTTAGTGATCATAGAAACTCTGGCAAGTCTTGCCGGGCGCGGTGGCTCACGCCTGTAATCCCAGCACTTTGGGAGGCCGAGGCAGGCGGATCACGAGGTCAGGAGATTGAGACCATCCTGGCCAATATGGTGAAACCCCGTCTCTACTAAAAATACAAAATAAAAAATTAGCCGGGTGCGGTGGTGGGTGCCTATAGTCCCAGCTACTCGGGAGGCTGAGGCAGGAGAATGGTGTGAACCCAGGGGGCGGAGCTTGCAGTGAGCCGAGATCGCGCCACTGTCTGGCCTGGGCGAAACAGCGAGACTCCATCTCAAAAAACAAAAAGAAATTCTGGCAAGTCTTGAAATTAGTGCTCTACAGCACACTGAGTGAGGGGGTTGCATAGGCAATGGCAGAATTGAGCCTTGACAGGGCTATAGGGTAGAGTTCACAATGTGTTTATAGGAGGTAAAGTAGCCTGTGGGGACTTTAGGGGCCAGATCCTGAGAGCTTTGTATTTCTTAGAACATGACTTTTTTTCTTCAAGAGACTGAAGAGTAAAGGGCCTGTAGCCCGTGTTGAAGCTGATTCTGAGGCTTCTGTCTGAGGATATTTTACAAATAAATAAGAACCATAACAGAACGTCTATAACTGCTGATTAAATAGGTCTTCCTGATTGTGTCTTCTCTCTCTCTAAGTTGTGTTCCTCGAGGCCTGGGAAACCCCTGGCCAAGTGGTGCCCTGTGTAACCCATTGAATGGGGCCAGAAGGAGGGCTGGACGTACTAGGGCTCAGAGAGCAGCATGTCCCTGCCTCCTTGTGTATCTCCAGCCACTCCATCTGTTTTCATATTGTTTGAAAAAATTTATTTCTGTCATCCTGGGCTTTTTTTTTTTTTTTTTTTTTGGCCAGCTGTATGTAAGAAGGAAAAAACTGAACTTGAGATTAGTGTGGGCAGCACATTTTTTTTTTTTAGCTAAAATTAGCACTTTGTGTTTACTTACTAACCAGTGGGCTTTATTGTCTACCCACTTGTAAAAGGTCGATGAAAGCAGGTTTTCTCATGGTGAGTGTCTCTGAATTAATAGTACTGATTTTGTAAAGAGATGGAAAGCCCAATAAAAATCACGATCCTCAGCTGAGCGCGGTGGCTCAGGCCTGTAATCCCAGCACTTTGGGAGGCTAAGGTGGGTGGACTACTTGACATCAGGAGTTCGAGACCAGCCTGGCCAACATGGTGAAACCCCGTCTCTACTAAAAAAAAATAAAAATAAAAATAAAAATCAGCCGGGCATGGTAATCCCAGCTACTTGGGAGGCTGAGGCAGCAAATCGCTTGAACCCAGGAGGCAGAGGTGGCAGTGAGCTGAGATCACACCACTGCACTCTAGCCTGGGTGACAGAGCGAGACTCTGTCTCAAAACAAAAAAAAAAAAAAAAAAAGAAAAAAAAATTTTTTTTTCCTGTCTGAGCGCCGTGTCTCATGCTTGTAATCCCAGCACTTTGGGAGGCTAAGACAAAAAGATTGTTTGAGCCAGGAGTTTGAGAGCAGCCTGGACAGCATTGGGAGACCCTGTCTCTCTGTATTTTTAGCAAGCTCCACCTCCCAGATTCATGCCATTTTTCTGCCTCAGCCTCCCGAGTAGCTGGGACTACAGGCGCCAGCCACCACGCCTGGCTAATTTTTTGTATTTTTAGTGGAGATGGGGTTTCACCATGTTAGCCAGGATGGCCTCAGTCTCCTGACCTCATGATCCACCCGCCTTGGCCTCCTAAAGTGTTGGGATTACAGGTGTGAACCACCACGCCCGGCCGTTTTTTGTTAGTTAGTTTTGTTTTGTTTTGTTCTGTATTTTTTTAAGAAATAAAATAATTAAAAAAATAATTTTTTTTTTTTTGGTGGAAACAGGGTCTTCCTATGTTTCCCAGGCTGTTCTCAAACTCCTGGCTTCATGTAATCCTCCTGCCTTGGCCTCCCAAAGTGTTGGGACTACAGGTGTGAGCCACTGTGCTTGGCTTGAGTTTTCCTTTTACATGTTTCTTTGCTCTTCATCATCAAATTATGAGTTCCTAGGGTGTCATGAACCTTGAGAGGAAATGTAAGTTGATGTGAAGCTTGAGGTTCCCGAGTTTCATTGACTGGGGCTTGAATCTGGCTTTCCCTAATACTAGCAAGGTGTTAACTTACCTGATCTTGTTTCCTACCTGCTATCTTCAGGACTACAGTGAAGATATTAGAGCTGAAATATAGGAAAAGCACCTGGCTATGGTCGGTGCTCAACCCTTACTCTTGGGCATGGTATGCCCTTGATAAATACTGGAGAGCTATAGCCTTGCCTCAGCATGCAGTGTGCTGTGAGGTTGCATGATTGAGCACCTGCTGTGTAGGAGACACTAGGGTGAAGAGAGCTCTGTTTCAGAGATGCTTCTTGGTACTCTGGAGCTTATAGCCTCAATAGGATGGGCCATTTGATGGTTCTGATGGAAACAGCTATAGCAATTCCATGCAGCATTGTGGATGGTGGCCCACTGGGTCTTGTGGCTAGCTACCATCTTTCTCATTATGTAATTTAACAAAGCTGTTGGTAAGAATGCCCATGTTCCTGGTAAGTTACTTGTTACTGCCCTTGCGAGCATCTTAACTTAGCTGTCTGATTTCTTACCTGTAATGCCATCGGACTCAGGCTACAAAGAGCAAGCTGAACAATAAAAAAGAGCAAAAAAAAAAAAAAAAAAAAAAAAAAAAGAGCAAGCTGAGTCTTTCACAGCCAGCACAAAACTTTGAAAAACACTGGATCAATAGCAAGAATGTGCATTTTCTCTCCAGGTACATGGTCAGAAGTGGGCTCAGTGAAGTTATGGGATTGTAACAACTCTCTCCCAATTGCTGAAAATGCTTAATGAGATAATAACTAATCATTGAATCATTTATTCTTTTTTTTTTTTTTTCAATCCAGCATCCCTGGATGTGAATGAGGACCCTCCTTAAACAGGAATGGAGAGGTTGAGCTGGTCATTTCCAACCTTAGCTTCAAGGCAGAACTGGAATTAGTTTCAAAATAAACCTTGATCCTAGGCATTTAGTTCTAGAAGATCCTACAAGCACGTCTGCTGTAACTCTATGTATGTTTTCTGTAAAATCACATACCTATAAAATAAAAAGAAAAAAATCACACATCTATAATATTATAAGAGAGCTTATGGGAAAAATAGAATTGGGCCAATGCAACTGCAACTTTTTGACCAAAATATGACAAAAAACAATTATTGGTGCTTGGGAAGATGCTTTGGACTACCTAGACAGGCAGCTCAGGGTGATGTGATGCTGCAAATGTACAAAGAGCCGTCTTCTTTTTTTTTTTTTTTTTTTTAAGACGGAGTCTTGTTCTGTGGCCAGGCTGGAGTGCAATGGCGCGATCTCGGCTCACTGCATCCTCCGCCTCCCGGGTTCAAGTCATTCTCGTGCCTCAGCCTCCTGAGTAGCTGGGACTACAGGCACACGCCACCATGCCCTGCCAATTTTTGTATTTTTAGTAGAGACGGGGTTTCACCATGTTGGCCAGGATGGTCTCGATCTCTTGACCTTGTGATCCGCTGGCCTCAGCCTCCCAAAGTGCTGGGATTATAGGCGTGAGCCACCGCGCCGGGCTACAAAGAGCCTTCTAATGTGAGCAGAGCTGGCAGTTACCGAGGAAGCCCAGGTGGAGGTGGAGTTCTGAAACAGCCACTGTGGTGAAGGAGTGTGTGCAGCTGGGACTGTGGGGGAGGAGGGTTGGAGTGCAGGACTTGCTTCTCCCCTAACATTTTGTTGTGAAAAATTTCAAAAATACTGAAACATTGAAGAAATTGTATAGTGAACACCTTTGTATCTACCACCTTGATTCTCTATAGGTATAGGCACTCAATTTTAATAAAAAAAAAAATAGCTGAAAGGGCTTTTTCTTTCCTGCTGAAGATTATAATTCTACTCCTGCTTTTTCAGCTCCTTTGCTTTCAGAATTTTTTGAAACAAGAGTCTTGTTTTACTGATATCTTTCTCCTCTTTACCAATTGTATATGAGTCAATTTGCATTCCACAAATGAACATCTTTGTAGAACAGGTGGTTTCTCAAGCTTCAGGTGTGTGTGGCCATCTCTGCTCCCCTTCTACCCCATTTACTGTACTGAAACCAGAGGGGCAAAGAGAGCAAAGAGTGCATGCATTTCTCCCAGCCCCAAGACTAGTGACTCTCTGAATGTCACCATTTAGGTGGTTTAAAAGGACCTTAAGCCTTCCTTACCCATATATTTCCACCTTCCTTACCCATGTATTTCCACCTTCCCGTGGAAGACTCAGTGCCTTAATTTTCGTTCATGTACCTCAAGTTGTTGGGACTTCTTAGAAATGTACTTTCTGGTTACTAATAAGTAGCATTTAGCCCCCAAATGAATGGAAGTATTTGGAATGGCAGGTTGTTCTCTTTTAGAAAGAGGGAGAAGGCTGGTAAGTGTGCGTCTGGTTTTAGCTCTCAAGCTGGACCCACATAGTCCAGTCGTCCCTCTCTTACCCAGCTCTTGGAGGGAAAGAATGATTTGAGATTTGGTGGCTGAGGTAGCCATCTGGGGAACGCATAGCAAAGGCGTAGGTAGCTACCATAAGAAGCAGACACGTGGTGCTTTTGAGTTGATGTAGTACCAAGGCTTTCAGCTTTCTCCTGTTGTCCTGTCACATCCTCACAACTTAAGACTAAGAGAAGTATATAGGATGGGTGTTAACCTCATAGGGGGTAGCTAAGGGAACAGGAAGAGTTTGAGGGCTCTCTCTAAGGCTGTCACATATCACATCATATGAGACGCTTGCCTTCTTCCTGTGTGGCGTTGTTAGTGCTGTTCCTCAGAACCTGTGGCTGCTCCCAGCACTGTCCAGCAGCCCTGTTGCCCAGAGCTCCTCACGGATGCTCTGAGTGAGTCAGTTCAGGGGTCTGTGACTGTGAGGGGTGAGAACATGTCGCCCTGATGCCCTCTCTCTTTCCCCAGATCGGGCCCAGCACAGGCAGCGTCAGTGCAAACTTCCCCCACCCCGCCTTCCACCCATGTGTGTCAACCCTACCCCAGGAGGGACCATCTCTCGAGGTAAGGGAGGAGCCTTGCCTCCAGCAACAGCTTGGTCCAGGGTCTGTGGGGAGGTGGGTGGCAATGGGAGCCCTGGTGCCAGGGCCACAGCCCTCCAGAAAGTGAGTGAGGAAGGGTGGGATTAGCAGAGCTATTGGAGCCCTGAGGGAGAAATTACTTGGAAAAGTCTGGATTTTTTCATGATCCCTTGACTCATGGCCTGGACCCTGCAGTCTTCTTGGGCCTCCTTGTGTGGCCTGGACTAAAGCCTAGGCTCAGTTTGGGTGGTTCTCTCAGCACCCGCATGGAGAATCCGCAGGGCTTGGGGCCTCGAGGCTCCTAGAAGTCCCTGATCAGGTGGCTCAGAGAGCAGGGTGCTTGTAGCAGGGCTGGAACAGATAGCCCTGACTCAACCCTAGTGCTTTCCATCTTGGAGGCTTTGGGAATACACACAGATCACTTTCCTGTCTCCCATGTGGCACCTCAAAGCACTTTACTGACATTAAAATGTGCCTCTCAGTCCACTTGGCAAGGTAGGCTGTCCTTTTGATTGGGGAGAATGTTAGAGCACCAGGTAAGTGGCAGCTTACCTCAGGCCCTATCAGTACCCAGGGATGGCGCCAGGGATAGGACCCAGGGAAGCATCGCTGCACATGAGCGCCTCCTCTTCTCCCTCAGACTTATTAATATACCTTTTCCAGGCCTGCTAAGGCCAGTGCTCCTGGAAGCCTTTTTGTCCTAATAGCTGCTCTTTTCTGCCCCATAGGCTGCCTGTTCACACCCCTCTGCCTAGCAGAAGGAGCCCTGTTTTAGGTCATAGGGTCATTGTCTCATCTAGAGACAGCATGTCTACTCTAGGGTCTGTCTGTAAAGTGCTTTGAAGGTCAAGAGCTCAGGAGGAGTGTGGGGAACACAGAGCACCTCAGTTTCTGCAGCCCATGCTGCTGCTGCGTCCCAGGCAGTTTTCACACTCCTGCTGCTGCGGCCCTGACTACTGACAGCAGGATAGAAATGAGTACTTCTAGCCCCCTGACCATTTGACTTAGGTTTTAAAGAAATGCCACCCCCCTACCGTTACCAAAACAAGAGTTGATTGCCCTTTTTTTTTTCTTTCTTAAAATGCCCTGTAACTCGAAAAGGCTGAACGTTAACATTTCCAACATGGCAGGTGAGTGGCTCTGAGAGTGTCAGATGTGCTTTGGCTAAGCTTGAAGACGGTTAGTCGGGGTTAACCAGGCAGTTGGCTAGGCAGTGCCTTCTTGAGCACACGCGGAGGAGAACACTGATCGCAGGATGGGCAGTTGCTGCCTCTGGGGCAGCCCCACAAGTGCTGTGCTCTCTTCCCCAGAGGAGTGCAGACCCCTGAGCCTGGTGGTCTCTCCTCACAGCTGCGCCTCCAGGAGGCATCCGTGGGTGTGTGCATTTTGCCTTCTCTCTCTCAGCTAGAAGCAACAGCCCCTCTTGGCCTGCGGATAGCGATCAGGCCTCTCCCCTGTGCTTTCTAGCTCCCTAGAGGCTTCACTGGTGCTCCTGCCCTTAAGGAGATGTGTTGCAGCAACAGTCTCTCTGGTGTTTATATAAGGAAAACAGTGCACCGAAAATGGTGGCCATTTATATTGATCACAGTACTCAGCAGAATCAGATTTGGAACTGAAAAAAAATGATCACCTCCCTACCTCCTTGACCCCCCTTCCTCCACTGCCAATGTCTTCCCAAGGCTTCCTTCCAGGGTAAAGGGTGAGTACATCAAGAAACTCACCTCTGGCTGTCCCCTGTCACTCGGCCCCACCTACTCAGATTTGAGACACAGCACCATGGGATGACACTTCTGGCAGGATCTTGGGGGCCACAAAACTGATCTTTCCTGTCCATTGCCTCAAATAGATGTGTGCCCTCTTCTTGATGTGGTGGTTTACGTCAAGAGACTTGTGGCTGGCCGGGCATGGTGGCTTACGCCTGTAATCCCAGCATTTTGGGAGGCCAAGGTGGGTGGATCATCTGAGGCCAGGAGTTTGAGACCAGCCTGGCCAACATGGTGAAACCCCATCTCTACTAAACATACAAAAAATTAGCTGGGTGTGGTGGTGCATGCCTGTAATCCCAGCTACTTGGGAGGCTGAGGCAGGAGAATTGCTTGAACGCAGGAGGCGGGGGTTGCAGTGAGCTGAGATCGCACCACTACACTATAGCCTGGGCAACAGAGCGAGACTCCATCTCAAAAAAAAAAAAGAGACCTGCGGCTTATGTGGAAGGGGAAGCCATGAGGACGGATGACCTGGTAGGGCAGTCGGGTGCCCACCTGGCTCCTGTAGCTCCTCTTACCCGTCTCCTTGCCAGCCAAGTGGATCCTTTCTTGCCATTTTGACCACGTGTAATATATGTATATATGGTTGGGTAAGTTGCCAAAATATAGGCTGAGACTCCTGGTTTCTTTAGGTGTTGGTGGTCCCTTCCACTGTCCCTGCGGAAGTTCTCTGCTCTGCCCCAAAGCCTGAACTATCTTGGACTTCCTCTTGTTGCCTTTTTCTGGGGCCTCCAAAGTATAGGTTCCTAAAGCATTCTCCCGTGTATTCAGCAGATCCTTTACGCCTTAATTCTGTGCTGCTAGATGTAGTTGTTTAGCACATGTAGTACCAGATGTCATCCCCGATCCAGAAGTGGATAGAGAGATTGCTGAGCCAGTAAATGCTTTCTTTTTTCAGAACTTCCCTCCTTTTTCACAGGGAAAGGAATCAACTTTCTCTCCTCCAAGAATACGGAGAAGGCTTAATGTTGGTGTAAAGAAAGGGGTGCATGCGTAAGGCTCTCTCTTTTTTTTTTTTTGCCTTTGTTTTATTTCTTCTTTCTATTTTTATTTATTTATTTATTTATTTATGAGATGGAGTCTCACTCTGTCACCCAGGCTGGAATGTGGTGGCATGATGTCGGCTCACTGCAACCTCTGCCTCCTGGATTCATGTGATTCTTGTGCCTCAGCCTCCCTGGTAACCGGAACTACAGGCATGCACCAGCATGCCCAGCTGATTTTTTTGTATTTTCAGTAGAGACGGGGTTTCACCATTTTGCCCAGGCTGGTCTCCAACTCCTGGGCTCAAGTGATTTGCCTGCCTCAGCCTCCCAAAGTGCTGGGATTACAGGCATGAGCCACCATGCCTGGCCTTTTTCCTAACTTTCTTTTTTCTTTTTTTGATGGAGTTTCGCTCTTGTTGCCCAGGTGGGAGTGCAATGGTGCGATCTTGGCTCACCGCAACCTCCGCCTCCTGGGTTCAAGTGATTCTCTTGCCCCAGCCCCCCGAGTACCGGGGAATACAGGCATGTGCCACTATGCCTGGCTAATTTTTTGTATTTTTTTAGTAGAGATGGGGTTTCTCCATGTTGGTCAGGCTGGTCTCAAACTCCTGACCTCAGGCAATCTGCCCGCTTCGGCCTCCCAAAGTGTTGGGATTACAGGCATGAGCCACCGTGCCCAGCCCTTTTTTCTAACTTTCTTTAAGGTCCTTTACTGATTGATTGATTGATTGAGATGGAGTCTCACTCTGTTGTCCAGGCTGGAGTGCAATGGCGCAATGTCGGCTCACTGCAACCTCCCTCCTGGGTTTGAGCCATTCTCCTGCCTCGGCCTCTTGAGTAGCTGGGATTACAGGCACCTGCCACCATGCCCAGAGCTAATTTCTGTATTTTTAGTAGAGATGGAGTTTCACCACACTGGCCAGGCTGGCCTTGAACTCCTGACCTCAGGTGATCCACCCTCCTCGGCCTCCCAAAGTGCTGGGATGACAGGCATGAGCCACCGTACCTGGTCTTTAAGGTCCTTTAGAGGAGGAGTTGGTAATCTTTTTTTTGTAATCATCAGGTAATAAATATTTTACGCTGTGTGGGGCATATGCTTTCTGTTGCAGTTATTTGACTCTGCCATTATAGAATGAAAGCAGTCATAGATAATAGCAAATAACATAGTAAATGAGTGTGGCTCTGTTCCAATAAAACTTTCTAACAACAGGCAGGGGTCTGGATTTGGTCTGCAGGCTGTAGTTTTCCAACTCCTGCTCTAGACCAGTGAGGAGAAGAACACAGAAGCAGAAGAGTTCCAAGAGCTGCTGTAAAGAGTTGCCCTTATCTTACAAGAGTCATTGAGGTTTGTGGAGGTGAAATACTTGCTCAGGGTGACTCTTGCTGTTAGAACCCAGTTGAAATAAATGAATAGGAAAAGGGGACTGCATTAGTCCATTTTCATGCTGCTGATAAAGACATACCCAAGACTGGGTAATTTATAAAGAAAAAAAGGTTTAATGGATTCACAGTTCTATGTGGCTGGAGAGGCCTCACAACCATGGTGAAAGGCAAAAGGCACATCTTACATGGTGGCAGACAAGAGAGAAAGACAGAACCAAGTGAAAGGGGTTTTCCCAGCCGGGTGTGTTAACTCATGCCTGTAATCCCAGCACTTTGGGAGGCCGAGGTGGGTGGATCATGAGGTCAGGAGTTCAAGACCAGCCTGGCCAATATGGTGAAACCCTGTCTCTACTAAAAATACAAAAATTAGCTGGGCATGGTGGCACGTACCTGTAGTACCAGCTGCTTGGGAGACTGAGACAGGAGAATCGCTTGAACCCAGGAGGCAGAGGTTGCAGTGAGCCGAGATCGTGCCAGTGCATTCCAGCCTGGGTGACAGAACAAGACTCTGTCTCAAAAAAATAAACATAAAAAATAAGAAAGGCCAGGCGCAGTGGCCCACGCCCGTAATCCCAGCACTTTGAGAGGCCAAGGAAGGCGAATCATGAGGTCAGGAGATCGAGACCATCCTGGCTAACACAGTGAAACCCTGTCTCTACTAAAAATACAAAAAATTAGCCGGGTGTGGTGGCGGGCACCTGTAGTCCCAGCTACTTGGGGGGCTGAGCCAGGATAATGGTGTGAACCTGGGAGGTGGAGCTTGCAGTGAGCCGAGATTGCACCACTGCACTCCAGCCTGGGCAACAGAGCGAGACTCCATCTCAAAAAAAAAAAAAAAAAGAAAAGAAAGAAAAGAAAGGGGTTTCCCCTTATTAATCTATCAGATCTCTTGAGACTTACTCACTACTATGAGAACAATATGGGAGAAACCACCCCCATGATTCAATGACCTCCCAACCACGTCCCTCCCATGACACATGGGAATTATGGGGGCTACAATTCAAGATGAGATTTGGGTGGGGACACAACCAAACCGAGACAAAGACCCCCCTGGGAACAAACTAGTTGGTTGGCATCCCTGGTTGTTGTTTTTTTTTTTTTTTTTGTCTTTTTGAGACGGAGTCTCACTCTGTTGCCAGGCTGGAGTGCAGTGGCGCAATCTCGGCTCACTGCAACCTCCGCCTCCCGGGTTCAAGCAATTCTCCTGCCTCAGCCTCCCAAGTAGCTGGGACTACAGGCGCGTGCCACCATGCCCAGCTAATTTTTGTATTTTTAGTAGAGATGGGGTTTCACCATGTTGACCAGGATGGTCTTGATACCCTGACCTCATGATCCGCCTGCCTCAGCCTCCCAGAGTGCTGGGATTACAGGCATGAGCCACTGCGCCTGGCTGATTTTTTTTTAACATAAAAATCTAAACATCTGTTCAACACATGTGTTGTAAACTAGAAAAAATAGTATAATGAACCTGCAAGTACCTGTCACCCAGCTTCAACAATTAACAACTCATGGCCAGTGTTGCTTTGTGTATAGCTCTTCATTTTGGCTTCTTTAGAGGCAACTAAGAAATCATGGCATTTCAGCCTTATGCCAAATGGCTGTCAGAAAAGAGTGCTATCCTGAGGGCTTCCTCAAGTGCCACAAAGGGCTTGGGTCCTGCTGTCCAGGTGGGGCCTTTCTGTCTAGACTGTTGTCTCCTTCAGCTTTCAGATACCATTTTCTTTTCCTTTTTTTTTTTTTTTTTTTTTTTTGAGATGGAGCCTTGCTCTGTCACCCAGGCTGAAGTGCAGTGGCATGATCTTGGCTTACTGCAACCTCCGCCTCCTGGGTTCAAGCGATTCTCCTGCCTCAGCCTCCCGAGTAGCTGGGATTACAGGCGCGCGACACTATGCCCGGCTAATTTTTGTATTTTTAGTAGAGATGGGGTTTCACCATGTTGGCCAGGCTGGTCTCGAACTCCTGACCTCAGGTGATCTGCCTGCCTCGGCTTCCGAAAGTGCTGGGATTACAGGCGTGAGCCACTGCGCCTGGCGAGGAACAGCACTTTCACTGCTGGACTTTACGCTGGACCAGCTCAATTCTTGGCAGTTTCCAAAGCTGGGTGTTTTCACCTTCCCCTCCAGCCCTGGGGATTAAATCTGTTTCCTGAAGAGGTCTTCCTTGGCCTGGCTCCAGATTTTCTTTTTCGTTTTTTAAACTTTTAATAGAGTTGGGGTTTCACTATGCTGCCCAGACTGGTCTCAAAATCCTGGGCTCAGGGGATCCATCCGCCTCAACCTCCCAAAGTGTTGGGATTGCAGGCATGAGCCACGGCGCCTGGCCCTGGCTCCAGATCTTCACCAGGTTTACTTTGTAAGCCGTTAAATAAGATGGGGCTGCCAATTTGCCAGAGGCACGTGAGAGGTAGTTAGGAACAATTGGTAGGACCTAGAGGGAACTAACTTCGCTTCCTTAGATGACATTGAGCTAAGGCCTAGCATTATTTTCCCCCCAACAGCCTCATTCCATCTTCCTGCCTTCCATCCACACGACTGCTGGTTTAGATTTGCTGGAGAGTGAGCTCTGCAGGGTCCTAGCCCTGGGCAGCGCCGAGCCCGCCTACTGAAGGCCCAGGGCTGTGGTGAGCGAGGACGGGCTGCTGATGCCCTCGCCTAGGCTTGGGCTTCGGGTCCGCCCGGCCCGCAGGGGGCGCGCGGCGCTCGGGCCGGCCGCTCCCGTTCTCTTCGCCCGGTCCCTGCCGCGCACAGGCCTCGGGGTCGGCGGGAGCACGATGGCGGCCGCTAGGAGACTCATGGCGCTGGCCGCCGGCATCTCTCCGCGCCTGCAGCCGCTGGGTCCCCGCGCTGCTGGGCGACAGGGTCGCTCGCGCGGCTTCTCTTCAAGCTGCGCCCACCCCGACCACACCAAGGAAGCCGCCGAGGCCGAGTCAGGGATGGCCCCCGGCGGGCCTGGGGAAGGCGACGGAAGCTTGGTGAACGGTGAGGGCATCGGCGGGGGCGGGCGGTCCGCAGCGCCCTTGACTCCTGGGATGGCAGAGCTAGGGGCGCGGGCCGAAATCGGGCCTGGCGGCCGGGGGTCCTCTCTTCCATAGTGGCCAAGTTCGCCATCCGTCGGCGGGCAGCGGCCTTGCTGTTTGTAAAGCTTAGCGTGGCACAGGCCCGAATGGACCCTTAGAGTACCTGCTCCCGGCAAGAATAGGTGAGAGGTGCGAGACCTCGAGGGAGTGGGGAAAACGAGTAAAAGTCCAACTCCTGCCAGGATGAGTGGCCAAGGGCTAGAGCTTCTAGGGACAAGCATGCCCTCACCAGTGTGAGAAATAGCCCAAAGTAACTCCTGGGACATCAGGATCTCAAATAGAGACAGAATGACTGTTCTGGTGGATTCCAGCTTTGTGCCTCCCAAATAGTGCAGAGGATAAAACTGTTGAAAGCATCAAGGATGGGTAGAGAGCGCCAGCCTCCACCAACCTTATAGAGCTGAAGGTGGGGGCGGGGTGGTGGTCTCAGTGCAGCTCTATTGTTAAACCAGTGGGTGTAATGGGCTACTCGAAGTTGGGTCCCTCTGTGACGAAACCCCCCCCGCCCCGGCCAAGTCCACTTAGATATGGTTTCTTAACTGCTTAACTGCTTGACTCTTAGTTGCTTTACAAGTTACCGCTTAGAGGGAGACAGGATCAGGTGTCCTCCATCCTGGCCACTTGACACAGGAGTCTGTCCCAAGGAAACAGTCTCAAACCAGGCAGCAGAGTTACATCAGAACGCTTGGAAGCACTTTTTGAAAATATAGAGTCGCCTCCAACATCGCTCCCATTCTCAGGTCCCCTGTGGGGAGCTGGATGTCCATGCGGTGAAAAAGCTCCCCAGGTGATCAGTGTACACGCAGGTGCACATGTGCATATATACAGCTCCTTTTGGAGCTGCCAGAGGCTAGAGTGGAGAATGATATGGCCCCCCATGTTCCTAGCAGACCTCTTCATGACCTGGTTAAGCCTTGTGTCTGGTACAAGCTTACCCTAGGTAGATATCTCTTCCCTTTCTGCTCTGAGATTAATCCAAAAAACAAGAAAAAGAAGCGAGGTACCTCTCATGGTATCTGATGCATCAATTTTCCCCTTGATTCCAGAGAACTTGGGGGAGGAGTAATTCATGCCTGCTCAGATGTAGAGGTTTTCTTTCTTTTTTTTTTTTTTTTTTGAGATGGAGTTTCACTCTTGTTGCCCAGGCTGGATTGCAGTGGCGCGATCTTGCCTCACTACAACCTCCGCCTCCCGGGTTCAAGCGATTCTCCTGCTTCAGCCTCCCAAGTAGCTGGGACTACAGGCGCCTGCCACCAGGCCTGGCTAATTTTTTGTATTTTTAGTAGAGACGAGGTTTCACAAGGTTTCACTATGTTGGCCAGGTTGTCAAACTCCTGACCTTGTGATCCACCCGCCTTGGCCTCCCAAAGTGCTGGGATTACAGGCGTGAGCCACCACGCCCAGCCAGATGTAGAGGTCTTTAATCAGTCCCCACACATAGTTTGGTTCTGTGGGAGTCTTTTGCAGTGTGCTTAGATACGGTTGAGAGCTGGGGCCTGGTATTCAGCATCTGGATCTCATCACTTGAGATACATGGGGCCAGGTCTCTCGTGTGTGTGTCTTATTTTAGGAAGAGCCTTGCATTGTCTTGATCTCCAGTTTGTGTGTGTGGTGGATTTTTGTTTTTGTATTTTTTGCTTGCTTGTTTGTTTAGTGTCTTCTTTCAGACATCAGACTGGGGGGTTTATTGACCAACCAGGCTTTTGTAGGTGATGTATGAAATGAGGAGATTGGGCGGAGAAGAGGATGCTGGTAGGATCCCTTCTGTGGTGTGTGGGTCATTGGCCCTTCTTCAGGAGATGGTTATTCAAGTGGGTCTGGCCCCACTCTTCCCTGTAAACCCTGAAGTCATTCCTCTTTTCTTTTCCAAGATGCTCCTGGGTGGTTTGGGGTCATGAGCCAACATCCTCAGAATCCAGCCCAGGGTTGCCCTGATACACACCCCATGGAGTTTTTAAAAGAAAAAGAACAACTGTAATGCTTTTGTTCTTATTTTCTTAGCTTCTAGGGACCTATTAAAAGAGTTCCCACAGCCCAAAAATCTTCTCAACAGTGTGATTGGAAGAGCCCTCGGCATCTCACATGCAAAAGACAAACTAGTCTACGTGCACACAAATGGACCGAAGAAAAAGGTAACTCTGCTGGTGGCAAGGAAAAACATTGGTATGACTCAGAAAGGAGGCTGTTTGTCCTTTCTGTCTTAGGTTTCTTTGTCAAGGAGGCCATAGAATGGGTTTCCTGAATTAAAATGGTCAGCAGAGACTCAGAGCAAAGCTAGGTTTGAAGAAGAGCCAGAATACACGTGCCTGGTTTAGGGAAGAGGAACACAGGGCAAATGAGGTGCCATCTTATCTAAGACAGGCGCCTATACGGATCCTTGGTTTTTGCCCCCATCGACTAAGGACTGCAGAGGGTTAGAGTTAATGATAATTCTTGCCCTTACAGTCTTATAGATTCTGGAACCATAGAAGCATGCCAGCAAACCATTCTGGATGATTTTTTAACATTTATTTTATTTATTTTTGTAGAGACAGAGTCAGAGTCTCTCTGTCACCCAGGCTGGAGTGCAGTGGCACAATCATAACTCACAGTAACCTCAAACTCCTGGGATCAAGTGATCCTCCCGCCTCAGCCTCCAAAGTAGCTGGGACTACAGACAGGTGCCACCACACTCGTCTAATTTTTTTTATTTTTTGTAGAGACCGGTTCTTGCTATGTTGCTCAGGGTAGTCTCAAACCCCTTGGTTCAAGGGATCCTCCCTCCTCAGCCTCCCAAAATTGTGGGAGACACCACTGCTCTCAGTCTGGATGATTTTTAAAGATAAAGATGGGGCCTGGTTGTGGTGGTTCGTGCCTGTAATCCCAGCACTTTAGGAGGCGGAGTAGGGAGGATCCCTTGAGCCCAGGGGTTTGGGACCAGCCTGGGCAACATAGTGAGACCCCATTTCTACAAAAAATGAAAAAGTTACTCAGGCATTGTGGTGCAGGCCTGTAGTCCCAGCTACTAGGGAAGCTGAGATGAGGGGATTGCTTGAGCCCAGGAGGTTGAGGCTGCAGTAAGCTGTGATCGTGCCACTGCACTCCAGCCTGGGCAACAGCGTGAGATCCTGTCCCCCACAAAAAAAAAAAAAAAAAAAAAGATGAGGCTGGGCGCGGTGGCTCATGCCTGTAATCCCAGCACTTTGGGAGGCCGAGGTGGGCGGATCACAAGGTCAGGAGATCGAGACCATCCTGGCTAACATAGTGAAATCCCGTCTCTACTAAAAGTACAAAAAATTAGCTGGGCGTGGTGGTGGGCACCTGTAGCCCCAGCTACTTGGGAGGCTGAGGCAGGAGAATGGCGTGAGGCAACAGTGCAGCCTGGGCAACAGTGCAAGACTCTGTCTCAAAAAAAAAGATGAAGATGGATCCCGGCTTGGCCTCTGGCTAGAACATGGCACCTTGAAGGAGCAAAACAACTTGGGGTAGAACAGATTGTTTCACGGTGAGACAGTTAGAGCCTTATAAGGAGTTAATGATGGGATTGGGGTTCTGTCCTCTGTTCTCAACTCTGAACCTAGCACATTGCTGCTGTGAGGTCTGCTGCTGTGAGGTCCACCACTGTTTATTTTCCATGTAATTTGCAACAACTCTAGTCTGGAGTGGCAAGACTTCTGATTTCTCTCTTCTCTTCCCCAGAAAGTCACACTGCACATAAAATGGCCCAAGAGCGTGGAGGTAGAAGGCTATGGCAGCAAGAAGATCGATGCTGAGCGGCAGGCTGCAGCTGCAGCCTGCCAGCTGTTCAAGGTGACCCTTCCTCAGTGAAAGCCACTGAGACCTTCCTCCTGGAAACTCCTTGCCCTTTGTTTTTATTGGTAGAGGTTGGCCCAGTGTTCTACCACTCACCTGCCCTGAGCCCTTCCCACTTCCTGATTCCTTTCTTACTGTTCAGCCAATGAGATATATATATATATATATATATATATATTTTTTTTTTTTTTTTCCTGTGTTTTTGGTTTTTTTTTTTTTCCTTTGAGTCAGAGTTTCACTCTGTTGCCCAGGCTGGAGTGCAGTGATGCGATCTTGGCTCACTGCAACCTCCACTTTCTAGGTTCAAGTGATTCTCATGCCTTAGCCTCCCAAGTAGCTGGGATTGCAGGTGCCCACCACCACGCCTGGCTAATATTTGTATTTTTAGTAGAGAGGGGGTTTCACCCTGTTGGCCAGGCTGGTCTTGAACTCCTGACCTCAAGTGATCCACCTGCCTAGGCCTCTCAAAGTGTTGGGATTACAGGCGTGAGCTCGTAATCTATTTTCTGTGGTTTTAAAAACCGCCCAGCCTATCTTCTGTGGTTTTAAAAACTACAGAGAGGAACTACTTTATGAAAAACTTCCGACACACAGCGTGAGGGATATATTTCCATGTTGGTTTCTGTTTTTCTTTTCTCATCATTTCATGTAGGTTTTTCTCTATCGCAATGTAGTCCTGTCTTACTTTTTTTAAATTTTTTAATTTTTTTTAATTTTTGTTTGAGACGGAGTCTCGCTCTGTTGCCTGGGCTGGCGAGATCTCAGCTCACTGCAAGCTCTGCCTCCCGGGTTCATGCCATTCTCCTGCCTCAGCCTCCCAAGTAGCTGGGACTACAGGTGCCCGCCACCATGCCCGACTAATTTTTGTATTTTTAGTAGAGATGGGGTTTCAACTTGTTAGCCAGGATGGTCTCAATCTCCTGACTTTGTGATCTGCCTACCTCGGCCTCCCAAAGTGCTGGGATTACAGGCATGAGCCACCATGCCTGGCCAACTTTTTTTTTAATTTTTAAAAATATTTTCATTTTTAGGCCAGGCACGGTGGCTCACGCCTGTATTCCCAGCACTTTGGGAGGCCGAGGTGGGCAGATCACGAGGTCAGGAGCTTGAGACCAGCCTGACCAACATGGTGAAACCTTGTCTGTACTAAAAATACAAAAATTAGGTGGGTGTGGTGGCAGGCACCTGTAATCCCAGCTACTCGGGAGGCTGAGGCAGGAGAATCATTTGAACCTGGGAGGCGGAGGTTGCAGTGAGTCGAGATCACACCATTGCGCTCCAGCCTGGGCCTCAGGATGAGACTCCGTCACAAAAAAAAAATAATAATAAATTTTTTCATTTTTAGTAGAGACGAGGTCTCACTATGTTGCTCAGGCTGGTCTCTAACTCCTGGCCTCAAACAGTCCTCCTGCCTCCACCTCCCAAAGTGCTGGGTTTACAAACATGCGGCACCGTGCCTAGCTCTAATTTTTCTGAGACAGGGTCTTGCTCTGTTGCCCAGACTGGAGTGCAGTGGCATGATCATGGCTCACTGCAATCTCGACCTCCCAGGCTCAAGCCATCCTCCCACCTCAGCCTCCCCAGTAGCTGGGACTGCAGGCCTCGCCACCATGCCTGGCTAATGTTTTTGTATTTTTTGTAGAGATGGGGTTTTTCCATGTTGCCCAGGCTGGTCCCAAACTCCTGGTCTCAAGCAGTCCTCCCACCTCAGCCTCGCAAAGTGCTGGGATTACAGGTGTGAACCACCGCACCCGGCCAGGTTGCTAAGTCTTCATCTCTGCTCTGACAAGAAAAAGCCACAGGATGCGTATTCCCTCAGCTTCTCTTCTACTCATGGTCTCCAGGATTTTACTGTTCCTTTCTCTTTCCTGCACTTGAAGAGGCCCTGTTGCTATTCTGGGCCCCCATAGTACCCATCTCTTTTCTCTGTTCCTGTAATAGTCCATTGCTATAAAGGAATACATGAGACTGGGTAATGTATTAAAAAAAAAAAAAAGAGGTTTATTTGTCTCACAGTTCTGCAAACTGTACAAGAAGCCTGGTGCCAGCATCTGCTTGACTTCTGGTGAGGCCTCAGGAAGTCATGGTGGAAGGGAAGGGGAGCTGGTGTGTCCCACAGCAAGAGAGAAGCTAGAGTCATTGAAACAACTAGCTCCTGTGTGAACTAACAGGGCAAGAACTCAGTCATTACTGTGGGGAGGGCATCAAGCCATTCATGAGAGATCTGCCCCCATGACCCAAACACCTCCCACCAGGCCCACCTTTGTCATTGGGGATCACATTTTGGCATGAGATGTGGAGGGGGCAGATACCCAGACTGTAACAGTGCCCTTTTCTGTGTCTCTTCTGCATCTCCTCTCTTGCCCTTTTGTTTAATTTTCAGATTCTTCCTCTTCTGGTTCTTTTCTATAGGCCTCAAAAATATTCAGTGCTCTGATTTTTTCCCTTGGCTCTGATCCACTGCAAACAGCTCTCTGTGCTTGTATTTTCTCCACTCTGCTGACTTGGCCATCTTCGTTCATGCCCTCTAGTTACTTTTTTTTTTTTTTTTTAAATAGAGATGGGGTCTTACTATATTGCTGAGGCTGGTTTTGAACTCCTGGGTTCAAGCCATCCTCCCGCCTCAGCCTCCCAAAGTGCTAGGATGACAGGCATGAGCCACTGCACCCAGCCTATGTGTATTTTACTCAATTTAAAACAGAAAAAAAAGGCTTTAGTGGACCACTCTAAATACTTTTCCTTGTTGCACACTTTAGGTATTTAGTTTTCTCTCTGAAGGCCTTTTCCTTTTTCTTTTTTTTTTTTTTTTTTATTCCTCTCTCCCATCGTCTTGGCATTTTCCTTATTGTTGAATCTTGAACTATTCTTAATGAATGGTTATATCTGGAGGGGCTGATAAAATGATCCATTTTATATTAACTTGAGAGCCAGTTAATATCTTTTTTTTTTTTTTAATAGAGACAGGGTCTTACTCTGTTGCCCAGGCTGGTCTCTAATTCCTGGGCTGAAGCGATCCTTCTGCCTCGGCCTCCCAAAGTGCTGGGATTACAGATGTGCGCTGACTGCCTGGCCTCTGTGTACCTCTGTATCCCCACAGTGCTCTGTAGCCTTGGCACTGCCATGCATTTCGTCCTCAGCCACTGGAAGACCTCTGCTTCTCTTTTCTCTCTAGGTCACTCTCAAGTACCTTTTCCTCTTCCACCCTCTAAAACATCTTGATTGATTGATTGATTGAGATGGGGTCTAGCTATGTTGTCTAGGCAGGTCTTGAACTCCAGAGCTCCTGCCTCAGCTTCCAGGTAGCTGGGATTACAGGCACACACAACCATGCCCAGCTAATTTTCTTTCCTCCCTGGGGAATCTTGTCTCTTACAGGTTCAACCATTCTCTCTGTGTTTAATGTCTCGAAAATATCCATCTCCCATAGGGTAGGTCTACCTCAGTGATTCTCAACCATGGATGATTTTGTTCCTCACGGAACATCTAATTCTTTTTTTTTTTTTTTCTTTTTCTTTTTGAGACAGGATCTCACTCTGTTGTCCAGGCTGGAGTACAGTGGCGCAGTCTCAGCTCACTGCAACCTCTGGCTCCCGGGCTCAAGTGATCCTCCCACCTCAGCCTCCCAAGTAGCTGGGACTACAGGTGTGTGCCACCATGCTCAGCTAATGTTTTTATATTTTTGGTAGAGACAGGGTTTTGCCATGTTGGCCAGGCTGGTCTCAAACTCCTAAGCTCAAGCAGTCTGCCTGCCTTGGCCTCCCAAAGTGCTGGGATTACAGGTGTGATCCACTGTGCCTGGCCTCTTTTTTTTTTTTTTTTTTTTTTCCTGTAGAGATGGTGTCCCGCTATGTTGTCTAGGCTGGTCTTGAACTTCTGGGCTCCAGTTATCCTCCCACCTTAGCCTCCCAAAGTGCTGGGATTATAGGTGTGAGTCACGGCTCCTGGCATAATTATTTTTTTATTGTCTTTATTTAATGTGTACAGTATGGTGTTTCATATTCACATACACTTTCATAAACACAGAATGAAATGAATACTATATTCAAGCAAATTAACATATCCATCACCTCAAATAGTTATCTTTTTTTGTGGTAAGAGCACCTAAGGCTGGGTATGGTGGCTCATGCCTGTAATTCCAGCAATTTGAGAGGCTGAAGTAGGCGGATCACTTGAGTCCACGAGTTTGAGACAAGCCTGGGCAACAGGGCGAAAAGCCTTTTTTGTATTTTATAAAAAATACAAAAATTAGCAGGGCATGGTGGTGTTTGCCTGTAGTCCCAGCTACTTGGGAGGCTGAGGTGGGAGGATTGCTTGAACCTGGGAGGCAGAGGTTGCAGTGAGCCGAGATCATACCACTGACCTCCAGCCTGGGCAGCAAAGCAGGACTCTCTCTCTCTCTCAAAAAAAAAAAAAAAAAAAAAGAAAGAGCACCTAAAATGTACTCTTGGGCGCTGGCTCATGCCTGTAATCTCAGCACTTTGGGAGTCTGAGGCTGGCGGATCACGAGGTCAGGAGTTCGAGACCAGCTTGGCCAACATGGTGAAACCCTGTCGCTACTAGAAATACAAAAATTAGCCGGGCATAGTGGTGCATGCCTGTAGTCCCAGCTACTCGGGAGGCTGAGGCAGGAGAATCGGTTGAACCCAGGATGCAGAGGTTGCAGTGAGCTGAGATCACGCCACTGCACTTCAGCCTGAGCAACAAGAGCAAAACTCCATCTCCAAAAAAGAAAAAAAATGTATTCTCTTAGCAAATTTCCAGTTTATAATACAGTATTATTAATTATAGTCCTTATGGTGTACATTAGATCTTTAGACTTACTCTTCTTATATATATGTAACTTTACATCCTTGGACCTACATCTCCCCATTTCTCTTTTCTTCCTGCCCCTGGTAACTACCAGGTCTACTCTGTTTCTGTGTATTCAGCTTATTTTAGATTCCACATATGAGATCATGTGGTATTTTCATTTTGTTTTGTTTTTGAGACCAAGTCTCGGCCTGTTGCCCAGGCTAGAGTGCAGTGGCGTGATCTTGGCTCACTGCAACCTCCGCCTCCTAGGTCCAAGCAATTCTCATGTCTCAGCCTCCCGAGTAGCTGGGACTACGGGCATGTGCCACCACACCCAGCTAATTTTTGTATTTTTTGTAGAGATGGGGTTTCGCCATGGTGGCCAGGCTGGTCTTGAACTCCTGACCTGAAGTGATCTGCCCGCCTTGGCCTCTTGAAGTGCTGGGATTACAGGTGTGAGCCACTACTCCTGGCCCATGTGGTATTTTCTTTGTGTCTGGTTTACTTAGCATAATGTCTTCCAGGTTTATCCATGTTTTTACTTTTATTTATTTATTTTGAGACAGGGTCTTGCTCTGTGGCCTAGGCTGGAATGCAGTGGTGCGATCATGGCTCACTGCAGACTCCACCTCCAGGGCTCAAGAGATCCTCCCACCTCAACCTCTGGAGTAACTGAGACTGCAGGTGTGCGCCACCACACCTGGCTAATTTTGTAGAGATGGGGTCTTCCAGTGTTGCCCAGACTGGTCTTGAACTCCTGAGCTCAAGCAATCCACCTGTCTCAGCCTCCCAAAGTGCTGGGATTACAGGCATGAGCCACTGCACCTGGCCAGATCTCCTCTTCTTTAAAGGCTGAATAATATCCTGTTGTGTATATGTACCATTCATCCTTTGACAGATGCTTAGGTTGTTTCCGTATCTTGACTGTTGTGAATAATGCTGCAGTTAACATGGGAGTGCAGACATCCCTATGAGCTGATGATTTCATTCCCTTTGGGTATATACCCAGAGCAGATATTGCTGGACCATATGGTAGTTTTATTTTTAATTTTTTGAGGAACTTCTTTATTTTTTATTTTATTTTTTATTTTTTGAGATGGAGTCTTGCTCTGTTGCCCAGGCTAGAGTGCAGCAGCGCGATCTCGGCTTACTGCAGCCTCTGCCTCCTGGGTTCAAGCAATTCTCCTGCCTCAGCCTCCCGAGTGCCTGGGATTACAGGCATGTGCCATCATGCCTGGCTAATTTTTTTTTTTTTTTTTTTTGACATGGAGGTTCGCTCTTATTGCCCAGGCTGGAGTGCAGTGGCGCAATCTCAACTCACTGCAACCTCCGTCTCCTGGGTTCAAGCAGTTCTGTCTCAGCCTCCCGAGTAGCTGGGATTACAGGCATGTGCCACCACGCCTGGAATTTTGTATTTTTACTAGAGATGGGGTTTCTCCATGTTGGTCAGGCTGGTCTCGAACTCCTGACCTCAGGTGATCTGCCTGCCTCGGCTTCCCATAGTGCTGGGATTACAGGTGTGAGCCACTGTGCCCGGCCAATTTTTTTGTACTTTTAGTACAGATGGGGTTTCACCATGTTGGCTAGGCTGGTCTCGAACTCCTGACCTCAGGTGGTCCACCCGCCTCAGCCTCCCAAAGTTCTGGGATTACAGGTGTAAGCCACTGCGCCCGGCCAATTTTTTTGTACTTTTAGTAGAGATGGGGTTTCACCATGTTGGCTAGGCTGGTCTCAAACTCCTGACCTCAGGTGGTCCACCCGCCTCAGCCTCCCAAAGTTCTGGGATTATAGGCATGAGCCACTGTGCCTGGCTCTCTTTTGGGTTTTCTATATATAAGATATGTCATTTGTAAGCAGGGATAATTTTACTTCTTTCTTTCCAGTTTGGATGCCTTTTTTTCTTGTCTGCCTGCACTTTCTAGTACTTTTAGTACTATGTTGAAAAAAAGTGCTGAGAGTGGCCAGGGGCCATTTGGCAATGTCTGTAGGGATTTTCGTTGGACACAGGTGGAGGAGTGCTACTGGCAGCTGTAAGATCAAGGCCAGGAATGCTTCTTCCCAGCTTACAGTACACAGGACAGCCCCCTATAGCAAAGAATTACCCTGCTCAAAATAGCAATTATGCTGAAGCTGAGAAATCCTTCTCTGCCTGGCTGACTGGCTGGCTGGATGTTTGAAGGCACTTTAAACTCAGACTTTTGTTTTTTGAGATGGAGTCTTTCTCTTTCGCCCAGGCTAGAGTGCAATGGTGCAATGGCGTGATCTTGGCTCACTGTAACCTCTGTCTGCCTCCTGGATTTAAGTGATTCTCCTGCCTCAGCCTCCCTCATAGCTGGGATTACAGGTGCCTGCCACCACGCCTGGCCAATTTTTGTATTTCTAGTAGAGATGAGGTTCCACCATGTTGGCCAGGCTGGTCTCAAAGTCTCCTGACCTTAGGTGATCCGCCTGCCTCTGCCTCCGCCTCCCAAAGTGTTGGGATTACAGACATGAGCTACTGTGCCCGGCCATCCCAGCCTGTCTGAAGCAGGTCATTATCACATTTTTCTCCATCTCTTTTTCTCTTCCCCATCTATGTGTATAGTTTTGTTTTGTTTTGTTTTGTTTTGAGATGGTGTCTTGCTCTGTTGCCCAGGCTAGAGTGCAGTGGCGCAATCTCGGCTCACTGCAACGTTCACGTCCTGGGTTTAAGCGATTCTCCTGCCTCAGCCTCCCGAGTAGCTGGGACTACAGGTGCGCACCACCACGCCCAGCTAAGTTTTGTATTTTTAGTAGAGACAGGGTTTCACCATATTGGCCAGACTGGTCTTGAACTCCTGACCTCGCGATCTGCCTGCCTCCCAAAGTGCTGGGATTACAGGTGTGAGCCACCGTGCCCAGCCTAGTTGTTTTTGTTTTTTTGATCATAGCGATCCTAATGGGTGTGAGATGAGATCTTGTTGTGGTTATAGGAGTTGTTTTTTATTCTAGAACTCAGCCTTTTATTCTCTAATAGCTGTACTCCCAGTTCTTCAGCGTTTCCCTTTCCCCCCAAATCAGATGTCTTTTTCTGCATTGCCCATAGGCTTGGTGAGACGTGCTGGCAGCACAAAGGGGACTGAGTCAGCAGCCACAGCCAAGAAGAAGGTGTCCACGGGAGGACATAAATGCACCCCAGCCTCCTAAATAGAAGAGGCTTATTCTTGAAGAATGGTCCTTGCCAGGGCCGAGGGCTGGAGCAAGGCACTCCAGACTCAGGCCAATGTGGCTTAGAGCCCGGGTGAATATGCGTGGCTATGGGGAATGAGAATGAATGTGGGTCTGCCTGCTGGGCCATGCGGTAGACGGGCAGGGAGGAGCTAGAACTCCAGGGCCTTCACTGTCACAGGGGCAGAATGATTTGATCCTGTGGCTGCCAGGGCTTCTGACTAGTGGTAATTGATAGAATGACACAGCCAAGTTTGCTTTTAGGGAAAATCACTGACAGCAGTAGTTTTTGGCAAGACCAGAGACAGGGACACTGGATGGAAGAGAATACCAGCGGCAGCTGTGGAGGAGGTTTCTTCAACGGTATTAGAGGGCCAGGCATGAGGGCCTGTAATCCTAGCACTTTGGGAGGCTGAGGCGGGTGGATCACAAGGTCAGGAGCTCGAGAGCAGCCTGGCCGACATGGTGAAACCCCATCTCTACTAAAAATACAAAAATTAGCCGGGCCTGGTGGCGTACGCCTGTAATCCCAGCTACACAGGAAGCTGAGGCAGGAGAATCGCTTGAACCTGGCAGGCAGAGGTTGCAGTGAGCCGAGATGATGCCATTGCACTCCAGCCTGGGTGACAGAGTGAGACTCTGTCTCTAAAAAGGAACAACAACAAAAAGGTATTAGAGAAGTTGCACGGACAGCTCCTGGACAGTTGAGGAGGTGGGAGGGAGAATGGGTTGGAGGGGCAGCATGCGCCAGCAGGGGGAGCTGTGGACGAGCAATGGGTTGGCGCCTAGGTTATGGCAAGAACAGTGGCTGGTGGATGTTGGTACAGCTCAGGACCGGTGTGGGAGCATGGCCAGGACCAGCAGTGAGCCTGTGGGGACGAGATCCTCTGGTCTAGTGAAAGAGTGGTTGCAAAGGCAGGGGGAGAACGGTGCTGTCCTGCTGGGGAAGCCAGGCCAAGGAGGGATGCTTGTATTGCTGCTCTGTGGAACCAGAGGCATTCTTGTCAGAAGGGAGGCGGTGACGCAAAAGTGTGGCAGCTGAGCCTTGGATCGGGCCCTGCCCCAAGGGTTCGCGAATGTGTGTGTGGCATACCTTGGCCCCATCGTCTGTCCCATAATCCTGCGGTTTTCACGCGTCTATTCTTAATAGACAGACTTTAGAATTGGTTTGTCAAATGCTTAATAAGAAGCCTCTGCAGACTTTGATTGGAATTGTGTTCAATTTATGGATTAATTTAAGAGGTTTTTGTCTCCTCACACATAAAAGTTCTATCATCCAGGAACATATATCTCCATGGATTTACATCCTTTTGCCAAGTTGTGTGCTTAGTCCATACCTTTCTGACCCACCTTAGTTCACCTTAGGTAGGTGATGGTTTTTGTTACTGTTGTGAATAGAATTTTTAAAATTAAATTTAATTATCTCAAAAACCCAAGGAGAAAGTTTTATGAAGGCAGGCCATGGTCACTCTCCAGCTTGTCATGAGTTGGGTGGGATTGAAAGCTCACTGTAGAGAGGTTCCTGGCCCGTGGCCCGTGCTGTCTGCTGTCACATGGCCCTGATGTTCACCTGACAGGCCTTGTTCTTGCTGTCCCGCAGACTTTGTCGCCTTTACCACTCCCAGTGGCAGCTCCTGCAACCTGTGCTTTCTTTGCAGTTGCTCCTGTTCTCCCAGCTGCTCACTCATCTCACCCACGTCTTTGTTCCTTAGACCCTGGCCATCTGCATTTCTCTTCTGCTGCTTAGATTCCTTGTTTGTTTGTTTGTTTGTTTTTGGAGATAGGGTCTTGCTCTGTCACCCAGGCTGGAGTTCAGTGGTGTGATCATGGCTCACTGCAGCCTCGATCTGTAGGCCTCAAGTGATCCTCTTGCCTCAGCCTCCCAAGTCTCTGGGACTACAGGCACATACCACCACCCCTGGCTAACTGCCTCTTATATTCCGAACTGCTTGAGGGCAAGGACCAGGTCTTGTCTCTCCTGATGATGCTTAGGTGGCCAACATGTTGCTGCGTACATGCTAGAGACTTAGGCAATGTTTAATTTATATTTTCTGTAGAAAAGCATGAAGCTATAACACATTTAAAATCATATTTTTGTATAAATAGCTTTAACATTTCAAGTTATTTCTCTAGAATGTATTCCTAACATAGGATTCTTATATTCTCTTTTTTTTTTTTTTTTTTTTGAGACGGAGTTTCGCCGGAGGTTTGCTCTTGTTACCCAGGCTGGAGTGCAATGGTGCGATCTCAGCTCACCGCAACCTCTGCCTCCCAGGTTCAAGTGATTCTCCTGCCTCAGCCTCCCAAGTAGCTGGAATTACAGGCATGCACCACCATGCCCAGCTGATTTTGTGTTTTTAGTAGAGACGGGGTTTCTCCATATTGGTCAGGCTGGTCTCAAACTCCTGACCTCAGGTGATCCGCCCACCTCGGCCTCCCAAAGTGCTGGGATTACATGCGTGAGCCACCGTGCCCAGCCTTCAGGATTCTTATATTCTTATATATAACTTCTTATAACAGAAGTTGTATCCGTTTCATGGTGTGGGCTACATAGGTTTTTTTGTTTGTTTGTTTGTTTGTTTTTTTGTGGAGTCTCTATTGCCCAGGCTGGAGTGCAGCAGCCCCATCTCAGCTCACTGCAACCACTGCCTCCCAGGTTCAAGCGATTCTCCTGTCTCAGCCCCCTGAGTAGCTGAGATTACAGGTGCCCACCACCACGCCCGGCTAATTTTTGTATTTTTAGGAGGATGGGGTTTCGCCATGTTGGCCAGGCTGGTCTCCAACTCCTGACCTCGAGTAGTCCACCTGCCTGGGCCTCCCAGAGTTCTGGGATTACAGGTGTGAGCCACTGTGCCCGTCTGGCTACGTATTTTTTTTTCTTTTCTTTTCTTTTTTTTTTTGAGACGGAATCTTGCTCTGTCGCCCAGGTTGGAGTGCAGTGCCATGATCTTGGCTCACTGCAAGCTCCGCCTCCCAGGTTCACGCCATTCTCCTGCCTCAGCCTCCCAAGTAGCTGGGACTACAGGCACTCGCCACCACGCCTGGCTAATTTTTTTGTATTTTTAGTAGAGACAGGGTTTCACCGTGTTGGCCAGGATGGTCTCGATCTCCTGACGTCATGATCCGCCCGTCTCGGCCTCCCAAAGTGCTGGGATTACAGGTGTGAGCCACCGCACCCGGCCCTACGTACTTTTTAATTGCTGTATTTACTGAAGCTTCCTAGATCATTATGTGAATGTATCTTCTTGGGCTTGGTGCGGTGGCTCATGTCTGTAATCCTAGCACTTTGGGAGGCCAAGGCGGGCGGATCTGTTGGGTCCAGGAGTTCAAGACCATCCTGGGCAACATGGTGAAGCCCTGTTGCTACAAAAATTCGCTGGGCGTTGTGGTGCATGCCTTTAGTCCCAGTTACTTTGGAAGTTGAGGTGGGAGGGTCACCTGAGCCCAGGAGGCAGAGGTTGTAGTGAGCCGTGATTGTGCCACTGCACTCCAGTCTGGGTGACAGAGCGAGACCCTGTGTCAAAAAAACAAAAAACAAACAGTATCTTCTGCTCACCCATTGCCATGTGGGGTTATTTGTTTGCATCAAAGCTAGGCATCTTTGAGAGTTCCATGCCCAGTTCTGGACTAGGGGCTGAAGTGGGTAAACAGATGAAAAACCACGGCTGCACAACACAACTTAACGGTGTAGCTGGACACGGACCAGGCCGACTGAGGTGTAAAGATGGTATCAATCCTTAAAACGTCCCTTTTCCCCTCCAGGGTTGGGGTCTGCTAGGTCCCCGGAATGAGTTGTTTGACGCAGCCAAATACCGAGTGCTAGCTGATCGCTTTGGCTCCCCTGCCGACAGCTGGTGGCGTCCGGAACCCACCATGCCCCCTACTTCCTGGCGGCAGCTGAATCCAGAGAGTATTCGACCAGGGGGACCTGGGGGCCTATCCCGCTCTTTAGGCCGGGAAGAAGAGGAGGACGAGGAGGAAGAGCTAGAAGAAGGGACCATAGATGTTACCGACTTCTTGTCCATGACCCAGCAGGATTCCCACGCTCCACTCAGGGACTCAAGGTACAGATGGAGGATGGGGATGCAGCAGAGGCTGGCTGTGCCTTGACACGGGGATGGGCGAATGTTCTCTGCTAGCTTTCTCTGAGATGGGAGCGCCCCTGCCTCACATTTCAGCCTGTGTGCCCCATCACTCAGTGTGTGTCTGCCCATTCTTGGGGGACAGCCAGCTGTGGTCTTCTATGTGGCTGGGCTTTTGCAGAACAGCAGCATGGAGCCCCTGCTCTCTGCTATCTTATCTGTGTGAGGGAATGGAGGGAGCAGTCCCCATGCAGTGTGGCTGTGGGAGGAGCAGAGACGCCCGGTTTCCCATCCATTTCATGCCTTCTGCCCTTCTGGCTCCCTGCTGCAGCGCAGCGTCCTCACCCCTACATCGCAGAGCCTCAGGGAAATTGGTCCAGGAAGAGAGAATTCTTTCAGTTAAACTTTTGGTCCTCCCAGGGGGAGTTCCTTTGAGATGACAGATGACGACAGTGCCATTAGGGCTCTGACCCAGTTTCCACTTCCCAAGAACCTTCTGGCCAAGGTGATTCAGATTGCAACGTCATCCTCCACAGCTAAGGTGAGTTGGGTCTCCTAGAAGTTTGTGTGGGGGCCGTTTACTTGGTCATGTCTGGTGTTCCCTAAAGGCAGGTTTAGAGAGGGCTGAGGGGGTGTGTTCCTCCAGCCCAAACCTAGGCCAGGTGGAGGAACTCCTGCTTGGGAGGAAAAGCAGCAGGTGTGATGGAATGGAGGTCAAGCCTCAGCAGCACAGGGAGTGGGCTTGGGGGCCGCAAGAGCAGAAGACCCATACCTCTTCTGGGCGGTGGATTGTCAGTGGGGAAGGGTTAGAGGTGTGGGTCTTGGTGAGGTATGAATTTCTCTCTTGCTGCCAGGCGAAGGGGCTTTGGTCATGAAATGCCTAACCTTGTTTTTACTTTAACTCGTTGCTTTGAATTTTGTCCTGCTTGTCTCTTTAATCACCTAGCCTTGCTTCTCATGTAAAATAAGACTCTCTCTAGCTAAGAAAGCCGTACAAACCCCAATTGACCCCTTAATTTACAAGACACTAAGGGCTCCTCACCCAACCCCCTTTCGTAAGGAGTTGGCCTGGGTAAACAGATCCTCAGCATTTCAAAGGAGCCTAATTAACTGATAAGGTACGAACACCAACAATATATGAAGTTCCCAGGAATTTTCTCCAAGAGATAACAACATAAAACCTTGAGTTCGTGTCTGGCGTAGACCCTATATCTAATTATAATGAAAGATTTAGAATCTTGCACCTGGTACTGTTGCTCTTCTTGTAACCATTTGTCTTTTAAGTTGTTTATCACTCTGTAACCATTTTGATTCTTTTGATTCTTGCATGTTTTTACTTCTGTAGAATTATTACATTTAAGTCCCCCTCCCCTTCCTAAACCTAAGTATAAAAGTTAATCGAGCCCCTTCCTCGTGGCCGAAAGAATTTTGAGCATTAGCTGTCTCTTTGGCCGCCGGCTTAATAAAGGACTCTTAATTCGTCTCAAAGTGTGGCGTTTCCTTAACTCGCCTAAGTACAACAGTTAAGCAGAGCTTCTGTCCAGGTGCAGGGTCTTTTTGCTCCCGCAGGATGTGCCTGGTTTTTAGCTCATGCTGACAGCTTCAACCCACAGCTGCCACGATGTTGCCGAGATGACAGTGGGCTAGGAGGGCAGGTGATGGCATTGCCCAAGCACTGTCTTCTGCAGTGGAAGTCGAGGTATAGCAGGAGAAGCGAGCCTGGGACTAGGGTGCCTGAGCCCATGGGCCTGCTCCTGGCTATGCAGCAGCACCTCTAGCATGGCTCACGCCTGGCACCTGCTGAGATGGTGGCTCATTCTGTCTCTGGGCTCCTTGGCATTCTGAGAATGCCCCAAGTCTCTTCCCATTCCCTACATTTCTGTAACCATCTCTCTTGCCTTCCATGTAGAACCTCATGCAGTTCCATACTGTGGGCACCAAGACCAAGCTGTCTACACTCACCCTGCTCTGGCCCTGCCCCATGACCTTTGTTGCCAAAGGGCGCCGCAAAGCAGAGGCTGAGAATAAGGCGGCAGCCTTGGCCTGCAAGAAACTGAAGGTGAGTCCAGGAAGGTCCTGGGTGTGGTGCATGAGAATGTCTTGAAGCTCCCCTCTGCCAGTGGCAAATGGGTCCCATTTTCTAGGAAATGAAACCACCACAGCAGGCCTTTTGCCTGGCACAAAGACAGCTGGTATGCAGGCCTCGCTTGTAGGCCCTGTGGCTGTTGCCATGGCTTTTCCAGAGGCCCTGTGGAGATACTTTGCCCGTGACCCAGCATTTTCCACACTGTTGGCCTGAACCTGGTGAGGCCGGGAGGAAACTTGCTCATTGTTCTGAATAGTATAAAGCCGGGAGGAGCCGGGCCTGTTTTGAGAGGCAGACCTGGTGTCCAGTATGATCCTGATAACCCGGGTTTTGTGGGCAGAATGAATAATGTGACTTGTGACTGCAGTGATGATTGAGGAAGCAGTCAGGATCAAGGTAGAGACAGTGTGGCAGACAGCTGGCAGTTCTCTTTTTTTTGAGACAGGGTCTCTGTGGCCCAGGCTGGAGTATAGTGGCACGATCATGGCTCACTGCAGCCTCGATCTCCTAGGCTTAAGCGATCCTTTCACCTCAGCCTCCTGCATAGCTGGGACCATAGGTATGCACCACCACTCCCAGCTTATTTTTAAACATTTTTTGTAGAGACAAGGGTCTCACTGTGTTGCGAAGACTGGTCTTAAAATCTTGGGCTCAATCAGTCTTTCTACCTTCACTTCCTAAAGTGTTGGGATTGCAGGCGTGAGCCACCGCTCCTGGCCATGGCCGTTCTCTTGAAAGGGGCTGGTGGAGTTAGCTGATGGCACAGTAGTGGGAGGGAGTTGGGATTGTCTCTGACTGCCTGAGGAGTTAGTAATCTCAACCCATGTTGGTGGAGGTTTAGTTTGCAGACCAAGATAGAAATGGGCCTGCTTTACTCTGAATGGTCAGGTGCACCATTTCATGGGTACAGTTGGCTCTGGGAACCATGTTTTAGTTACAGCTGATGGTGAGAGGTAACAAGAACCTGGAGAAAGACGAGGAAGAGGGGACAGGCAATTGGTGAGATAAAGAGGGCACAGATATGCTACCTGTGACTCGAGGGCAGAACAAGGACTGAGTAGAACTGGAGGCATCTGAGCTTTGGCCTGATGCACACGCACTGTGAGCAGAAGCACCTTGGCATGGTAGGGGCCTGTCTGGGAAGGAGCAAGCTTTGCAGTGGCTGGAGGGCCATTTGTCAGTGAGGCTGGTGGGTAAAACCCATGAAGTCTGGGGAGAGGGCAGAAGCCTGTTCCTGCAGCAAGGAGCTTGTGTTGGCACCTCCTGTGGTATGAGGACCAGATTCCTGTCCTTTAGGTCCTTATAGCTGATGGTGCCAGCACGCCCAGAGGCAGGGGGTTGGCCCCTGTTGGGGGAAGACTTCTTTAAGGAGGGAGTGTTTGATCTGGGCTCCGAAGGGTGAGCAGAGTCCAGCCATTAGAGGTGACAGGAACACAAGACTAGTTTTACCCATGTGCGTGAGGTATTGGAATGCTATGTTTTATCTCTGGTGAGGTGGCTTTAGGTATGTAGGGAGGTAAGACACAGTGTTTTCCTTCCAGTGGCTTGTTTGATCAAGTTGCATTATAATCGACATTTACAGGAAATTCCACGTGCATCTGTATATGATGGGGTCACAGATGGGTCGGGTGCCATGTAGGGATTGGGAGGCGGGATGGAAGGATTAGGGGAGGAAGGCTTTGATGAGGCAGCAAAGGAAGAGGGAGTCTGTGGGGTGCGTTCTAGCATCGAGGGCCTGGCCTGGCTGGTCTGAGGGTACATGTTGGGAATTCACAGAGGTGACAGTGGCCTATTGTGGTGTTGGGGGGGCTGTAGCCACACAGTGAGTGGTTTCTCCTCAGGGCCTTCTCCAGACGTAGGGCTGTTCTGCTGTGACACATCAGGTTTAGCTTTTCTTGAATTAACTTTATTATTATTTTCTTTGAGACAGAGTCTCGCTCTGTCGCCCAGGCTGGAGTGCACCGTCATGATCTCGGCTCACTGCAACCTGTGTCTCCAGGGTTCAGGCGATTCTCGTGCCTCAGCCTCCCTAGTAGCTGGGACTATAGGTGCCGGCCCCCCACCTGGCTAATTTTTGTATTTTTAGTAGAGATGGGGTTTCACCATGTTAGCCAGGCTGGTCTCGAACCCCTGACCTCAGGTGATTTGCCTGCCTCGGCCTCCCAAAGTGCTGGGATTACAGGCGTGAGCCACCGCGCCCGGCCTGAATTAACTTTAGTTCATTTTTTAAAACGTTTATTTTGGTAAGTTAACATTTTCCTAGTTCATAATTTCTCCCTCCATCACCATGTCAGCCAAAATCCAAAATCTCTTAGAGATTACTTGGCACAACTTATGCGTTGGAGCTCCTGAGCTTGTCTGGGCTGGTTTTTGGGGAGCCCCAGAGCATAGACTGAGTCTTGCATGTCCCCCTGCAGAGCCTGGGCCTGGTGGACAGGAACAACGAACCGCTTACACACGCCATGTATAACCTGGCCTCTTTGCGTGAGCTGGGTGAGACCCAGCGCCGACCATGCACCATCCAGGTGCCCGAGCCCATCCTCCGCAAGATAGAGACCTTCCTGAACCATGTAAGAGGCCCTGCATCCCTCACCACCCCTGCTCCCTGTAGTCTGCCTCCATCTCTCCAGACTGAAGGCCTCCACCTGCGACAGGCAGTAGTACCTCCCCATTCTCTTCACTGAGTTTGGGGCCTGGGATCCCCCTGGCCTGAACAGCCCAGTCTTGCCCACAAGGATCCCGGGGCAGTCATGGACTAAATTAATCCTCTGCCCAGCGGGTTGGGCCACAACATCTGACCCAGGCGAATCCTGCAGAGTGGCTGGTTGTGTGTGAATGAGGAATTTCTTTTTCATTGTTTTGCTTGCCTCCCTGCCCTCCAGTACCCTGTGGAGAGTTCATGGATCGCCCCAGAACTCCGGCTGCAGAGTGATGACATCTTGCCCTTGGGCAAGGACTCAGGGCCTCTGAGTGACCCTATCACAGGCAAGCCCTATGTGCCCCTGTTGGAAGCAGAGGAGGTACGTCTCAGCCAGAGTCTGCTAGAACTGTGGCGGCGGCGAGGGCCGGTCTGGCAGGAGGCCCCCCAGCTACCTGTGGACCCACATCGGGACACCATCCTCAACGCCATTGAGCAGCACCCGGTGGTGGTCATCTCTGGGGACACGGGCTGTGGGAAGACCACGCGCATCCCCCAGCTGTTGCTGGAGCGCTATGTGACCGAGGGCCGAGGTGCCCGCTGCAATGTTATCATCACCCAACCTCGCCGCATCTCTGCTGTGTCTGTGGCACAGCGGGTCAGCCACGAACTGGGCCCCTCCCTGCGCCGGAATGTGGGCTTCCAGGTGCGGTTGGAAAGTAAGCCCCCATCCCGAGGCGGGGCCCTGCTCTTCTGCACTGTGGGTATCCTGCTGCGTAAGCTGCAGAGCAACCCCAGCCTGGAGGGCGTGAGCCACGTCATCGTGGATGAGGTGCATGAGCGGGACGTGAACACAGACTTTCTGCTGATCCTGCTCAAGGGCCTGCAGCGGCTCAACCCGGCCCTGCGGCTGGTGCTCATGAGTGCCACAGGGGACAATGAGCGCTTCTCCCGATACTTTGGTGGCTGCCCCGTCATCAAGGTGCCTGGCTTCATGTACCCAGTCAAGGAGCACTACCTAGAGGACATCCTGGCCAAGTTGGGCAAGCACCAGTACCTGCACCGGCACCGGCACCATGAGGTGAGGGACACCCCCATCCCACCCAAGGCTCCTGGCCTTTCCTCCGTGGATGCCCCTCCTCCCTGGCCCTGGGGCTTGGTGCCTGGGGCAAGTTACCCTCCCCAGTCCTCGGTTTCCTTGATAGAAACTGGGGACTAACCCTGCCTGCGTGGCACACGTGAGGATTGGAGTTGATGTCAAGCGGCTCCGTCTCACTGAGTCAGGTGGCTGTGTCCTTGGCATGACCCCTTACCCCGGGGCTGTGACTGTGGCCTCTCTTCCCCCACCCCAGTCTGAGGATGAATGCGCACTCGATTTGGACCTTGTGACTGATCTGGTTCTGCACATCGATGCTCGCGGGGAACCAGGTGGGTGCCTCCCCATCTGTCCCATGCTAGCCCTGGCCACGTTTGCAGCAACAGCTGGCTCATGCCCCAGGGCTCCTTTACAGGTGGGATCCTGTGCTTCCTGCCTGGGTGGCAGGAGATCAAAGGAGTGCAGCAGCGCCTCCAGGAGGCCCTGGGCATGCACGAGAGCAAGTACCTCATCCTGCCAGGTGAGAGCCCCGGCGGAGGGACCAGGGACCTTTGGAAACCAGCCTGACCTCTGTCCTAGGGACTGACCCAACTGGGACTCCAGGGGCCCCGGTTTCTGACCAAGCTGTGGCACTTTTCACTGGGCATAGTGTTTATCTGCGCCTGTTTCATCAAAATGGGGTCAAAATCCTTGCCCTGCCCACATTCCAGGGGGGAATTCTGGTGGAAGCAGTGCCCATAACTGGTGTGTGTCTTGCCCACCAGTGCACTCCAACATCCCCATGATGGATCAGAAGGCCATATTCCAGCAGCCTCCAGTTGGGGTGCGCAAGATTGTCTTGGCCACCAACATTGCTGAGACTTCCATCACAATCAATGACATCGTGCATGTGGTGGACAGTGGGCTGCACAAGGAAGAACGCTATGACCTGAAGACCAAGGTGGCACCTACCTCCTGGGCCCGGCCAACCACTGGGGGAGGGACTCCGTTTTGAGGTGGTCCCCAGCCCAGATCTACCTTAGACCTGCTTTGTGTGTCTTCAGAAGGCCGCGCTTGTGGGGTCTCAGTGTTCCTGATGTAGGGGGCTGGTGAGGGTTACTCAGGGAGTGGGGAAGCACTGAGGAAGTGGCATTTGTGTGCTGCTTACTTGCCACCTCCTCCAGGTGTCCTGCCTGGAGACAGTGTGGGTATCAAGAGCCAATGTGATCCAGCGCCGGGGCCGGGCGGGCCGCTGCCAGTCCGGCTTTGCCTACCACTTGTTCCCTCGAAGCCGGCTGGAGAAAATGGTCCCTTTCCAAGTGCCAGAGATCCTGCGCACACCTCTTGAGAACCTGGTGCTGCAAGCGAAAATCCACATGCCTGAGAAGACGGTGCGGCGGGGCGGGGCAGGGGCTGGCCTGGGGACCAGGCAGGTGGGAGGCAGGCTCATGGCGGGCTCTGGCTCTGTCATAGGCGGTGGAGTTCCTGTCCAAGGCTGTGGACAGTCCAAACATCAAGGCAGTGGACGAGGCTGTGATCTTGCTCCAGGAGATCGGTATGTAGGGGCTGGGCTGGGCTGGGCTGGGGAGTGGCTCTCGAGGGTGGTACTGACAGCTGAGCCGTTGCAGGGGTGCTGGACCAGCGGGAGTACCTGACTACCCTGGGGCAGCGCCTGGCTCACATCTCCACCGACCCCCGGTTGGCCAAGGCCATTGTGTTGGCTGCCATCTTCCGTTGCCTGCACCCACTACTGGTGGTCGTTTCCTGCCTCACCCGGGACCCCTTCAGCAGCAGCCTACAGAACCGGGCAGAGGTGGACAAGGTCAGTCCTGGCTCCTTCCTGGAGCCGTCCACCCACTGCTGTTCTGAGGGGGCGTTGTCTAGCCCCTGCCTGTGATCCGGCTGCCCTCTTCTCCCCTCCCAGGTGAAAGCACTGTTGAGCCATGACAGCGGCAGTGACCACCTGGCCTTTGTGCGGGCTGTCGCCGGCTGGGAGGAGGTGCTGCGTTGGCAGGACCGCAGCTCCCGGGAGAATTACCTGGAGGAAAACCTGCTGTACGCACCCAGCCTGCGCTTCATCCACGGTCAGTCGGGCCCACACCTGCTCTCCTGAGCCCCTCCCACCCCCACTGAGTTTCTGTCACCTCCAGCCTGTGGCTAGGGGCTGTAGGTCCACCACACATTCTGTCTCCCTAGGACTCATCAAGCAGTTCTCAGAGAACATTTATGAGGCCTTCCTGGTGGGGAAGCCCTCGGACTGCACCCTGGCCTCCGCCCAGTGCAACGAGTACAGTGAGGAGGAGGAGCTGGTGAAGGGCGTGCTGATGGCCGGCCTCTACCCCAACCTCATCCAGGTGCTGCCTCTGGGAGGGAATGGAGTTCACCAGGTCCCAGCCTCCTTCCCTGTCTGCAGCTCCTTGCTCAGCCCCACCCGTCTTTTCCTCCATCCCTGCAGGTGAGGCAGGGCAAGGTCACCCGGCAGGGGAAGTTCAAGCCCAACAGCGTCACATATAGGACCAAATCAGGCAACATCCTGCTGCACAAGTCGACCATTAACAGGTGAGGGCATGCAGGCCTGGATGGGGCAGCTGGGATGGTCCAAAAGGGTGGCCTCACCAGCCCTGTGTTCCCTAGGGAGGCCACACGGTTACGGAGCCGATGGCTGACGTATTTCATGGCAGTCAAGTCCAATGGCAGCGTCTTCGTCCGGGACTCCTCTCAGGTGCACCCGCTAGCTGTGCTGCTGCTGACCGACGGGGACGTGCACATCCGTGGTGGGTGCCTGCAGGCCTCCCGCCCACCCCGCTCTGCAGCTGCTCCTCCGGGGCCTGGCCTCACCACAGTTCCCCACCATCTTTTCCATTCCCTCAGATGACGGGCGCCGGGCCACCATCTCACTGAGCGACAGTGACCTGCTGCGGCTGGAGGGTGACTCGCGTACCGTGCGGCTGCTGAAGGAGCTGCGGCGGGCCCTGGGCCGCATGGTGGAGCGGAGCCTGCGCAGCGAGCTGGCTGCACTTCCCCCCAGCGTACAGGAGGAGCACGGGCAGCTGCTTGCGCTACTGGCAGAGCTGCTGCGAGGACCCTGTGGCAGCTTTGATGTGCGCAAGACAGCTGACGACTGAGCCCTGCTTCTGCTGGGGCTGTGTACAGAGTGCAAATGTTTATTTAAAATAAAGTTCTATTTATCCCTTGTGACCACTGCTGTCCACTAGGGGCTCCTCTCTCAGGGCCTCCATACACTGGGCCACGGTTCCCCAAAGAGGAAGGAGGAAGGTAGGTAGAGAAGAGAGTGAGATGCTTATTGCTGGGGAACGGGCTGGCTGTGGCCCCAAGTCTTTTAAGAGAGAAGGGGGTTGGAACCTCCTCCCTTCACCAAGAAAGAGCATGAAGCAGCGGTGCTGTTAACCACCCCAGTCCCCTGGCACAGCTGCTGCTCTCGGTACCCACCACAGGAAGCCTGTCAGAACTGTCACTGTCCTTGTAGTTTTGGACAGTAAGTAAGCAAGTAAGTGTCAAGTAGCCCTTTATCAGGCAGACTAGGGGAGAGTTCCACAGGTAGCCAAGGCGCAGGGCTATGTGGCACAGTGGTCCTTCCCGTGTCCACATCCACAAGTTCACAGCTGAGGGGCTGAGCTGAGGGCAGGAAGATCCAGGGAGGTGGTAGATGCAAAACGAGACAGAAGCACGAAGCCTGCGTGATGGGACATCAGGCAGCTTTATTTATTTACTCTTAAAACTGTTACAACAGAATCATGGACTGACACAGGTAATGGCTGAGCCATAAGCAAATCGAGAAGTACAGAAATGTCCCACCCCAAACAGCTGCGGAGTACACATCACACAGGGCCTCTGGTCCCGGCCTTCTCAGGTGCTCTGGAGTGGAGGATCCTTTGAGGGAACTCTGACCACTCCTGTTGTCTACCTAGAGAGCACGCCACTTGGGCCACCTACCCCCAACCTTTGGCCAAAGGAGTGAAAGGACCTGGAACCTGTCGTCAACCTCAGCATCCTCATGACCCCAGGACAGACGCAGTGGAGGCAGCAGGTACTCTGGGCCTGTGCTGTTGCCCCTGAGGTGTCTCCTGACTACGCAACCCTGTTTCCTTCCCACTTTCATCCCAGCAGGCCCTTTCTTCCTGCTGACAAAACACTGGCTCCCTCATGTTCTTGGCACAGCAGAAGTGTTCTGCACATGGTCTCTACGGAGGAAAGCTGGTCCCCCTGGCCCAGGCAGCACTTCCTCCGTGAGCCCCTGCAGTTTCCTGGTGTGTGCTTGGGGAGCTAGGGACATGGTGTCAAACCTCCACAAGGCACTGCTACCTCAGAAAGGGGGAGGACCTGTCAGGCCCAGGACAGCCTCCCTGCACATGGAGATCAAATCTAAACTTAGGTCAAGACCCCTACCTTCTCCAGGGATGCCAGGACCAGAGAAGGGCAGAGGTCAGGAGGGGGCATGAGGAGGCCAAGTCTGGGGCAGCCTCCTCAGAGGCAAATCTACACTGCAGCCAATCCCCCTCCAGAGAAGCCCTTGGAATCTCCCAGGCCATTTCACTACAAACTTATGTTTGAATCCTTTATTAGAAACCATGCAAACTTTAATACAAAAAATACAAGTGCAATAAGAATCTTTGTGTCAATACAGTTCCCGGGATTTCTCCTCACTGCAGCCATCCCAAGGCCTAGCTGGGATGCCCTCTGTGGGCCTTGCCTCTCCTCCCTCCCCTCTCCAGTCAGGGCATAAGGGAAGCAGATAGCCTTAGTCTCATGCCTTTTATTTTTAAATTTCCAGACCTGATTTCCTACTATCTGCATGAGGCTCCCTTGGACATGAGGGCTTACATGTCCTAGGGTGTGGGTGCCGGCCTGAAGGAATTCCATCTCCTGGCCCTTTCTTGTTCTCCAGCCCTGGCTTTTTATCCTAGGGCTGACCACCAGATCCCAGGGAATGGGACAGAGATGCCAAAACCAGCCTCTTGGTTAGAAAAGAAAAGCAGCATACACACAACAAAATGGCAAAACCAACCAGTCCACGCTCCAAGGGCCCCTTGTGTGCCTGACCGGCTCACCAGCCACAGCCTCTGCACCCCTCTTCCCTGCCGCACCGCCTCCAGGGCCCTAAGCTGCCCACATCCTCCAGCGGGGGTGGCATAAGGATATCTCCGCCCTGTTCCCTCTAACACTTACTGAGGACTTTCATGTAGACATGGCTTCAACCTGCAGAACTATTTTGCCAGTTTTTAGGTTATTAGAAAAAAATAAAAGGACAAAACAAGAAAAATGTGACAGCAGCTAGGCGGGTATGTTAAGCATGGGGACAGGCAGCACTGACCCCCAACTTGGGGCAGGGCAGCAAGAAGGGCCCGACACCACCTGCATGGGGAGGGGGGGGCGCCCATTTGTGGGACCAGAGGGAGAGGCAGTGGCTTAAGCTCCACGGTCAGCGTCCTGTCACCACTCGGAATCCACCTCCACTCTTCCCTCCAGGTAGATCCAGGGAGAAGGGAGGGCATGTCAGTTTCTTTTGGGTTTGGACCAAAGAACCAAAAAAAGATGAGGATAGAATCTGGTTCTCCTCTCCTAGATCCCAACTTAGCCTCAACCACCCCAACCCCCTCCCAACCTCCTCCACGGAGCAGTGGCGCAGTGATGGGGCAAGACCAAAGCAGGGAGATGGGCCCAGGCTGGGGAGTGAGAGGAGGTGTGGGGCAGGGCTGCTGCTGCCCCGGGCACGCAAAGCAGGAGGGAAGGCGAGCCTAGCGGGCTGCCCAGCACGGCGCCCAAGCGCTCACTGGTCTAGTGGACAGCCCGGGAAAGGGGGCCAAGGACCCGGGAGCCCGAGTTGGGGCCGCCAGGGAAGTGTGGGGGGCGGGAGACAATGTCGGCCCCGTGGTCGGTGCGGGCCCTGGCATTTGCCCGGAACGTCAGCCTGTAGGTCTCAATCTGCAGTGACATGGGAGGAGGGAAGGGAGAGGGGAACAGGGGAGACAAGAGGGGAACACGGGGGAGACGGAAGACGAGACCAGAATGTCATCATTAGATGCCTGGAAAATAAAAGGTTACTTCATTAAAATTTAGGCCACACTCTAGTCAAAAACAAAGGAGTTTCAATTTGCGGCCAGTGGCAGGGCCCCTGGCTGGCCCTTAGGCCGAGCCCAGCCACTTACTTGTCTCCTGGATCTGGCTGTCCAAGGTCTGGGCCTCCCTTTGGTCACCACCCCCTGACAGGGTGGGGTGGCCATTGAGGCCACTGGCTGAAGTGGGGGCGCCAGCTTCAGGCGCTGCCTCAGAGATGGCCGGCTCCTCCCCAGCAGGGGGACCCGGACACAGAGGAGCCTCGCTGCCACCGCCCTCAGTCTACAATGAAACAGTGGGGGAGACAGTGCAGGGTCAGTCGAGGGGGGGAGTGGGATGGGGTGATGGTGGTGGGTTTCACACACAGCCCCCACCCTTGCTGCCCTGGCACCCACTGGCTCAAGGCACAGTCGCTTGGAGAATCCCAGGCAGGTGCCCCGGCCCCACCCACCCCACCTCACCTGGGAGACCGACTCCCGAGGGTCAGGAGCAGCTGGACCAGTGACACACTCTCAGAGCCCCTCTGTGGCATGTGAGGCTCTGATGAAGCCTCTCTGAGGGCAGAGGTGCCAGGCCTCAGGCTGGTACCAAAGACGTAGCCATGACAACAGTAAGCAATAAGCCTGAAGGGTAGCCCCCTGAAGGGTACAGCCCACCCTCCCAAACCCTCCCTGAACCCAGGCCACCCCCTGCACACAGAGTGGGGTCCTCAGTAGCTCCCGGGCAGCCCTGCCTGCACATCTGTCTGGTCAGGAACACAGGTGCTGAGGCCTTGTCTGTGCGGGGCACCATTCTGGGACCAGGGGTCCATGGGAGGCAGAAAGGTGTCCAAGGAGGTATAACCCAGGGACACTGTGGAGGCCTGGAGGGCGTCATAGGAGGAGGACATTTGGGGGACATGGAACACTCAGTGTGAGGAAGGCAGAGAAGAGAGAACAGCTGCGAGAGGCCACTGGGGAGCTGGAAAGCGTGTGTCGCCAAATACCCAAAAAGTGACAAGGGAGAAGTGGTTTCTAATCGGCATAGTGAGAAATAGGCCTCGATTAAAAACAATAATTCCAGAACTAATAAAGGGATATAATGTGAACAAGGAAAAGAACACAAGGCTTAGGGTCAGAAAAGCCCAGATGTGAATCCTGGTCCACGCTCGCTCGCTGTGTCCTTGGAAAAGAGACTAAAGCCAAGTTAACGCCCCACTGAGACGGGCGTGAGAACGGCATCCTCACGAGGTATGGGGGGCACGAACTGAGAGCCTGTGGCAGCAAGGACCCCCCCAGATGTTCCTGGAAGCTGATCAAGGCTTCAGTCAGAGCATCAGGAGAGGATGGGACAGGGGACGGGCTGGGCAGTGGCTGGCACTGGGGAGCAGAGATGGAAGGGAAGGCCCAGGGCAGCGGCTCCTGGCCCCTCTCCCCTGCGCACCTGAACCCGAGCAGCAGCAGCCATCCTTGTGCTCGGGGTCTGCAAGATGCCCCTCATGGGCCCCCCACCCACGGATGACATGGAACATAGGACAGACAGCATCTTGGCACACAAAAGGTCTCACAGTACTGTGGAAGGAGGAAGGGAGGAAAGAGGAGAGAGGGAAGGGAGAAGAGGCCCAGCCAGTCGTGAGGATGGGAACCTCTGCCACTTGAGCTCTGTCCCAGAGCCCTGCAGAGGGAGGCCCCAGGCAGGCCCTGCAGAGGGAGGCCCCAGGCAGGCCCTGCAGAGGGAGGCCCCAGGCAGCCTGCTGTCGCTGGCAGCTAAGAATGTGCTGTCCTGCTCCTAACCCAGGAGCGGAGCCTGACATGGGGCGGGAACCCACATTCCCCTTGGCGCGAGACAGCTGGGGAGAACTGTGTGGTGCAGAACCCCCGCTCGCCTGGGGGTGGTCTGTGTCCCAGTCCGTGGCCTTCTCAAATGGCTGGATGGGCTCAATTAGGAAGGCCATGGCTCTCAGGAGCAAGGTTCTGCCTCCAGCTGACAGGTGAGGGGTGGCTGGGCTGGGGCCTCTTCACTTCTGCCTCAGTCAGGACTGATGATACACGGTGGGAAAACGGCAATGGTGTGGGTGAAGACATGACTCCTGAAGAGACTGAGGGGCGGTGACAGGTGCCTACCTGTGAGGACCCTGACCCTAACTGCATAGTTCCCACCCCTCCCCAGCTGTGTCTCCCCAGTGACCCACTCGCTACCTTCACAGCACCTCCTGCAGGTAGGTGGCCCACATTATCGAGGGATCCCACCTTGGCCTGGGCCTTCTCCTTGAAGTTCAACTTCTGACTTTCAATCTTGACATCTCCTCCACCTGGAACCACAAAGGAACTGGTCACCTAGGGTGGCAGAGGAATATCCCTGCAGGCAAAACCAGGACTAGCGATATGCCCAATCTAGAAATGAGACAGACGTGACCTGTTCTGGGTGGCAAATGAAGAACAGTGAACACGTTTGTCTAAAGAGGACTTCTCATATCACAGTGAGGCTGAGACAATCTCTCCGTCCAGCCAGTGGGAATACCTCCAAGAAAAGGAAAGCCATCCCTTCCACCACCCCATGCCACAGCCACTGAGCTGCAGGCCAGGCTTGGGCAGGCCTGGGGCTCCGAGCACAGCCTCCAGGGCGAAGCCTCTGCTTCTCTACTCTGTGTGGGAATGCCCTCCCGCTAACTGGGCCATGCAGTGCTTCTCAGGCACAGCCTCACTGAATTCTCATGAATGCCCTGTCATCACGGCCACGGTCCCTGCTTCCCAGCCGGTAAAACTGATGCTGCAAAAGAGAAGGGACTCACCCAGAGTTACCACCAATCTGCTGATTGACAGTGACAGGTTGTGAAAATTGTCTGAGACCCTAAACCGTACCACACTCTAGCAAAAAGAAGGAATAATAAAAAGGACAGAGTGGCCCCGAGGCTGTGCGCTGAGGAAGGAAAGACATGGACCAAGGCAGGCCTGGGATCTAGTGACCTCAGGCTAGGACGGGGAGGGAAAGTGGTCTGAACTCACGCCCAGGGTTCAGAGCTCACTGGCCAGAGTGTGCCCATGAGACCAAGGGGAAGGGTGCGGGACGAGCTGCCCTCAATGAGTACCCAGCCCCTCCCGCGCCCAGCAGCGTGGTTTCCCTTGGGCCCCTTCTCCTGTTCTTCCATCTCCTCTCAGCTCACATGGCAGACCTCCACGCACAGCTTCTGGCCGAGGTCTCCCGGTGTCCCATATTGGGAAACCCAGCCCTGGCAAAAACTAGACCCTAAGTGACTCAGTGTCATTAGAGAAGGAAGTATCTGATAGGAGATTTCCCAGATAAAAGGGGAAAAAAATGGTTAGTTAAGGACAGAACTGTTTTGATCTTTCTAAATAGAACACATTCTAAACTGGATCATGCTCTTCGCTGAGAGGGAAAGGGAGTTTTTTTTTTTTCTTTTTGGAGACAGAATTTCGCTCTGTTGCTCAGGCTGGAGTGCAGTGCCATACTCTCGCCTCACTGTAGTCTCTGCCTCCTGGGTTCAAGCAATTCTCCAAAGGCATGCACCACCACACCTAGCTAGTTTTTGTATTTTTAGTAGAGACAGGGTTTCACCATGTTGGCCAGGCTGTTCTCAAACTCCTGACCTCAAGTGATCCGCCCGCTTTGGCCTCCCAAAGTGCTGGGATTACAGGCATGAGACACCGCGCCCGCCCTGAGGGAAGAGAGTTTTGCCTTCACCTTATCTGGCCTGTGGTGGCTAGCCTTCTGGGATACCAGGTCTGCCAGCCAGTGTGCCTGCTGCTACAGCAGTCCTACTCACAAATCTGCTGTAGACCCAGGAACTAGGACACGAGGCTGCTAGGGGACTACCCAAGGCAAGAGCCCAGCCTCCGCACAGCGACTTCCACAGGGGCGCTGGGCCAACCATGTTGCTGGAAGGAAACTGCATTAGTGCAAGTTGCTGAACGCCTCCCATTCTCCTGCCAGGGCTAGCGGCTGATGCTTCACTGGTTGGGAGCACCCTTTGCTCCTGCATCTGATAGGTGGGACCTGAACACTGCCCTCTATACAGCTCCTTCAGCAGTAGCTTCTGTAATCCTCGTTTAGAGCCAATCCAGGTTCTCAGCTCAGAGTGCACCACTTCCCCAGGCCTAGCTCAATAGTTCCACACACACAGTAGGTACTCAAGAGAATGCCTGTGCAGATGGCTGCTGTAAGAAACTGCTCCTCCTCCACTTAGAGGTTAGCACCCGAACTCCTGCTCCCTGACAGAATGAGGACTGTGGTGTCCTGGGTAGTCTTCATGGGATGCTAAAGGCACAGAGATGAAACCCTTGCCAGCCAGCTGGCTGCCCAGCTGACCCATGGCAGGACGACATACCCTGGAGACCCAGTGGGCAAGGGAGGCACCACTCACCAGGCTTGTGCTTGATGTTAGCCTTAGACCCACACTTGGAGGAGACCTTAGAGATGTCCACTTTCTTGTTCTGAATCTGAACCTGAAGAGAAGGACACAAAAGACTCATTCAGAGAGAAGGTATACTGTCAGAGCCAACCCCATGCTACCTTTTAAATCTTCTCCATGTTCAGGGTTTCTCGCTCCCTCTGTAAGCTGCTATCTCAGTCTGGTCAAAGACAAGGTCATCTCCCTAAGTACTTAAAAGAGCCCTCGACCCACCCTGGCCCTGCTCTTCACTTCCTTTTTTTTTTTTAAAGATGGAGTCTCGCTCTGTTGCCCAGGCTGGAGTACAGTGGTACGATCTCAGCTCGCTATAACCTCCGCCTCCTGGGGTCAAGCAATTCTCCTGCCTCAGCCTCCCGAGTAGCTGGGATTACAGGCGTGTACCACCACATCTGGCTAATTTTTTGTATTTTTAGTAGAGACAAGGTTTCACCATGTTGGCCAGGCTGGTCTCGAACTCCTGACCTCAGGAGATCCACCCACCTCAGATTTCCAGAGCCCAGAGTGTTGGGATTACAGGCGTGAGCCACCACGCCTGGCCTTCACTTTTTTTTTTTTTTTTTTTAAGACAGAGTTTCACTCTTGTTGCCCAGGCTGGCACGATCTTGGCTCACCCCAGCCTCCATCTCCCGGGTTCAAGTGATTCTTCTGCCTCAGCCTCTGGAGTAGCTAGGATTACAGGCATGCGCCACCACGCCCAGCTAATTTTGTATTTTTAGTAGAGACAGGGTTTCTCCATATTGGTCAGGCTGGTCTCGAACTCCTGACCTCAGGTGATCCGCCTGCCTCAGGATCCCAAAGTGCTGGAATTACAGGTGTGAGCCACCACGCCCGGCCACCAGCCTTCACTTCTAACCCCACCTCCAGCCAGACCAAACCACCATTTCCACACCCCACAGGTCTTTCTGTGCAGACCCTGTCCATGCATGCTCCAGACAGCTCTTCTGTCATTTCACCAGGTCCAAACACCAGCACCAAGGCTCCCATGAAATATCCCCTTTATTCCATCTCAAATCCTTACCTATCAACTCCTTGCCCAGAGAACCTGGAATAACATATTTACTTCTAGTCCTTTTCAATGCATTTTCCCCTTGGGAGAGGTGAGGGGGTGGTGTGTGTGTGTGTGTGTGTGTGTGTGTGCGCGTTGTGTGTGTGTGTGTGTGTGTGTGTAATCATAGTATTCCTGCTTAATCCATGTTATAACAATTTTCCCAGCCAGGTGCAGTGGGTCATGCCTGTAATCCCAGCACTTTGGGAGGCTGAGGCAGGCAGATCACCTGTGGCTAGGAGTTTGAGACCAGCCTGGCCAGCACAGTGAAACTCTATCTCTACTAAAAATGCAAAAATTTGCATTTAAAGGTGGTGCACCTTGGCTGGGCACGGTGGCTCACGCCTGTAATCCCAGCACTTTGGGAGGCTAAGGCGGGCGGATCACGAGGTCAGGAGATCGAGACCATCCTGGCTAACATGGTGAAACCCCGTCTCTACTAAAAATACAAAAAAAATTAGCCGGGCGTGGTGGCAGGTGCCTGTAGTCCCAGTACTCGGGAGGCTGAGGCAGGAGAATGGCATGAACTCGGGAGGCAGAGCTTGCAGTGAGCCGAGATCGTGCCACTGCACTCCAGCCTGGGCAACAGAAAGAGACTCCGCCTCAAAAAAAAAAGGTGGTGCATCTTTAAGTCTATAGCCATGCATGCCCTCTGGGTTGCTGGATGGGGATTCCAGCATTCCTGTGAGCGGCCCCGCTGTCCTCTGGTAGGTACTGTGGGAGAGCCTGACTTTCCAACACATCAACTCCATGCAGTGTTGCACCATTCTGGTGGGTTTCACCACAAGCTGTTAAATGGTGAGCTACCTTCTTGAGCCCTGTTTTCCCTTCTTTGGTGTCAGGAAATATAGTCTTCACCATGTTTCCAGAGGACAGATATAATGCCACCAGTATTTTTGTATTTGCACCCACAGCCCAAGGCCTGGCACAGAATAACTACCCACAATCCCCAGCTTGCCAGAGCCATTCTCAATCTTTCCTCTAAAACTTGGCTCATGCCTAACCCAGCAAACCCATTATGTTTTCTTCCCCATCCTTCAATGCCCAGCTCAAAAGGTGCCTTCCATACGGCCTCACATAGCTCTCGCTTCAATCCGTCTCTTTCTCATATCATCTCTTGAAGGGACACCACCAGGAACTATACCATAATGGCTTCACGTGTTTGATAATTACATACAGAGTAGTTACTACTGTGAAAACACACAGCCTCTACTTTGTCTCATCTTTCCAAAAAGTCTGCAATTTTCCCTAGATAGAAATTTTTTTCTTTTCTCCTCAATCTATAGTTCATTATACAGATATTTATAGGCATCTCCAAAATGGAAGTTTAGGATACAGCACAGATACCTCCTCCTAAGTATGTGCTGATGACACCACTGTAAGTGCTTTATCTGGGTTTAAAACAAGGTATCTTGTTATTTGTTAGGGGAAGAAATGGCCAATTCAAGAAGAGGGAGACATGAAGACCTCATCCAAACATCTCCCTATCCTTATCCCCCATAAGAGAGGGCATAGGGAAGGGTACTTTTACCAGCCAAAGATCTGGTAGCTGCTTAAACCAACCCAACATGGGTCTTCAAGCAATGGTGACAAGCTCATCTTAGCTGTAACCACAACAGCACCTGCAAGAAGTTAACAGTCACTCTCCAAGCCCAGGGCCCTCACCAAGATGTAGAGCCACAGATTTCTTTCTTGTTTTCTTTTGAGACAGGGTCTCACTCTGCCACCCAGGATGAAGTGCAGAGGCATGACCTTAGCTCACTGTAGCCTCAACCTCCCAGGCTCAAGCCCCTCAAGTGGCTGAGACTACAGGCGCACACCACCATGCCCAGCTAATTTTTGCATTTTTTTGTAGAGAAGGGGTTTCGCCAAGTGGCCCAGGCTGGTCTCGAATTTCTGGGCTGAAGCAACCCACTTGCCTTGGCCTCCCAAAGTGCTTGGATTACAAGTGTGAGCCACTGCATCGGCCAGGGCCACAGATTTCTAGACAGTGTTCCATATTTGAAGCCTCTATCTCTTGACCTTTTGTCTAGTATGCAATTAAAGAATAGTTGAGGGGCAGTCAGTTTCACATTATGGATGTATTCCAGCTGGTAAATGAAGAAGTAATGCTAGAATTAGTCTTACCACGGCATATGCCTACTGAACCCACAGGTCCAGGAATTGCCAACATCACAAAAAAAGAGACAACCGAAGAATGAGACATGAATGTAATTTCTCACAGAATAAACCTCATTACCTACTTACATGTCATGCTAGCATGTGGGGAAAAAACCAAAACCAAATAAATTTAAAGAAAATTGAGGGACAACAGAATATGTTAATTAAAACCATGAGGATGTAATTAGAAGAATCCAGATTCTAGGACAAACCACTGAGCTTACCCATCAAGGAAATTACCAGTAAAAAAAAGAATGAGCCAGGCACAGTGGCTCACACCTGTAATCCCAGCACTTTGGGAGGGCTGACGCGGGTGGATCATTTGAGGTCAGGAGTTCGAGAACAGCCTGGCCAACACAGTGAGACCCTGTCTCTACTAAAAAATACAAAAGTTAGGCTGGGCGCAGTGGCTCATGCCTGTAATCCCAGCACTTTGGGAGGCTGAGGTGGGTGGATCACCTGAGGTCAGGAGTTCAAGACCAGCCTGACCAATATGGTAAAACCCCATCTCTACAAAAAATACAAAAATTAGCTGGGTGTGGTGGTGGGCACTGTAGTCCCAGTTACTCGGGAGGCTGAGACAGAATTCTTGAACCCAGGAGGCAGAGGCTGCAATGAGCCGAGATCGTGCCATTGCACTCCACCCTGGGTGACAAAACGAGACTCCGTCTTTTTTTTTTTTTTTTTTGAGACCAAATCTCACTTTGTCGCCAGGCTGGAGTCCAATGGCATGATTTCAACTCACTGCAACCTCCGACTGCCTGGTTCAAGCGATTCTCCTGCCTCAGCTTTCCAAGTAGCTGGGATTATAGGCACGCACCACCACGCCCAGCTGATTTTTGTATTTTTAGTAGAGCCGGGGTTTCACTGTGTTGGCCAGGATGGTCTAGAACTCCTGACCTTGTGACCCACCTGCCTCAGCCTCCCAAAGTGCTGGGATTACAGGTGTGAGCCACCACGCCCAGCCAAGACTCTGTCTTTAAAACAACAACAACAACAACAACAACAAGAACAAGAACCCAAAAGTTAGCAGGGCATGGTGGTGCACGCCTGTAATCCTGGCTACTCAGGAGGCTGAGGCAGGAGAATTGATTGAGCCCAGAAGGCGGAGGTTGCAGTGAGCCAAAATCACGCCACTGCACTCCAGCCTGGGCCACAGAGTGAGACTTTGTCTCAAAAACAAAACAAAACAAAACAAAAAAAGCTGCTGGCTCACACCTGTAATCCTAGCACTTTGGGAGGCCGAGGTGGGTGGATCACAAGGTCAGGAGATCGAGACCATCCTGGCTAACACGGTGAAACCCCATCTCTGCTAAAAATACAAAAAATTAGCCGGGCGTGGCGGCGGGTGCCTGTAGTCCCAGCTACTCAGGAGGCTGAGACAGGAGAATCACTTGAATTCGGGAGGCGGAGGTTTCAGTGAGCCGAGATCGCGCCACTGCACTCCAGTCTGGGTGACAGAGCGAGACTCTGTCTCCAAAAAAAAAAAAAAAAAAACCTAGGTAGCCCACACCATGAAACAGATGTAGTTTCTGACATAAGAGTCCTATGTTAGGAATATATCCTAGAGAAATAACTTGAAATGTTAAAGCTATTTATACAAAAATATGATTTTAAATGTGTTATAGTTTCATGCCTGAGGGACAGAGCGAGACTGTGTCTCAAAAAAAAAAAAAAAAAAAAAAAAAAAAAGAATGGAGTGGGGACTTGTAGAGTAAAAACAGCTTAAGATTAAAAGAGTTATAGCTTGTATTATCTTATTAGTGTTACTATTTTAAATATATGGATCAATTTTTTCCTTTTTTTTTTGTTGAGACGGAGTCTCGCTCTGTCACCCAGGCTGGAGTGCAGTGGCGTGATCTTGCCTCACTGCAACCTCTGCCTCCCGGGTTCAAGTGATTCTCCTGCGTCAGCCTCCTGAGTAGCTGGTACTACAGGCACGTGCCACCACGCCCAGCTGATTTTTTGTATTTTTAGTAGAGATGGGGTTTCACCGTGTTAGCCAGGATGGTCTCGATCTCCTGACCTCATGATCCGCCTGCCTCAGCCTCCCAAATTGCTGGGATTACAGGTGTGAGCCACCGCGCCCAGCTATATGCTGAAGTATTAACAAATAAATAATATATCTAGGACTGGCTTCAAAATACTTGGGATAGGCATATACAGATAAACCAAGACTGCTCATGTAGATAGTAAATGAGGCAGGGTAAAAGGTACATCAGGTTCATTTTACTGTTTTTTTCTACTTGTCTGTGTTTGAAAATTCCCACAATAAAAAGTTGTTTTTTTTTTTTTTGGTTTTTGTTTTTTGAGACGGAGTTTCGCTCTTGTTGCCCAGGCTGGAGTGCAATGGCACAATCTCGGCTCACCATAACCTCCGCCTCCCAGGATCAAGCGATTCTCTTGCTTCAGCCTCCAGAGTAGCTGGGATTATAGGCATGCACCACTAGGCCTGGCTAATTTTGTACTTTTAATAGAGACGGGGTTTCTCCATGTTGGTCAGGCTGGTCTTGAACTCCCGACCTCAGGTGATCTGCCTGCCTTGGCTTCCCACAGTGCTGGGATTACAGGCATGAGCCGCTGTGCCCAGCCCAGTAAAAAGTTTTAAAAAGCTTAACTGAGCCTCACTCACTTTAATAAAGTCCACCACCTCTAGGCTACAGCTCTCCCTCCTTAGGTGGCTATGTGGAGGAGTCTACAATCTGCTTCCAAACGATTCCCCCACACCACCCTGCCTCCACTCTATGCTCCAGCCTCAGGGAACCATGTGCGGCGCCTCCTTCATGGGCTGGCCCAAGTGTCCCCTCCTCGGGGACTGCAGAAGCCACGCTGGCTCTCTGTGGTCCTAGGAGCAATCACGGCATCACACACCTTGCTCTGCTTGTGCTTACACAGGCTGCCTGCCGCTCTATGAGAGCCTGCAGGCACACTCCAGGTACCAAAACATGCTGTCAGCAGGTCTCAGTGCCCACTACACATGCACAGCCCCTTGCAAGGGTGAAATGGAACCAAAACGGACACAAAATCTTAACTGGGACCAGCCACAGAAGAAGCCACTACATTGGCACTGGCTCATCACTCCCCTCCCTCCCCTCCGCTGGTGTCCTCCTGGCTCTCATCAAGGGGTATGTCTGTCTGTCTGTCGGGGGCATTTTTGGAGCACTAACTAGGATCCTGTTTGGAGCCTCTCATCCCTGTGGTAACTGCGTTATTTCTGTGTGTGTGTGTGTGGGTGTGGGTGTGTGTGTGTGTGTGGGGAGTGGTGGGGGGTGTAATGCTGTTCTGTCTGCACAGCAGGTCCTCCTCCCTTTTTTTTCAGTGTCTCTCTCTGTCACCCAGGCTGAAGTGTGGTGGTGCCATCACGGCTCATTGCAGTCTCAACTACCCAGGCTCAAGGAATCCTCCCCTCTCAGCCTCCTGAGAAGCTGGAACCACAGGCACATGCCACCTAATGCTGCCAGGCACATGTCTAATTTAAAATTGCTTTGAAACCCAGGCTGGTTTCGAAGCAATCCTCCTGCCTGGGCCTCCCAGGGCCACTGTACCTGGCCTTATTTTAAAAGATATTTTTTTTGGGACTGGGCGCAGTAGCTCTTGCTATAATCCCAGCACTTTGGGAGGCCAAGGTGGGTGGATCACCTGAGGTCAGGAGTTCGAGACCAGCCTGCCCAATATAGCAAAACCCCGTCTCTACTAAAAGTACAAAAATTAGCCCAGGTGCGGTGGCTCATGCCTGTAATCCCAGCACTTTGGGAGGCCGAGGCGGGCGGATCATGAGGTCAGGAGATGGAGACCATTCTGGCTAACATGGTGAAACCCCGTCTCTACTAAAAAATATAAAAAATTAGCTGGGCATTGTGGCGGGCGCCTGTAGTCCCAGCTACTCGGGAGGCTGAAGCAGGAGAATAGCATCAATCCGGGAGGCGGAGCTTGCAGTGAGCCGAGATCGCACCACTGCACTCCAGCCTTGGTGACAGATCGAGACTCCGTCTCAAAAATAAAATAATAACATAACATAACATAAAATACAAAAATTAGCTAGGCATGGTGGCAGGTGCCTGTAATCCCAGCTACTCGGGAAGCTGACGAAGGAGAATCGCTTGAACCTGGGAGGCAGAGGTTGCAGTGAGCCGAGATTACGCCACTGCACTCCAGGCTGGGCGACAGAGCAAGACTTTTTTTTGTAGAGACGGGGGTCTTACTATGGTGCCCAGCTGGGGGGCTCATCATTTTAAACTGCACATTTCCTTGTGGTGGCTTTAGGGAGGGACTGACAGAGATTATGGAAGGAAACAAAGCACCTGGGTCCAGCTGTGGTCAGCTGTTGTTTATCCTCATCTTCCCACCAGGAAAGATGGCTCACAGTAGTCTCCCTAATTCTCTGTTTAAGGAAGCCTCCTAAAGTGAAAAGGCTTTAAAAATACATTCACCCTCAAAACAACAAAACAAAACAAAAAACCCTACACATGTGAGGTCATGTGTAGGCAGTGTGGAAAGATCACAGCAGGTGATACATTAATGATGACTATTTTCAGAGCTCTTATATGCACCACACAACACACACAAATATATCTCTATGTCTCACCTACACAAGTGACCCAGTTCCCTCAGAACCCCTGTTCACCTTCTGTTTTCATCCAGGACAAAGCCAGGCTCAGCAGCTGCCTGGGCCCCTCGTGGGCTGGATCTTTGTCACCTCACTTCAGCTGATCCTATTCCAGGCTGACTAATTAGTCTGGTCAAGCAATTCCACCCGAGTGTAAAGGATGCCATTTCTACCCAGGCCAGGAAGAGGCAGTGGTGAGAAGATGACCAGGAAGGAGGGGCAGGAAGGAGTTGTGTGGGGCAAGAATGAAAGCTCATGGCCGCATTCCTCATGATACAACTGCTGGGGGTATCTGTAGGCCATGGGCAGGATGTCATGATCACCAAGGAGGAGGCAGGAGTGTTAACAGAGTCTAAAAATGATAAGGGTAAGTGGAGCAGGACCTAGTCCGGTTCAGGACAGTAAGGAGAAAGAACCGAATGAACTCAAAAGAAACGGAGGCAAGACAGGCTGTCTCACTTGGCCTGGAAGGGAGCGGTGAGGGCAGGGGCTGTACATGGCGGCTTCTGGTGCCTCTGGCACAACTCCACAGAGTACCACTTTTCTAGGCACTGTCACAGTGACAAGCGGAAAGCACACAGGGTGTTCTTCACACACTCGACGATAGTAAGACTTCGCCCTGTCTCTCCCTAGACCAGAACCTCCCTGTGAGCTGGGATCACCTGTGTCCCTAATACACATCATAGAGCTGGCACACAATGGCAGCAAGACAAAAAGAAGGATGTTTGGGTGGAAGAGGAAAGAGGACAAAAAGATAAGGAGGGAAAGTCTGGGCGCAGTGGCTCACACCTGTAATCCCAGCACTTTGGGAGGCCAAGGCGGGCAGATCACAAGGTCAGGAGTTCAAGGCCAGCCTGGCCAGCATGATGAAACCCCGTCTCTACTAAAAATACAAAAATTAGCTGGGCGTGGTGGCGCATGCCTGTAGCCCCAGCTACTTGGGAGGCTGAGGCAGGAGAATTGACTGACCCTGGTAGGTGGAGGTTGCAGTGAGCTGAGATCACACCACTGCACGCCAGCCTGGGCAACAGAGTGAACTCTGTATCAAAACAAAAACAAAACAAACAAACAAACAAACAAACAAACAAAAAAACAGGAAAAGGGACTAAAAAAGGAGGGGAAGAAAAAGGAGGAAGGGATTAGAAAATGGACAAAAAAAAGGAGAGCAGAAAGGGAAATGGGAGGGCCGGGCGCAGTGTTTCATGCCTGTAATCCCAGCACTTTGGCAGGCCAAAGTGGGTGGATCATGAGGTCAGGAGTTCAAGACCAGCCTGGCCAACATAGTGAAATCCCGTCTCTACTAAAAATACAAAAATTAGCCGGGCATGGTGGCGAGTACCTGCAGTCCCGGCTACTCGGGAGGCTGAGGCAGGAGAATAGCTTGAACCTGGGAGGTGGTGGTTGCAGTGAGCTGAGATCACACCACTGCACTCTAGCTTGGGCAACAAAGTGAGACTTCATCTCAAAAAAACGTGGGGAAGGGATAGGAAGAAAATGTTGATTAATTCTTATTTTATAATAACAAGGATTCAAAGATGAGCTCTGGAAAGATCCATCCAGACATCTGTCTCAGAGAAGTTACTTCCACGGTAATTCAAGGGCATGCAGACCGACATACACATCCCAGGAACGGACTCCAGACAGGCAACAGGTCTGCTGCTGACCACTGTGCTCAGACCCAGGCTCTGACATAGCTGGAGAAAAATCCAAAGCCTCCCACCCATATGGGTAAAAAGATACTGAGTGGATATCACCATGCTGGTGTTTAGGGGCTCACCAGAAACACCCTGTCTAACATGGGAGCATCAAGGTCCCCTCACTTTGCTAGTCTGCTTCTTACAGAACGCTACAGCTCAGGTCACTGGGATTCTATCTACATGGGCACCTGGCTCTCTCCCTAGTATACCCCACAGTGGGCTATATCTCAGATGCCAGCTAACCAGAGCTTATACTTACATTACCACCTCCAGGGACATGCTTAATATTGTCCTTGGAACCACACTTGGACTGAATATGGCTGTAGCTCACTTTTTTGGAGACTATCTGGACCTGGAGTGTTAGAAAATAGAAAAAACAACACAAAGGGAGAGGACTGGTTAGAACCGACACAGGGAAGGCAGTGAGTCCACACGTGATCACAATGACCAACAAAAAGTGTTGTTAAACCTCCACCCCCACCTTCTACAGAACAGATGTGGAAAAGCACAGGAAAAGAAATGTGAAAGAGCAAGAAGGGGAGTGAAAAACGTGAACAGACAACACAACGACAGGAGCAGAGCTGCGCAGGCACTGCATGTTGGTCATCACCGCTCCTTTGGGGGCGGGGTTGTGGTTCACAAGGCCCAGGCAGCAGCCTAACCTGATGCCCAACCAGGCACAGCCCTACCTCCTTGCTCTGCTCCCTCCTCAAGAGCTGGGCACAGTGTCCTTGGCTCTTCTCTGCAAGTCTTATCATGTGGACCTGTTCTCACCCAAAGAGGGTGCTTCCCTTAAATCTGGGCCCTGGAATGGCTGCAGCCAGACCCACTCTCAGAAGCAAAGGCTGCTCTGAGAAGCACTGGGCAGCTGGCAACAAGGGCACGGATGATACTAACAGGAAGGAGGGGCCAGTGCTCAGATGTGCATACAAATGGATACAGAATCTCCAACACCAGGGGAGCGGCTACAGCCTCCACACTTAGCCCATTTGTCTCAGGGCTCGAGAAGGCATAGTATTTTTGACTCAAGGGTAAAATACCTTCTTGAATCCTCCATATGCCTAATCCTCTGCCCTGTGAGATGCCCATGCGGAAAGAACAGGCTCTAAGCAGGGCAGCAAGGACGCCCAATCCTGGGGGCACAACCACACTGTATAGTACGGGAATGGCTTCCCCTGGAACTGAGAAACACCAAGGCCCTGGCTCTAAGAGTCTGGAACAAAGAATCCTAGGACCTTCTCAAGAAGGAATAGTTGCCAACTTCCTTTCTTTGCAAATGATGCAGGTCCCAGGCTGAAGAGTTCTCCACAGAGTACAGAAATCCTGAGAAACTCCAACCCATATACCTCATTGTACCTACTCATTTCTAGCCTTTTTCACAACTTTGATGGTAACCAAGTGGTTAGCAAACTACTTAATGAGCCTTGGTCTGAACCTAGGACCTCTAGTAGTCACCCAGAAGCCACGGTGCAGCTTTCTTCACTGTAGGAATGCCCTAGGCTGAGACTTCCCATGCTGGTCCCTAAGGGCTGGAGTGCGGGCTTCTCTGGCAGAGGCACACCTACCTGCTACAGCTAAGGAAGGTAGGTGTTGCAAGCACTCAGGAGGGGCCTGGTTTCCAGGTTTACAGAGGCAAGGGGAAAGAACCTGTGGTTTCAGCTTACCTCTGCCCTCCAGTTGATGCTGCATACCTATACTAAGTGGGTTTCCATTGGGAATGAGCATCCTAACTTTCAGTTAAGAGGTGACCCGGGGAACCAGGACAAATGAAGTTATCTCCATACCCAGCAGCGTTATGAGAGGGATCTTCTACTTCAAGGTAAAGCACAGGGGCTCCAGGGTTCCAGGTGGTGGAAATTACCCCTGCCATGTCTTCTTGATAACGAATGTGGGTGCACTGTATTTGCATCCATACCAGGTAGGTTTCACATCAAGGTCAGTGTGAAGGAAATGAATGAAAGTCTTTGGATCCATTTTATCCAGCCAAAAATTATACACATATGTATTCTCCAAAGGGCTAATGGGCTCCCAACTCTATTAACTTTCAAGGTTAATACAAAAAATTTTCTGATGGCCGAGTCATCAAGCACAGAGAAGGGAATATAGGGGAGAAGAAGTAGAAACTAGTTAGGGAAAGGGAAAAAGTGCAAGAGAGGGCATGTGGCTCAGGCTGGAAGAAGTATTTTACCATCTTCACCTTGCAGAGGTGGGTCTAAATAAAACTCACTTTCCCCGCAGGTTGTTTCTGTGCACTTGCAATTGGGCCGGCTGTTTTAGTGACTGCATTAGATTCAGGCTTTCGGGTTGTAGCAGCTGCCTCTGTTTTTTTCTCTACTTTGGCCTGGATGGAGATAAAGGGAGGGCAAATTTCAAACCAAGAGGATAAGAGCTCAAAAGCCAAGAAGGGAAGAAGGCTGTAGGGGACTCAAATCCAGGTCAGGCCACCAGGCAAAAGCAGGTGGCCTTTGATCCTAGGCAAAACCATACATTTCCCAGGGTAGACCAAGTCAAAGATCCTTGAGTAGAGGACCACAAAAGAAGGAGCTGCAGGCCATAGTCTTAAGACATGAGGAACAGATCAAGACACTAGCTAATGAAGAAAAGGCACAAAGGAAGGCTAAGACAACCAAATTAGTGATTCTGAGAGTGTGCTGGGGCATGATTTTCCAATTACAATACCCCCCACCCCATGCCAAATGTCCTGATATGCCCCAAGCAGCTGCCACGGTCACAGGAAGTCAATACTGATAGAAAGTGTCAGACTCTTTAGGTATGTTGAAGCAGAAAACAATTCACTAGATCAAGTCACTCAACTCCCCACCCAAGAACTCCTGTAACTTTTGCACCATGAAACCATAAGAGCAAAGACGGGGAGATAGGCCATCAGCAGCACAGCCCAGAGGCCTGCTGGGCACACCAGAGCCACTGTCGCTACCACAAGCAACTCTCAGGCTCTTCTCTAGACTGATCTCAGCTTGCCATCAGTGTCTTCCAACAGCACCAGGATTCCACCTCATTTTTGTCCCTCCTGAATTTCTTAACAGCTCCAGATTAAGCAATTTAAGTATGCTGCCCTGGATGGTGGTGGTGGTGTAGAGCTAGTGAATGACCTAGGAGATGAGATGGTCACTACTCCAGGGACCCGAACATTCTCAGACGGACTTTCATCACCACCTTTTCACGCAGAGTTCCCATGGTTACCAACAGTTAAATAATTCTGGGACTGATGCAACCAGAAAATCTTAACCACCGGAAAATCCTAAAAGTGAAGCACTGTGATCTTTCTCCATCACTATATGCAGTGCAGTCCTGCTGTTTAGGAAGGCCAGAGGCTCACAGCACGACTCATCCTGGCCATAAGAGGACACCCTAGTCCTCTTTCAGATATATTCCACTCAAGTCATGGGTTGTGGAAGTAAGAGGTGTTCTACCTTCTGCCTATCCTGACATTCTCTGTGCAGGCTAAGAACCATGAAAAACTAGGCTCATGTCAAGTGTCTCTCTCACTTGCAGAGTCTCTGAGGCCTCCTCTGTTTCTTCTACAAAAGAATCCTTTTACATCCAAGCAAAAATGTAAACTCAGACCCCAACATCTAGAACAGGAGCCTTTCTTACTGAGACAGGAAGAGAAAGCCCAGAGCTCAGCCTACCCCGCCTCCCTGCTGCTGGGGCACAAAACCCACTACAGAGCCCCGGCTGAAATACCCTGATGCTGAGTCCAGTGTCCTGACTGCCTGCTTCTTTGGTGGGCCTGGGAACAGTGGGTGGAAATGGAGGGGAAGATGCAGGGGCCAGCATGCCAGGACCCCAAGCTCCCTGGACCCACCCGGCCTCCTCCAGGCTGATGCTTGATGTTTTCCGTGGAGCCAACCTTGGAGCGGACATTCTTCAGATCAGGAGCAGAAGTATTGGTGGCCAGGCGGCTGAGCCGGGGGGTGGTGGAGCTGGGTTTGGCCGAGGTGGGCTTCTTGTCTATGAAAGGAGTTGTGGAGGGCCGGGAGGGCATGGGTGTGGCCTTGACTCGGCTGGGAACCACCCCTGCAGCGGGGGCTGTCCCACTGAGAGTGGTGGTTTTCTTCATGGAACTGGTGGAGGTGCTCTTTGGGCGACTCAAGTCAGCTGCAAAGAAGGGAGTGAGAGATAACACGGGTTCAGGGAGAGAGAGAAAAAGGGAGACTTAAGCCACAGAGGAGGTGGGGGTTCAAGTTAGGGCTCTACAAAATGGCGGATGGGCTATTACCTGGTACAGACTTTGCAGTCATCTTCTTGACTTCTGCAGGTTTTCCCTCAGTCTTAATGGCTGTACAAAATATACTTATTAATATAACATTTAACAAACTGACCTGTTGGATAGTTCATCCAATAGTGAGATTCCTCATTATTTAACAATTACTGAATATCTACTTTGAGCCAGGGACTGTGTTAGTCCCTGGGAATGGAGTGGTAAATTAGATGGTCAGGCACTGAGTCTTATTCTTCTCTACTGCCCTGATAAGCCTTCTATGTGGCCTTAAAAGTAGGCTGTCAATACATGCCTATGGACTTGAATAGCCCTCTTCTTATCATCATGTAAGCCCATGAGCACCACGCCCTCTTCTTATCATCATGTAAGCCCATGAGCACCACGTGCTAGGTGCTGTGGGTTACTAAGGCAAGAGTAAATTCTACCTGGAAATTCATGAGCAGTACATTTTTCTGCCTTCACTCAAGATTTTTCTGAATACATACAACTGCTAAGCTCACACAGAGATCAAGGCTTGTTAAGTACCAGGCCCACAGGGCTACCACTGTTCCAGGTAGTCCACTAAGGACCGGTGCGTAAGCAGGCCTGCACAGCTGTTTGTGATACTAGCTAGAGCTATGGCTGGGGCAAAGCCAAGATCCCATTTTCCCCTCCCTAGTTCCCATGGGAGAGAAAGGCAATACTCACCAGTGGGCTTCTTGGGCAGGAGCGTGGAGGGGCTCCTACTGCTTGGGCCAGTTGAGGCAACAGCAGCAGCTGTTGTGGTTTTTGCAACAGTCTGAGTGCTCTTGGACCCAGATCTGGAGGCTGGGGCAGAAGCTGGCTTGGATGGTGAGGCCCGCTTCTCAGGAGCCTTTGCATCTGCAATGGGCTGGAAATAGGAAAGTGGGAATGAGGCCTGCAGGTCAGCAATAGCCCCAAGGAGTCACGCTACAAGATGCTTCTTTTTTTGTTTGTTTTGTTTTGTTTTTGGAGACGAAGTCTCACTCTGTTGCCCAGGCTGGAGTGCAGTGGCATGATCTCGGCTCACTGCAGCCTCCGCCTCCCAGGTTCAAGCAATTCTCCTGACTCAGCCTCCAGAGTAGCTGGGACTACAGGCACGTGCCACCACGCCCAGCTAATTTTTTGTATTTTTAGTAGAGACAGGGTTTCACCGTGTTAGCCAGGATGATCTCGATCTCCTGACCTCATGATCCGCCTGCCTCAGCCTCCCAAAGTGCTGGGATTACAGGCATGAGCCACTGCACCTGGACACAAGATGTGTCTATACAACCATGTATTGGAGAACAGGAGGTACTGTGGGTTCAGCAGCTACTGACAGGAAAATACATATGGTTCTAAGAGCAAAGTCCTCCACATAAAGCAACAAACTGGCCATGCAGGGTGCTATGTGATCTGAGGGCACACAACAGAGAGTAAAACTACTTCAATCCAACTTGAGCCAGTGAGAATGAACAGCCCTGATGGGTACATCACCACAACCTACGTTTGCCTCCAAATCTACTGCTATATATATCATACACACACACACACGCATATATTTTAATGTAACCTCTGTAGAAATGCCAAAAATACTAATGTATTTAATGTAATAAAATCTAATGTATTATACTTGACCAAAGATTAAACATACACAAACAAAAACTAAAAATTATGTTCAAATCGAGCCATTCTTTTGGCTAACACGCACCTAGAGAATGCTGAACAGGACTGAGCTGCAGATGGAGAGGCCACTGGCCAAATCTGGGACAGAAGCGTGAGCTGTAGCCCTACTCCAGCAAATCACTGAGCCTCTGAGCTTTATTTCCTCATCGGGATAAAGAGATTAGAATGGAGGGTGATGAAGGACCAGCTTTGATAATATGTGATGTCAGGAAATAAAGGATGAAAGGTCTCAGCACAGAGACGATGAGAAGAGGCAGGCCTGATCAACAGAAGGGATAAAAAGCACTGATATCACAGCTACAGTCTGAAAGCAAAAGGGAAAAAGTCTCTCAAGTATAGATGCTTGGCATCTGGGTCACTCTAGTTCCTTTTACATGGAGGCTGAGAATGACGTCTCTAGTGAATAAGGGAAAGAATCAGTTTAGCCTGGTTTCTACGGGGATAGGGGATGAAGACACTATTTTGATAAACAAATTACCACATTACAAAAGAGAGTATGCCAAATCACAGACACAGTGGGCTCAGCTCTCTTCCTCCAAGAGAAGTGGCTATAAAGAGGGCAGTATGTAGGTAGCGACAAGCAGGATATCGTTAAATGGAAAAATCAGCTAAGGAGGTACTAGAAATTAAGGGCTGGCATCCAAAGTCTAACTCTGCAAATGTAGGGTAATGACAATTTCCACAAATAAAGGCCTTAAGTATGGTGTGAAGAACGCTAAGGCTGGAATCAGGGAAAGTGGTTCTGCTACCAGCTCTGCTGGAAACATGTAGGATTTTGGCCAGAGGATTCCCTTTTCTATTGCTCTAAAATTTGAGGACTAAACCAGATGCTCTCTGGGATGTGCATCAAATTTTTAAGACTATGACTATTATTCAGAATAATCTAGCATAGTCTTATTATTTTGCCATGAGGGTAATAATGATAAAATAAGTTAGAAAAAAGTTATGTGGGATAGAAATCTCAAAAGGATGTTGCATCTTTTAGATGTCAGGCTCTTGGCTTCAAAAACCTGCAGAAGTTAACTGGAGCTATTCTGCTGTTTCCCAATTTACATTTTCTTCTCTGCCAGAATCGTAATCTACTTATTTTTTCTGAATAGGTTTTTCTCTCTCTGTCTCTACAAATCTTTCTACCAAAATAAGCTGCAGATGAAGAGGCCACTGGCCAAATCTGGGTCAGAAGCCTGAGCTGCAGTCCTGGTTTGGCCCCTTAATTCTAAGTGTGCTATTTGGCAAATCGCTGGGCCTCTCTGAGCTTTATTTCCTCATCTGGATAAAAGAGATTAGAACAGGACTGGCGCGGTGGCTCATGCCTGTAATCCCAGCACTTTGGGAGGCCGAGGCAGGCGGATCACCTGAGGTCAGGAGTTCGAGACCAGCCTGGCCAATGTGGTGAATCCCCAGCTCTACTAAAAATACAAAAAATTAGCCAGGCGTGGTGGCGGGTGCCTGTAATCCCAGCTACTCGGGAGGCTGAGGCACAAGAGATGCTTGAACCTGGGAGGTGGAGGTTGCAATGAGCCCAGATTGTGCCACTGCACTCCAGCCTGGGTGACAGAGCGAGGCTCCATCTCAAAAAAATAAAAATTAAAAAAAAGTTCATGTATATACAGCAACTAGTACACTACACTTCATTTATATGATTATTATAGAGTGAAATTTCACTAGACACCTCTCCTTCCTACTCTCCTCTGTCACCCCCCAGAAGCCGCTGCTGAATAAGCAACAGGGAGGACCTGCTGCCAGGGCTCCAGGCACCTCCCCTCTGCCCTCTTATTCAAACCTATTGTTTTCTAAAGATCAAGAAAAGCAACCAACTGGATAAATGAGGATCAGAGAGAAAGCTTTACAAGATTTTATCATTACTAGTTTATGAGAGGATTTTTCAGTTTCTTGGCCAGGGCTTCAGCCTAGACTTCAACTCCTAGGTTCCACAGTTTTCTTCACCATATTAAATTAAAAACTGACATTTTAACATGGGAAACTATTTCGTACCATGAATTTAAAGAGTACTATCAGGCTGACCTAAAGGCCCTTCTCAAATAACACAAGATGTTAAGGAATGCAGCCACAGCCTCCACTATCCTCTCCTCCTGGAGCAATTCTGTAACACTAATGCTGCTCCAAATGTGACCAGTTTCTGGGCAATACAGAAACCGTGGGTGACCTGGAAAACTGGATGACTTCAGAAGTAGCTCAGTGAGAGGTGGCCTAATGCCCAAAGCAAAGTAAGTTATCACATCATGCTGGAACATGCTGAGATAAGCTGGAAGAACTAGTTATATCACAATAGTAATGGATAAAACTTCTGCAGGATGATAACAGGGAAAGACAAAGAATTACATTTGATGTGGGAATTATACCAAAAAAGAATATCTAACTGGTATGTGGAGTAGAGGAAACTGGTTAATAAGTGCTTAAATAGGTAAAGAGTAGGTAGCTGAGAGAAAGGAGGAAGAACCTAAGTAGATAGAGTATTACCTCCAAACAGGGAAGGGAAAGGTAAGAGCATAAAAGGGCTTCAAAATGTTAATGTCTGCATCAATGGGCCCCAAATTGATTTCCTTTTCTTTTTTCTTTTTTTGGCTGCTCCTCGTGGAGCAGGGCTAACCCATAGGCAGCGCGTCCAGAGTAGCCATGCCAATTTTCAAATCACCCTCTCCCCCATTTCCCTTGCCTTTTCCCAATTCCACCAGCCTGATTCTGTTGTCTGTTAGCAACAAGGATCTGTCTATCTGACACTCAGAGGGGAACAATTTTCCTCGGCACAGTAGTTAGGTGACCACTTACCTTTGGCTTCACGTCTTTTGAAGGTAAGATGGAAGGCCTGGCAGAGGCGACGGCAGGGCGTTTGGGTGGGGCAGCTGGCACTAAGCCTGAAGCAAGGCTCATGGGTTTTTTATTCAACCCACCAATGGTGGTGGGAGCTGGCTGCTTAGGGAGAGAAGTGGGCTGTGTTTTGGCTTTCGATGTTGAAGTCTTTGCAGGTTGAGTGGTGGCCAAAGGCTTTAGGTTGATTGTTGTTTATTTTTTATTTTTATTTTTTAAAGGGCAACATCAAACAGACAAGAATAAAAACAAATTAAAAAAAGTATAAATTGCACAATTCAAAGTAAAATTATAAGCAATGAGGATAGATGCAACTTAAAATTAGCATTTCTTTCTTCTGAGCTCAATAAATAATGGAATGAAACCAGGATAGAGAAAGAAAATGGGGAATAGTTTCTTTTTCTTTTTCTTTCTTTTTTTTTTTTTTTGAGATGGAGTCTCTCTCTGTCGCCCAGGCTGGAGTGCAGTGGCGATCTCGGCTCACTGCAAGCTCTGCCTCCCAGGTTCAAGCGATTCTCCTGCCTCAGCCTCCCAAGTAGCTGGGACTACCAGCGTGTGCCACCACACCCAGCTAATTTTTTGTATTTTTAATAAAGACGGGGTTTCACCGTTTTAGCCAGGATGGCCTCGATCTCCTGACCTTGTGATCTGCCCGCCTCGGCCTCCCAAGGTGCTGGGATTACAGGCGTGAGCCACCGCGCCTGGCCTGGGAATAGTTTCTTAATGATAGTGGCACAAATTCTGGCAGTTTGGCACCTGAAGATTTAATTCAGTAAAACAATTAACTCTTAATAATTAACTAACTTTTGGTGGCTATTCTAAAAGAAAAGCATCAGGAGGTGATTCAGCCATTATTACCTGTATTTTTTTTAATAACTTTTTAATTTTTTGAAGACCCTGGACAACATGCTGAAACTACCTGTATCTTGATGGGACAATAGCAGCCACAGCCTACAGTGTGGCTTTTGAACTTTGCAATAAGTACTAGTTATGCATCTGAAGCTATATGATCCACCTTCAAAATCTGCATTCTCTTTTCATGAATGGATATTTCAGAATCTTTTTTTTTCTTTCATCTAACGCTGAGATAATAGTAAATAATTCAGAATTTATTTCAGAATATTTTTGCAATTGTCCTTTTTGTTGTTGTTAAGGGAAGTTGAAACAATCTCTACAGAACTTTTTTTTTTTTTTTTGAGATGGAGCCCAGTGCAGTGGCATGATCTCGGCTCACCGCAACCTCCAACTCCTTGGTTCAAGCAATCCTCCTGCCTCAGCCTCCTGAGTAGCTGGGATTACAGGCATGCATCACCACGCCCAGTTAATTTTAGTATTTTTAGTAGAGATGGGATTTCACCATGTTGGTCAGGATGGTCTCCATCTCCTGATGTGATCCGCCCGCCTTGGCCTCCCAAAGTGCTGAGATTACAGGCATGAGCCACCATGCCCGGCCTCTACAGAACATTTTTTACAGATATATAAGATAATAGGGTCAAAGGCTGAGATTTTAAAGTTGGTTTAGGCCACTGTGGTAAATGAGAATACAAGATATTTTCTAAGCATGTCCAAACATGAGGAAGGACAATAACAGCTCAGAAAAAAGAAATTTCATTCGTGATTCAAGCAATAACAGCAGAAGATACTCCGTTTAAAAATTATGGCAGTAGAAGATAACCACCATTCTGGCACCTACCTTTGTTTTCTTCTCTGGGCTTGGTGGGAGCTCCTTGTTCGGTGGGGTGGTGATGTCATTTCCTGTCCCACTCACCACAGGCCTTCCTTCTTCTGGCCTGGCTATTCCTAAGGGGAGAGGGTGAGTGGGAATTATGCTAAGCAAACATTTTACATGCCCATTTTGAAAATACAAGGTTTAGCAAAGACAGACCACTAACTAGCACTTCATTCTGAAAAAAGTCCACAGGGTTGTGCTGCTGAAATGTGGACAAGCCTCCCAAGTTCTCATTGTGATGGAGGACAGTTTTAGATTCCTCAGATTCAGAGAGCCTGACCCTGTGGAGAAGCAGTCTAAGGGACACATGCACAAATGATCAGTGGAAAAAAATGGTCCTTTAAGTTTGGTTTCCCTTCCCTAGAGACCAAAGGGACTCTGTCTTCCAACCACTAGCTCTCCAAGCAATAGGACAAAAACCTCTTCTACCAGTCTATCTTTGGAATAAAGGTTGCTGTGAGATGGGATAAGAGCCAGAAGATCATTCAATGACTCCCTTTCCTTCCTTTCCCTATAAAGAACCACTTTATGGAGGATGTGAGATTAACCTGATCCAGTTCTAACAGTGACCCAGATTTTCAACAAGGCCAAGGAGACCCATGGAACCAGACTCAGGGCCAGAAATAAAGTCTCCTGCCTAAGGCAACATAGCCTCCTCTCTGTGGAGAGGTTACTCTGGATTTCAATAGGACTATACCTGAGAGCATTAAAATACTGTGAAATGTATAACCTTGCTGTGGGGGAAGGCATTTCTAACTGGCACAAAGTCAAGAGGCCACAAGAGATAAGTTTGACTAAAGAAAAATAAAAAACTTCAATGTGGCAAAAAACAAAATAAGACAAAACACTATAATAAAAGTCAAAAGGCAAATGACAAACAGAAAAAATACTTGACCCTCATACCAAAGACAAAGAGCTTATTCTATAAATTACTCCCACAAATCAGTAACTGCTACAAAGGCCAATAATCCACTGGGAAAATGCAAAACAATATGAACAGACTTTATAGAAAAGAGATACAAAGTTTTTTGAAACTATGAAAAGATGTACAATGTTAAGTATAAGAAAAATAAAAAAACCCCACTGAAATGCCATTTTATTTTTTGAGACAAAGTCTTGATCTGTCACCCAGGCTGGAGTGCAATGCTGCGATCTCGGCTCACTGCAACCTCTGTCTCCCCATTCAAACAATTCTCCTGCCTCAGCCTCCCAAGTAGCTAGATTACAAGCATGCACCACCACACCCAGCTAATTTCTGTATTTTTAGTAGAGACAGGGTTTCACCATGTTGGCCAGGCTGGTCTCAAACTCCTGACTTCAAGTGATCCACCCACCTCAGCCTCCCAAAGTGCTGGGATTACAGGCATGAACCACCATGCCTGGCCTGAAATGCCATTAATATTAACATATTGTCAAAAGTCCTAAAATTTTAAAATAACTACTGAGAATAATATAGGGAAATATACTTGGTAGGTATGTGAACTGTATGACCCATAGGCAGGGCTGCCTGGCAGTGTCATTTTCTGAAAATTACAAGGACAGATAAATTCTAATCTAGAAAACCAATTTCTAGTAATTTATCCTAGAAGTGTATTTACACACCAGCCAAATAGTAAATGTGCAAGGTTTCCACCAGATCATTGTTTCTAAAAGCAAAAGAACAACCCAGAAGTCCGTTAATAGAAAACTGGTTATTATGGTAGAAATATCAATGTAATCTCTGAATGTGAAAAAATAAAGCATGGAGAAATTCTTTTATGATTACTATGCAATGGTCTCTATTAAGTGAAAAAAAAAACAACAAAGCATAAGTATAATGTGAAACTATTTGTCTTGAAAAGGGATGAGGGAAAAGATATTGCAAATACACTTATATATGCATTTTAAAAGAATTTTTGAAAGGATTGTAATTAAACAGAACAACGTTTTTGAGGGAAAGGATGGGACACAAAACTGGGGAGGTTAGGAGGCTTAAAACTTTGAGAAATAATTACAGATTCATAGGAAGTTGCAAAGAAATACATAGGGAAGGTCCCTGTGTACCCTTTTACCCAGTCTCCCCAAGTGTTGATATCCTACGTAAATACAGTATACTATCAAAACCAAGAAACAGAGACAACCCACAGAGCCTACTCAGATTTTTCACTTTACATGCACTCATTTGTGTGTGTGTGTGTTTGTGTGTGTAGTGCTATGCAACTTTATCAAGTGTAGCTTTGTGTAACCACCACCACCACCTTAGCCTCCCAAAGTGCTGGGATTACAGATTACCTGGCCTGGAGTGGCTGGTTACAATCAATAGGGCTTCTTCATGTTACCCCTCTATAGCCATATCTACCCCATCCCCTTTCCAATCCCTAAATATATGGCAACTACTATGTTCTCCATCTCTATAGTAACTTCCAGTACACTATATTTAAAAGAGTGGTGCAAGTAGATATCCTTGCCTTGTTCCCAATCTTAGATAGAAAGTATTCACTTATTCACCATTAAATATGATGTTAGCTGTAGGCTTTCTGTAGACGCTCTTTGTCAAGTTAAATAAGTTCCTCTCTATTCCTACTTTGCTGAGAGTTTTAACATGAATGGCTATTTGATTCTGTTAAACGATTTTTCTGTGTTTACAATTTATTTTCTTCAGACTATAACAGATTACTTTTTTTTTTTGAGATGGAGTCTCACTTTGTCGCCCAGGCTGGAGTGCAGTGGTGTGATCTCAGCTCACTGCAAGCTCCGCCTCCTGCCATTCTCCTGCCTCAGCCTCCCAAGTAGCTGGGACTACAGTACCCGCCACCACACCTGGCTAATTTTTTTTTTTTTTTTTTTTTTGCATTTTTAGTAGAGATGGGGTTTCACCATGTTAGCCAGGATGGTCTCCATCTCCTGACCTCGTGATCCACCTGCCTCGGCCTCCCAAAATGTTGGGATTACAGGTGTGAGCCACCACACCTGGCTGACAATTACTTTTGATTATTGCACTAACCTTGTATACCTGAAATAATTCCAATTTCAGTTTTTTTTTTTTTTTTTTTTTTAAGAGATGAAGTCTGTTGCCTAGGCTGCAGTACAGTGGCATGATCACAGCTCACTGCCACCTGGAACTCCTGGGCTCAAGAGACCCTAATGCCTCAGCCTTCCAAGTAGCTGGGACTACTGGTACGTGCCACCATACCTGAATAATTTACAAAAAAAATTTTTTTGAAGAGATGGAGGTCTTGCCATGTGGCCCAAACTGACCGGTCTCAAGCAGTCCTCCCACATCAGCTTCCCAAAGTGCTGGGATTATAGGCACAAACCACCATGCCCCATCATAATTTCAATCTTTTAAATTGATTCAAGTTGGTTTTATGACCCAAGATCCATCTTGGTGAGTGTTTAATGGACACCTGAGAAGAATGTACATTCTGTCACTGAGTGGAATTTCTATCAATGTTTATGAGATTTTGTTGTTTGATGGCACTGTTACATCTTTACTAACATTCTGTCTAGTAGTTCTATCAACTGTTCATAGTGGGTTACAGAAGTCCCCAGCTGTAATTGTGACTTTGTGTACTTCTCCTTTTAGCTCTGTCAGTTTTTGTTTCATATATCTTGATGCTCTGTTTTTTGGTGTGTATACATTTAGAATTGCTAAGTTTTCTAAATGTAAGGATCAATCTTAGTGGGATTGATCCTTTATTCTTTTCTCCGACATCTACTTTGTCTGATGTTAGTATAGTCACTCCAGGACACGTAATCTTTAATCCCAGCACTTTGGGAGGCTGAGGCAGAGGATCACTTGAGGCCAGCAGTTTGAGACTAGCCTGGGCAACAAAGTGAGACTTCCTCTCTACAAAAATCGAAAGAAAATTAGTGGGGCATGGTGGTGTATGCCTATAAGACTCAGATACTTGGGAGGCTGAGGTGGGAAGATTGCTTGAGCCCAGCGAGTCAAGCCTGCTGTGAGCTATGATCAGGCCACTGCACTCCAGCCTGGGCAACAAGAAAAAACAACTATATATATATATATATATATATATATATATATATATATATATATATATATGCATAATCATTATATATAGCTACTGCTACTTTAAAAAATTGTTAACATGATATATTTCTTTCCATCTTTTAACTTTCAACCTACCTATGTCCTTATGTTTGTTATGCATTTCTTGTAGATAGCATATACTTGGGCAATTTTTTTTTCTTTTTAAGACAGGTGTGATCATGGCTGACTGTACTCACTGTAGCTTCTACCTCCTCGGTTCAAGTGATCCTCCTACCTCAGCTCCTGAATAGCTAGGACCACAGGCATGTGCCACCATGCCTGGCTAATTTTTAAATTATTTGTAGAGATGGGGTCTCCCTGGGTTGCTCAGGCTGGTCTCGAACTCCTAGGCTCAAGTGATCCTTCTGCCTCAGCCTCCTAAAGGGATTACAAGCAGGAGCCGCTGTACCTGGCCTACTTGAGTCATTTTTTAAAAATAATATACTCTTCCAATCTTTGTCTTTTAATTGTAGTACTCAGACCATTTGCTTCTAAAATAATTCCTGATGGCCAGGTACAGTGGCTCACGCCTGTAATCCATTCAGCACTTTGGGAGGCCGAGGTGGGCTTATCACCTGAAGTCAGGAGTTGGAGATCAGCCTGGCCAACAGGGTGAAACCCCATCTCTACTAAAAATACATAAATTAGCCGGGCGTTGTGGTGGGCGCCTGTAATCCCAGCTACTTGGGAGGCTGAGGCAGGAGAATCGCTTGAACCTGGGAAGTGAAGGTTGCAGTGATCTGAGATTGTACCACTGCACTCCAGCCTGGGTGACAAGAGTGAAACTCCATCTCAGTAAATAAAAAAATAAATGAAATAAAGTAAAATAATTACTGCTATGTTAAGGCTTAAGTCTGATATTTTATTTTTTATTTGTTCTCTCTTTTTCTCATTTCTGTTTCACTTTCCTGCCTTCCTGTTGGTTACCTGAACATTTTTAATCTTTTTAATTTCCTTTTTTCATTTTTTCAAATTACATCTCACCCAAGGTTACCTGAACATTTCTTAGAATTCTATTTTTATTAAAAAAAAGCTTTTGAGTATATTGCTCTGTATAGTTTTCTTAGTGGTTGCTCTAGGTATTACAATATACATACAACAAACTGGTATCAATGTTCTACTACTGTTTTTTCCTCTAGAGATGGGGTCTCACTGTGTTGCTCAGGCTGGTCTCAAACTCTGGGCTCAAGTGATCCTGCCGTCTTCAGCCTCCTGAGTAGCTGGGACTACAGATGCACACCGCCACACCCAGCTATGTTTTACTACTTTGAGTGACCTACTGGAACCTTACTTCCATTTAGGATCCTTTATTTTCTCCCTACTTTAATTTTTTTTTTTAAAGACAGAGTCTCACTCTGTCGTCCAGGTTGGAGTGTAGTGGCACAATCTCGGCTCACTGCAACCTCTGCCTCCCAGGTTCAAGTGATTCTCATGCCTCAGCCAACCGAGCAGCTGGGATTACACGTGTGCGCTACCATGCTTGGCTAATTTTTCTTTTTATCTTTAGTAGAGATGGGGTTTCGTCATGTTGCCCAGGCTGGTCTCAAACTCCTGGCCTCAGGTGATCCACCCACCTTGGTCTCCAAAAGTGGTGGGATTACAGGTGTGAGCCACTGCGCCCAGCCCTAAAATATGTCTTAAGTGTTTCCTCTTCATAGATTAAGCACTACATCAGATGGCATTACAATTTGTGCTTCAAATATGATTTATGACTTTAAAAAATTCATGAGGAGATAAGTCTATTATATTCCTTTTTTTTTGGAGACCAAGTTTTGCTCTTGTTGCTCAGGCTGGAGTGCAGTGGCATGGCTCACCACGACCTCCACCTCCCGAGTTCAAGCGATTCTCCTGCCTCAGCCTTCCTGAGTAGCTGGGATTACAGGTATGCGTCACCACGCCCGGCTAATTTTGTATTTTTAGTAGAGACGGGGGTTTCTCCATGTTGGTCAGGCTGGTCTCGAACTCCCGACCTCAGATGATCCACCCGCCTTGGCCTCCCAAAGTGCTGGGATTACAGGCATGAGCCACCATACCTGGCTATTTCCATATTTTTACCCATTCCATTGTTGTTCTTTTATTTCTGAAATTCCAAGCCTCCTTCTGTTACCAAATCTTATTTTTTTGGAGAGCCTCCTTTAGCCATTCTCTAAGGGTATGTCTACTAGCAACAAATTCTTAGTTTTCCTTTATCTAAAAATGTCTTTTTTATTTATTTCCCCTTCATTCCTGATGGATTGTTTTACCAAATAATTTGCAGTTGACAGTTCTTTTCTTTTGGCACTTGAAAAATGTTGTGCCACTTCTTTTTGCATTCCCCAGTTTCTGATAAGAAACAGGCTGTCATTTAAATGCTGTTTCCTCAGCACCATAAGGAAGGTTAAAAAAAAAAATTGCTGTTTCCCTAATGCATCATATCTCTTTGCTTTTTTTACAGATTTTTGTCTTTAGTTTATAAAAGTTTAATTATGAAAAGTCATGGCATGATTTCTCCACATTTATCCTATTTGGTATTTGTTCAGTTGCTTGAATCTGTAAGTTTTGTCTTTTGTCAAATTTGGGATGTTTGTTGTCATTATTTCTTTGAACAGTTGTTCAGCCTTGCATCCTTGCTCCTCTCCTGAGATTCTGATGATACAAATGTTAGATCTTTTGTTATTGTCCCATGGGTCTGAAGATATGTTTTTTCCTTGTAGACCATTTTTTCGTCTGTTGTTCAGATTGAATAAATCCTATTGATCTGTCCTCAACGTCACTGATTCTGTCCTCTGTTATCTGCAGTCTGCTGCTGAGCCCATTGAAGTTTTTAATTTTAATTATTATATTTTTCATATTGACAATTAACATTTGGTTCTTTTTATGTAACTTCTATTTCTTTACTGAGGTTTTTAGTTTTCATTTGTTTCAAGAGAATTCATAATTGCTTGTTAAAGCACTTTTATGATGGCTGCTTTAAAATTCTGATTTTGTACTTTAGCATGCAATCACCCTGTTTATATTTAGTCTACAGGTTATGACTGTAGTTCTGATGACAATTTGGTTCCTAGAGCCCTTGCAATGCATTTATGGCCTGTTGTGTTCTGATTCTGCTAAGGTTCTAACTAATCCCTTTTGGTACTGCCTGAAAGGGCTGTAGGGACTTACCTGTGTCACCCAGTGTCAGCACATAGGGGCTGAGTGATGCTGGAAACATAGAATAGAGAGCTTCCTCTGGACTGCTCTCTGGCTGCCTGGGACCCAGGCAGACCTCCTGTTTGATCTCTGCTGGGGTTGCTGGGAGCAGGAAACACCTACCTCGGGGGCTTTCTCTTGCTAAGGGGAAGGAAGTAGAGGTTCTGAAACCTACGAAAGTCTCCTGCCCCTGGGTAGAGGATTACAAGACACCAGGGCTATAGAAGCCACTGGTGCTGTTACCTGGTAGGGGACAGGCCTCCCTGCAGTTGCTGGTGATGTGGGCGGACCAGGCCTATAGCTTCTGCTGAGTATGGAGTGGACAACAGGAAGGCCCTTATGGGCTGCATTGACACTGTACCTGCAGGCAGACTGAGCCCACTGCTGGGGATGGGTAGTGAAACAGGGCTCACCATTAGGTCTTTGCTGGGTTTTTTTCTTTCTTGTTTTTTTGGCAATAGAGAACAGATTTTCTCTATTTGTTTTCTTTTTTCCTTTCCTTTTCTTTTCAGTCTATGCCTGTTGGTAATTCCAGGTTACAGGCCTCTCCAGTGCCCAGCCAGGGATATGTAGGAGACAAAAAGAAAACCCAGGGGATGGACGCAGTGGCTCATGCCTGTAATACCAGCACTTTGGGAGGTCAAGCAAGGAGGATCACTTGAGGTCAAGAGGTCAAGGCTAGCCTGGGCAACATAGCAAGATCCCATCTCTACCATCAATCAATCAATCAATCAATCAATCAATCAATTCATCAGTCCCAGGGAATTCACTGTATTGCCATTCCTCAAGTCCTGAGATCCCTACCAGGTTTGCCTTCTTTCTACCTCATATTCTTTTATGGAATTATCTTCAATTATTTCCAGACTATTTAGTTGTATTTACAGGGGAGGAGCAGAAAACAATGAGATGATACCATCTTGTCTTGGTAGGAGGTTTTTGTAATGGAGAGCACTTTGTACTTTTTGATGTTTGAACCATATGTACTTTTAGTCAAAAACTGAGTATTTTTCTAGTTTTAAAATGTAATGGGGAAAAACCATAGCCAACAACTGTGCAAATTTGTTAACGCCTTTGTTCTTTTTTTTTTTTTTTTGAGACGGAATCTCGCTCTGTCACCCAGGCTGGAGTGCAGTGGCGCCATCTCGGCTCACTGCAAGCTCCGCCTCCTGGGTTCATGCCATTCTCCTGCCTCAGCCTCCCGAGTAGCCGGGACTACAGGCGCCTGCCACCACGCCCAACTAATTCTTTGCATTTTTAGTAGAGTTGGGGTTTCGCTGTGTTAGCCAGGATGGTCTCGATCTCCTGACCTCATGATCCGCCCGCCTCGGCCTCCCAAAGTGTTGGGATTACGGGCGTGAGCCACCGCGCCCGGCTAATGCCTTTGTTCTACAGCAAGCTCAAAGAAGATCTTACTTGTGTAACTAGCTGCCACTGGCCCCAGACCACTATAAATATTTTTCAATAAGTTCAGCATTTTTCAGTAAACAACATATTTCATAAAGTCGCATTGTCTATGATACAGGCATGCAGTAACTCGACCTATACAAATAAATGTAACTGTGCATAAGCAGAAACTGCTTTCTCTCTCCCAGAAGGTAGTTCTCACCAAGCCCTTTCCCTTGTCTCATGGATATATAAGGCAACTTCTTTTTTGTTGTTTGTTTTGAGACCTGATCTTGATCTATCTCCCAGGCTGGAGCACAGTGGCATGATCTTGGCTCACTGCAGCCTTGTCCTTTTGGGCTCGAGCAATCCTCCCACCTCAGCCTCCCAAACAGTTGGGACTATAGGTACATGCCACTATGCCCACCTAATTTTTGTATTTTTCCATAGAGATGGGTTTTTTGCCATGTTGCTCAGGCTGGTCTCAAACTCCTGGCCTCAAGTAATCTGCCTGCCAAGGCCTCCCAAAGTGCTGAGATTACAGGCATGAGCCACCAAGCCCAGCTATCAGGCAATTTCTAGAGACCACCACCCACATATCCCCAGAGTTTCACAAAAGCAATGTCTGATGTGGAACTTACTAACTCCTTCAATGAACTGTGCTCTTCTGTTGGGTCTTTCCATTACCTATACTACCACTGGCTGGGAAAACCAGCCTCACATCACAGCATGACCTTCAATTCCTTTTTCTCACACACCTTCCAAATTCCAGTTTCACTTTATCTTCACCTGTTATATTTCCCCTCTCATATCCTCAGCGTTTCATCTGCCACTACCTGAATCAAATTTCTAACAGGATTGTTTGCTTTCAACTCTTTGTCTTCCAGTTCATCACACTTACTGAGAACAAGTAAATCTTCCTAAAGCTGACCTGGAGCTACTTTATCTGCTATCATAGGCAGTCACCACAGTTTCAGAACATGGTAGTGAGAGGTGACAGCGTGCTGGCAGTCCTCAGAGCCCTCGCTTGCTCTCGGCGCCTCCTCTGCCTGGGTTCCCACTTTGGCGGCACTTGAGGGGCCCTTTGGCCCGCCGCTGCACTGTGGGACCCCCTTTCTGGGCTGGCCAAGGCCAGAGCCAGCTCCCTCAGCTTGCAGGGAGGTGTGGAAGGAGAGGCGCGAGCAGGAACCGGGGCTGCGCGCAGCACTTGCGGGTCAGCTGGAGTTCCGGGTGGGCGTGGGCTTGGTGGGCCCCGCACTTGGAGCAGCCAGCCAGCCCTGCTGGCCCCGGGCAATGGGGGACTTAGCACCCGGGCCAGTGGCTGCAGAGGGTGTACTGAGTCCCCCAGCAGTGCCGGCCCATAAGTGCTGCGCTCGATTTCTCACTGAGCCTTAGCTGCTTTCCCGCGGGGCAGGGCTCGGGACCTGCAGCCCGCCATGCCTCAGCCTCCCACCCCTCCATGGGCTCCTGTGCCGCCCGAGCCTCCCTGACAAGCACCACCCCCTGCTCCACGGCGCCCAGTCCCATCAACCACCCAAAGGCTGAGGAATGCGAACGCACCACGGCGCAGGACTGGCAGGCAGCTCCACCTGCAGCCCCAGTGCGAGATCCACTAGGTGAACCCAGCTGGGCTCCTGAGTCTGGTGGGGACGTGGAGAGTCTTTATATCTACCTCAGGGATTGTAAATACACCAATCAGCACCCTGTGTTTAGCTCAAGGTTTGTGAATCCACCAATCGACACTCTGTATCTAGCTGCTCTGGTGGGGCCTTGGAAAACCTTTATGTCTAGCTCAGGGATTGTAAATACACCAATCGGCACTCTGTATCTAGCTCAAGGTTTGTAAACACACCAATCAGCACCCTGTGTTTAGCTCAAGGTTTGTGAATGCACCAATCGACACTCTGTATCTAGCTGCTCTGGTGGGGCCTTGGAGAACCTCTGCATCTAGCTCAAGGTTTGTAAACACACCAATCAGCACCCTGTGTTTAGCTCAAGGTTTGTGAGTGCACCAATCGACACTCTGTATCTAGCTGCTCTGGTGGGGCCTTGGAGAATCTGTGTGTCGAAACTCTGTATCTAACTAATCTGATGGGGACACGGAGAACCTTTGTATCTAGCTCAGGGATTGTAAACGCACCAATCAGTGCCCTGACAAAACAGGCCACTCGGCTCTACCAATCAGCAGGATGTGGGTGGGCCCAGATAAGAGAATAAAAGCAGGCTGCCCGAGCCAGCACTGGTAACCCGCTCGGGTCCCCTTCCACACTGTGGAAGCTTTGTTCTTTCGTTCTTTGCAATAAATCTTGCTACTGCTCACTCTTTGGGTCCACTCTGCTTTTATGAGCTGTAACACTCACCGCGAAGATCTGCAGCTTCACTCCTGAGCCCAGTGAGACCACAAACCCACCGGGAGGAACGAACAACTCCAGACGCGCTGCCTTAAGAGCTGTAACACTCACTGCCAAGGTCTGCAGCTTCACTCCTGAGCCAGCAAGACCACGAACCCACCAGAAGGAAGAAACTCCGAACACATCTGAACATCAGAAGGGACAGACTCCAGACGCACCACCTTAAGAGCTGTAACACTCACCGCGAGGGTCCGTGGCTTCATTCTTGAAGTCAGTGAGACCAAGAACCCACCAATTCCAGACACAGTAGTAAGCTTTAAACTTTTCAGTGGGACATTTGAAGCTTAGCAAGATTGGATTCCAAACAACTTTCTAGAATTTTCTCCCATTATTTCTTGTC